>NW_025791755.1:0-335159 GCF_000001405.40 Homo sapiens | reverse complement strand
TTACTAAGTGGTAACTATTTTTACTGTGATGCTGGTCCACCAGTATGGGGCAGGGGGAAAGGACAGGTGGGTGGTGAGTCTATTTTCAGTCTGCCCTTCTCTTTCTCATCAAAGGAAAGATGAGAACTTTGAGAGGCTGAGGGAACCAGGAAAGGTGCAAGGAGGTGGCCAGGAATAGTCAATGCTCCTGGCCGTGAATCAGTACACCACCCAGGTGACGTGGGAGCAGGAACAGTCAGTGCTCCTGGCCGTGAATTAGTACACCACCCAGGTGACGTGGGAGGCTGGCTTGGGAGGTGATGCAGGATGCCCTGGCAGCAATGGGAGAAATGTTAAAATGATTATGTGGCACTAACTGAATGACTCCTCCCGATAAGCAGACCCAGAACATCTTACTTCTGTGAACAACCAGGGAGAGTTAGAGGCTGCTCACACAGTACCCTATAACCTTCAGGGAAATCGGGGAAGTAGAACTACTTGGATGAGGGCTCATGATTCACGTTTCACTGGTGAACATTTTCTCTCCCCACAATTCTCCCAACATGAAGTGGTCTCTGGAGAAAGACAGACAAACATTAAAGCTCTCTTTAATGAGAGCTTATTACATGCCAGGCATTGTGTCAGCCCTTTACTAGCTCACATGTTCCTTACAACTATAATAGGCAGGAACCAATATTCTTAGTACTCTAATAAGGATACCTAAGAACAGATAAGCTCAGCTGCTTTCCTGAGGCCAGGCAGTCAGTTAAGTGGTTGATCAGAAGGCAACACTCAGGACTGTGTCCCCAGCACTGTTCTGTAGACTGTAAGCATTATGAGGGCAGGAGCCGTGTCTGCTCTTTCCTTATGCCGTGCTGATGAGTACACTGCCCAACAAAGAAAGGTGATTGGAGGTCTGCAGAATGCAAAGGGGAATGTGGCTGGGAACGCGAGAATGAAGGCAGAAATGCCGGAATAAAGGCTGGACTGGGGTAGAGAAAGCAGGTGGGGATTCAGAAATGCGGGTGGGAATCAGAGCAGGGATGTGGGAATGCGGAAACGCAGGTGGGAACGATGGGGAGAAAGTGGCAACGTTGGGGGATGCAGTTGGGAATGCAGGAATGAGGGTGGAAATGTGGGAATGCAGGCTGGAAGAGTGGAGAGTACAGGAATGCAGGAGGGAATTCACGAATGCAGCAGGAACCTGGGAATGCGGGAATGCAGAGAGCGACGCTGCGGGAAATGCGGGAGGACCCCAAGCCATCCGCTCACCTGTGAAGAAGGGCATGAAAGTAAGGCTGCAGGCCAAGAGGAGCCTGCCCGCCACCGAGGGACGCGTGGCTGAGGCTGCGGCCGGCCCCGTCGCTCCGTCTGGAAGAGAGGAGCCAGTGAGCTCAGTTCCGCGAAAGGGACACGCCCAGGCGGCCGGGCCCGCGCTCCCGCGCCACGCGAATGGCCTTTCCGCTGCTGGGCGAGCGCCCCTCACAGCGCCCCCGGATGCTGGGTGGGCCGCGCTGTGAGCTCGGCCTCTGGAGGCACCTGGGACTCGGAAACACTGCCTAGCCTAGAGACTTGTAGGCCCGAGAGAGCCTCTGGCCTGTCCGCTCCTTTCCACAGCGCGCTGTGGGCCCGCGGGAGCAGCTGGACCGGCAGCTGCGTCCTGAGGTGGGCGGGGTGGCTTGGTGAACCCGTACCTGACGCCGGGCGGTCCGGGACAGGCGGGTTGGCCGGGCTAGGCCGGAGGGCACTGCGCATGCGTCGGCCTCCACAGTCCCTTTGGCCTGCCCCATTGGTCCTCACTTCCCGCTCTTCCCGCCCTCTGGGAGCCTTGGCCAATGAGATCCTGGTGGCTCCCGGCTCACGTGACTGGAGAAAGCCTGGTGGGCTAGTTCCACAGTTCTGACGATTGGAAGAACTTGGAGGAGCTGGAATGTCTGTTTTTCCGATTCTTTGGTTCTCACCCCACCCAATTAAAGATATGCTATTGTGCCTCACCCTCTTCCCTACCTAGTCTAAGCATTTTTGAGGAAAGGGTACCTATATACTTAATTCTCTGACGGGAACATTCTACCCTACCAATACCCTCCAAGTCATCAATGCATCTAGTGCAATTCTGGCACCTCAGAATATTTTCTAACATACTCACACCTCCTTGAGACTGAACACTTTGAAAGGACAGGGACTGTGTATGTATGCATGATCCACATACTTCCAGCCTTTAGCACTGTACCTGGGACATAAATGCATTGTTAGTGTGTGTTGAATGAATGAAGGGTCCCTTCTACCTATGAGCTCAAGAGTGTTAGAATTCTTCCTGTTACCCAACTGCTGTTTTGATGGCTTACTTTCTGGCAGCTGCAGAAGCTCTAATTCTTTTTGGAAGCAACCTAAATATCCATCAAGGGATAAATGGATAAAGAAAATGTGATATCTACCTAAGATGAAATATTACTCAGCCTTAAAAAAGGCCTTTTCTGCATCTATTGAGATAATCATGTGGTTTTTGTCATTGGTTCTGTTTATGTGATGGATTGTGTTTATTGATTTGCATGTGTTGTACCAGCCTTGCATCCCAGGGATGAAGCCTACTTGATCGTGATGGATAATCTTTTTGATGTGCTGCTGGATTCAGTTTGCCAGTATTTTATTGAGGATTTTCACATCAGTGTTCATCAGCGATATTGGTGTGAAATTTTCTTTCTTTTTTTTTTTTTGGTTGTGTCTCTGCCAGGTTATGGTATCAGGGTGATGCTGGCCTCATAAAATGAGTTAGGGAACAGTTCCTCTTTTTCTGTTGTTTGGAATAGTTTCAAAAGGAACTGTACCAGCTAGTCTTTGTACCTCTGTGAATCCGTCTGTTCCTGGGCTTTTTTTTTTTTTTTTTTTTTTTGGTTGGTAGACCATTAATTACTGCCTGGATTTCAGAACTTGTTACTGGTCTATTGAGGGATTCGACTTCTTCCTGGTATAGTCTTGGGAGGGTGTATGTGTCCAGGAATTTATCCGTTTCTTCTAGATTTTCTAGTTTATTTTCATAGAGATGTTTATAGTATTCTCTGATGGTAGTTTATATTTGTGTTGGATCAGTGGTGATATCCCCTTTACCATTTTTTATTATGTCTATTTGATTCTTCTCTCTTTGCTTCTTTATTAGCCTAGCTTGGTGGTCTATCTATTTTGTTAGTCTTTTCAAAAAACCAGCTCCTGATTTCATTGTTTTTTTGAAGGCTTCTTTGTTTCTCTATTTCCTTCAGTTCTACTCTGATTTTAGTTATTTCTTGTCTTCTGCTAGCTTTCGAATTTATTTGCTCTTGCTTCTCTAGTTCTTTTAATTTTGATGTTAGGGTGTCGATTTTAGATCTTTCCTGCTTTCTGATGTGGCCATGTAATGCTATAAATTTCCCTCTAAACACTGCTTTAGCTGTGTCCCGGAAATTCTGGTGTGTTGTGTCTTTGTTCTCATTGGTTTCAAATATCTTATTTATTTCTGCCTTAATTTTGTTAGTTACCTAGTAGTCATTCAGGAGCAGGTTGTTCAGTTTCCATGTAGTTGTGTGGTGCTGAGTGAGTTTCTTAATCCTGAGTTCTAATTTGGTGCACTGTGGTCTGAAAGACTGTTTGTTATGATTTCCATTGTTTTGCCTTTGCTGAGGAATGTTTTAGTTCCAATTATGTGGTCAACTTTAGAATAAGTGCTATGTGGTGCTGAGAAGAATGTATATTCTGTTGATTTGAGGTAGAGAGTTCTGTAGACGTCTATTAGGTTTGCTTGGTCCAGAGCTGAGTTCAAGTCCTGAATAGGCCTGTTAATTTTCTGTCTCATTGGTAAAGTTTTTCTTTTAACTATTTGGTGTTAGAAGTAAGATTTGAAGGATACCCAGTGGCCCCCCGGAACAAGGAATGCCCAAGTGTAGATACCCACTAGGGCCCATTGCTCTCACGCTGCAACTGAAGATTATGGGTAAATTTCCTCTTGGATTCAAACTCTGCAAATTTATGTTTTGAGCTCTAACTTTGTTTGAGCAATTTGTTGACTGGACTGGGTTCAGAATTGGAATGGATCTGGTAAAGAAACCAGACTGGGTCCAGTAGGAGGCCTCTGGTAGGTAAGGTTCCTGGAAGACAGCATATCATGTGTTTTTTGAATCCAAGGGCTCTAGAACTCTTCCATGTGGGACTGCAGCATATTTTATGTATAAGAACCATGGACCCAGAACATGTGTTTTTCTAGAAAAATGAGTGAACCTGACCAAAGGTAATTTTAAGTTACAAAGGCCACAGTGGGGAGACTTTTTACAAAGGACAAAGAGGTGCATGCCTTTATAATACGCCAGCTATGGGGACTGAGAAGACCTCCTTGTAGCTATTTTGAACCCCAGAGGAGTTGCCTCAAAAGTAAAGGACCGCGTGTCCCAAGAAGTTTACCTGTATTTTAAATAGTCAGGCCTTTGCATAAGAAATTTTTCATTTCTATACCAGTCATCTGATGGACCTGGCCTGTCTACCTACTAGAGAAAGCCCCCAAGGGCTACACTCCCTGGGCAATAATCAACCAATCCCCCAGAGAAAAAAAATGGAAGTTTCAAATCAAATGTGGAAGTCCCCATACCTGAAGCTATCTGACTGACAGTTGAATCATATTTAGAAAAACATTTGTAAGAATGAGTCTTTTCTGTTTTCTCTCTTTAATCCTGCTTCTCCCATGGGAACCCTGCAGTCAACTGAAACACCTCTTATGAAACTTCCCGCTAAACACATACTCTGCCAATTCTTTCTTGTTGTCATGATCTTTGCTATGCCCCAAACTCTTTCTGGTGGGTGGGGGGAAATATTATTCAGTCTTGCAATCTTGAAAACAAAACAGGAGAGAAAAGTTGTACCAGTCTGTGATTATAGAGCAAGATTAGAAGTAACCATGGTGAGTCAGGCACACAAAATATTTGTTCTAGTCTTCAGTGGGTTCCACCCACTTAGTATTTTAGTTAAAAGACAGAAGGTGGGTTGGAAAACCACTGATTTAGCAGAATAAATCTCCAAAATACAACTTTTTGGCAGAAAAACTATTTTCACCTGCTTATTTTGAGGACTCTTTGTAAGAGAAATTTACATCCCTAAAGGGAATCTCCATTTGTAAGAAGGTCTACCTCTCTGGACAGAGAACACTGGAAACTCTGATAAGGAAGAAAGCGTTGGCTTAAATCTACAGAAGCCTTGCCTTTAAAGTGCTTTTCCTAGCTGTCTTGCCCTAACTGGGTCTTTACATCTTTCTTTCTTGGTTTGGGCAAATTAAAGCATTTAAGCTGGAAGTCCAAGCTCTGTGCTTTTGAGATATAAATTTTCTACACAGTCTTCTCTAGAGTTTAATAGGTATCTATTTAAAATGCAAGTTTAGGGTAGATAACTCATCAGAAGTAGAAGTAAGAAAAATAGATATTTGGAAACTGAGCAAATAAAAAAACATTAATGATCTTTTTCACAAATATTAGTAAGAAGCTTTAGCCATTTAAGTGGCATTAGCCAAAAACAATTTAGATCCAGATATTCTTTAATAAATTAGTGAGATTTGTATTATTGTACCTGGCACATGGCTAAAAATTTGTAATGTTTCTGTTACATGTCTATCTATATCTGGATGTATGTACATATGTGCAATATTTTTCTACTGCCTTATAGTATTGCCAAAATTAAATAACACCATGTTCAAACAAGACGGATGTCTAGCTGTAGGCAAGCAGGTGATTTTTCTACTTTGCTCCTATGTCTGGCCCATAAAAGCTTGTTCACACTGCTGGGCAGAGCTCTCTGAATTTCTTCTGATCTGTAGTGCGATCTGATAATGAATCATTCTTTGATCAAATAAAGTCTGCTAAGTTTAATTTGTCTTAAGTTTTTATATTAAGACTCACTTTCCTCATTTGAAAAATGAAATGATAAAATATATATCTCCTAAATTTCTGCCAGATTTTTCTATTCACTTCTAATTTTCAAATGATCGTATTTAGTGAGATCTACCCATCCTCTTGGTCTGTGACTGGTTGTGGAACAAATAGATTTGGAGGAAGATGAGAAGCATGATGATTGTCTCCATTAAGCCAATAATTTTCTGAGAGTCTATGTGCAATACAGAAACAGGCTGCTGTAACTGCAAAGTAAACTGAGTATACGCACTTAACTGCTCTCATGTGGCATACTGACTAGGCATAGTGATGAAGTAAAACAATTTATTATTTTCTGAGTACTTAAATGTCTGGGTTTTGTACTTTATCGAAGATTATTTTATGAAATGTGAAAATATAAATCCTTTACTTTTTTCACTGTTTACTCTCCTCACTCTCTTAATGAAAATCTCTATATCTCATGCTCATCACTTCCTCACGGACTCTGAGTTCAGTTGGCACCTACTCCATATTCTGCTTTCTGTTTCAGCAGGTAATTTACAATTTAACCCAGAGGAGGCAGCATCCTCCTGAGACCAGCGTCCCCCAGGCTTCCTTCTGGAAGCCAATCTCCTCCAGACTGTGGCGGCCCAGTCTCTATGGGAAACTAACAGAGAAGATTGTCTCCTTGATATATTATACATCAGGTTTTCTCTATCACTGAGTTTGCATGTTAAATTGGGTCACTTCTTCTGGTGAGACACAGAGGAAAACTTCAGAACTGTTTCTTTATCATCATTGGTCCAGACAGTGAATACATATTGAGAAGCTACATGTTATTTAATCAAGGTATTGCTGGTCTTGTATTTCTCAGATATTTACCCAATAAGGAAATTGAATTTGTCTACATGAGATTTATGTAAGCAATCATTTCAAATTTTTTATGAGAAAAAAATCAAGACATGTTTGCTTAAAGTGATTTAATTGTTCTCTTAGTAATTATGTTTCATATTTTTTTCCAATGAAACAAGCAAACAAAATAGTGCATTCAGTTTGCTTGAATTTTTATCATTTTAATCAGTTTTGGAGAGATCTATTTTTAGTTTGAGACTAGAGTGGAAGCAGCTCATGGTGCAGTGTGTATTGGTTTTGTTCCTCAGTGTTGCTCTTTTGCTTGATATAAGTGGGATAAAGGGCAGCTCTTCAGCATCAGGCCACTCAGAGAAAACTACACTGAAGTAAAAAGGCTTCATATAGATTAGATACAAATGCTCTCAGAGGTGGGGCAGCAGAGGCCATCTTGTTGAGTGTAGTTTTACATTTCAGTAAATTGAAATTAAAATGTATTTGTAGGTTCCCCAACTTAAAACAGCTGTGTCAGAACATGACAAGAATTCAGGTCTCTTTTAATCTTATTACTCATCATACCACATGTGTGAATTTAAAATAGACAGACTTGGAAGCAGGAAATCTTTATACATATTTAATTCAATATGCTTTACGGTTAAAAATAATATATTCAAAATTTTCAACTTATATCTATCAATGATGCACATATGTATATGAAAATGTATTGTGTCTTTTTAACCAATGTGTTAACTACTAAGTTTTTGTTAATAAATGCACATCAATTTGCCTAATATTTTGAATAGGTGTATTGTATATATGCTTATATATCATAATGATAATATGTTTGCATCCCTATAGATTTGTTTTGTATGTCCTCAATTTCAAATTGTAGACAATTTTCAAGGAAAATATTAATTTAATAACTTTTCAATAAACAGTAACTATATATACACACTATATGTACACAAATATATACACAACTATATATACATATATATGTATGTATACATATACACAACTATACATATATATGTATATATATACTATACATGTATATTTATATGTATATATATACACGAACTATATATGCACTATATATACACAACTATATATAAATTATATGATGCTTTTCCTTTAGCAGTGCAGAAATGTGAGTGTTAGAATCAAGGAAAGAGCATTATTATTTTCTCATTCTCTAGATAATACATTACAAGGAATTGGCCACGTGGCAGTTTTGTAGAATTTTACATCTACCGATAGCAAGCTAACCCGGGAGATAGTATACTCCTGTACACTGCTGATTCTGCTGGAAGGGTGGGTAACCTTTTGCCTTGTTTTATGGGACAGCTGCAATTCTTGGTTGTTTGGTTGAGATATTTTAAATACAAACCAATTAACAACCATTTTATTACTTGTTTCATTGAGTTCTATTAAAAAGTCAGAACAAAAACCCAGTTTTAAAAGTTACTCTGCATTGTTAAATAGTATTATAATGGATGTCAAAATATGCAGAATGTAATCACCTGAGTCCCCATTACTTTTTTATTAATGTTTAATCATATTTTTTGAGATTATTACTTTAATATGTGAGGTATTTTATTTAATCTATAATGTCAAAGAAAACAGTGGAAAAAAGAGAGCTTTTTTCACTGAATTTTACAAGCAATTTAAATATATAAAATATAAAAGCAATTTATAACACACAAAAGTATTTCAGTTGCTTCTTTGACATTAATGTATAAATAATATTAAAAATATGAAATATCCAAAATCTAGAAAGAGTATAACAAATGATTTTTAAGAACGAGCACTTAGGCTTATCATTTATTCATATTTTTGTTTGCTTTAATGATCTTAACTGTTAAAATATTACAGATATAATTACTGTTCAATGTTTTCAACTTATTTTTTCCCTCCGCTACCCCATTTATTGGCATTTGTATTCATTCCAGTAACTGTTTTATACAAGCTTATCTGTGTGTGTGTGTATATATATATATATATATATGTATGTGTGTGTATTTATAAATAATGCACTGCACAATTTGAATGTTTAAATGCATATGACTGGGAACATATTTTGTGTAATAGTTTGTGGGGTTTTTTCAAAACTATGTTGAAATGTTCAATATTGATGTAGAGTATCCCATTCAGTTTAACTTCTAGAGAGTGTTCCATTCTGGGATAAAGTAGGGTATGTTATCCATTTTCCTAGTGATGGTAATTAGGGGTTTAAACGTCATGGAGCAAACATCCTCACATATGTCATTTTTTAAAACTCAAGTGTACATTTGTGAGAAGGAGCATTGCTGCATCAAACTTGCGCATCTTCAGTTGTGTTCAAAATTTCCAGTTGACCCTCCAAAGTAGGTAGGCTGCTTACACAGCAAACTAAGCAGCAGCAAAGAGCTTCGTCCCTTCACATGTTTGTCGAGACTTTACTTGCCAGACATATGTTTTCTAAAGCAATGGACACAAAATAGCATCATGTTAAAGTTTTAATTTGCATTTCCATAACTAGTAAAGTTGAACACATTTTGAATTGTTATTGGGTCATTAGCTTTCCAGTTTTCTGAGCCCTTGTTCATATACTTTGCTCATTGTTTATGCTAATGTGTTTTTATAGTTTGTCGTTTATCAGGGATAGTGCTCCTTTGTCATTTTCATTGTAAATATGTATTGCTCGTCACTTGACTTTGTGTGACAGTACAATTCTTTTTGTTTTTCCTTTTTGAGATGGAGTTATGCCCTTATTGCCCAGGCTGGAGTGCAGTGGCACGATCTTGGCTCACTGCCACCTCCACCTCCCAGGTTCAAGCGAGTCTCCTGCTCCAACCTCCTGAGTAGCTGGGATTACAGGCATGTGCCACCACGCTCAGCTATTTTGTATTTTCAGTAGAGACGGGATTTCAGCATGTTGGTCAGGCTGGTCTCGAACTCCTCACCTCAGGTGATCCACCTACCTCAACCTCCGAAAGTGCTGGGATTACAGGAGTTCGCCACCGCGCTTTGCCAAGAGTGCAATTCTTTTCAATTACTTGTTTTAATGATACAATGAAATGCTTCAAAGTGACTGTATCATTTATAGCATTTGGACAAAAGATTATCTTCAAATTTTTTCATTAAACATAGGTTCTACCTGTCCTATAAAAAATAACATTTCACATTATCTTTAAAATTTGTCATAAAACATAGGTTCTACCTGTCTTATAAATAACATTTCACATTTGCCTGGTAGCAAGGGATAGCATTTATGTGCTTAATAGAGTTTATCATTAATGAAATAAGGCAACTAAACCTTAGATGATCAGTAACCTGATTTTAAAATCACTTGTTTAAAGTTGGCTCTAGTTTGAAAAAAATTAATAAGTTGTTTTTAGTGAGAATATTTGAGTCATGTGAACAGGATCTAACACACATGACTTTGATGCAGAAAAACTAATTTTAAACATATAGATAATACCAGTGAAAATAAACAAAATATGATAAACAATATATAGAAAAAAGTTATTTTTGTGAGCTTATGTTAGTCAAAGTTATTTTCTATGAAAAAAACTTAGAATGCAGAGGTCAGCAACACATCCTGGAAATGAACTGCCTTGATTTAAATGCTGGCTCAGGTGCTGGCTCTTTCAGTGCATTGGGCAACTTATTTGATCTTGTTATGCCTCCGTTTTATCTTGAGAAAAAGAATAATAACGGCATATTTTAATTTATTGTACAATTATGAATATTAATTGAGCCAAGGTGTGTCCTGTAGAGATAATAGCATCGGGCACAGAGAAGGTGCAACACATGGGTAATGGCATTGTTAGTATAACTATTGTCATGTCTTGCACATTGACACAAAATAAATTTCCCTCTCTCCAAACCAGAGCTAATTATCAATGGTTTTAAAATCATATTCCATACTCATTCCATGTCTTAAACAGTAAATCCTCATTTTAAAGTGGCTTACCACCCAATTTATTCAACAAATAGCTAAAGACAGTTGACTCTGCCCAGGATGTATAACCACAGTTAAAACTACAAACTTTTGTACTAAAAAATCACCCAGAAACTTGTATGAAAAGCAAATTATTGGTTTTATCCCACAAATTTTTATTTAGTATATTTGCCTTGAGACTTGAAATTCTGCATATTTAATAAGCACCCTAGATTATTTGATGAGAAAAATCTTAATTTCAAGATTGAGAAGTTCCATATAATAGAAAAACAGTACTAATCAAAAGCTTTTAGAAATTGGTTACTCAACTCATAGTCTTAGGCATATATTTTTTATGATCTTTCCATGTTAAAAATCTCCCACCATTTTATTTGTTTAAGCAGTGTGGAAGATGTCCAGTGGATTGAATTTAATTTAGGAGGATATTACTCCTACCACACTGTGTTCACTTTTTGTCTCATTTAAAACTATTGTATATTTTTTCTCAACAATCAGATCACAGATTTCCCTGCCAAATGGACAATCTCACAAAAGTGACAGAATTCCTGCTGATGGAGTTTTCTGGTATCTGGGAGCTGCAGGTGCTGCACGCCGGGCTGTTTCTGCTGATTTATCTGGCAGCGCTGGTGGGGAACCTGCTCATCATTGCGGTCATCACTCTCAATCAGCATCTTCACACACCCATGTACTTCTTCCTGAAGAACCTCTCTGTTTTGGATCTGTGCTACATCTCAGTCACTGTGCCTAAATCCATCCGTAACTCCCTGACTCGCAGAAGCTCCATCTCTTATCTTGGCTGTGTGGCTCAAGTCTATTTTTTCTCTGCCTTTGCATCTGCTGAGCTGGCCTTCCTTACTGTCATGTCTTATGACCGCTATGTTGCCATTTGCCACCCCCTCCAATACAGAGCCGTGATGACATCAGGAGGGTGCTATCAGATGGCAGTCACCACCTGGCTAAGCTGCTTTTCCTACGCAGCCGTCCACACTGGCAACATGTTTCGGGAGCACGTTTGCAGATCCAATGTGATCCACCAGTTCTTCCGTGACATCCCTCATGTGTTGGCCCTGGTTTCCTGTGAGGTTTTCTTTGTAGAGTTTTTGACCCTGGCCCTGAGCTCATGCTTGGTTCTGGGATGCTTTATTCTCATGATGATCTCCTATTTCCAAATCTTCTCAACGGTGCTCAGAATCCCTTCAGGACAGAGTCGAGCAAAAGCCTTCTCCACCTGCTCCCCCCAGCTCATTGTCATCATGCTCTTTCTTACCACAGGGCTCTTTGCTGCCTTAGGACCAATTGCAAAAGCTCTGTCCATTCAGGATTTAGTGATTGCTCTGACATACACAGTTTTGCCTCCCTTCCTCAATCCCATCATATATAGTCTTAGGAATAAGGAGATTAAAACAGCCATGTGGAGACTCTTTGTGAAGATATATTTTCTGCAAAAGTAGAACATCCTGGTCTTTACTATAGAAGATCTGCAACAAAACCCCAAAAAAGCATAAATACTTTATGACAAAAAAAGATGAAAAAATTGTTGATGAAATGATGAAAAATCCTGAAAAAAAAAACCTGTTGAATGGGAGAAAGACAATATTTGCACTACTATATGTAGATAGAAATGCAAATGTTTCTTCAAAAACTAAAAGTATAAAAGTATAAAAGTACCTTCATAAAATATTTCAAGGTTGTGTAACTGCAGCTTGTTGTGGTGATTTATTCCTTCCCATTCCACACATGTTCGAACTGCTTTAATTACCTCATCTTGAACCTGTAGCCTTGCACTCCTGTTAGTATGAATTTTTTGGAAGAGGACACACACATACACACACACACACACACACACACACACACACACACACACGCACACAGTTTTAGTACCTGATTTAGCCAGTCAACAAAAAAGAACATAAAACAAGCAGAAGGGTTATTAGAACAGGAACGTATGTTTTAGATTTTGCCAAATATTTTAAGGATATTTCTCTTTCACTTAGTTATTTTTAGAAATCTGTCAGGAAATTAACACAATTTCCATCAATGCATCTACTGAGATTGTCACTGAGTGCCTCAGTTTCTGCATTTGTGTTAGTATTCAATGTGTTGATAGAAACGGATCTCTTTCCTGGGTTTTAGTGCCTCAGTTTCTACACCTGTGTTAATATTCAATGTGTTAATACATACAGAGCTCTTTCCTGGGTCTGAGTTCTTGGTCACTGCTGGTGATTATCATCATCGCCATTGTCATTATTTTGTCAGAACACCTGAGCGTGAGTCCCTTGGCACATGGGCTGTCTGCCATTCTCAGGTGACTGGGCTCGTGAAATGTACACTGGCTATTCCTGATTTTCACTTGATGGGATGGGAAGAGGATTCGTGGAAACACTGATATTCTTAGTTGGTTCAGGATAAGAGTCTTGATGTGTGAACTGTCATTAGCCCATCGCAGTTGTGTGTGAGGCTGACCTCTCCATTAGGCACTGGACTTTACATCCCAAATCTCACTTTTACTTTCCAGAGAGATTGCAAACAATTGGGAAAATACAATAAAACATAAAATTCTGTAAATATAATTCTTCGATATGCTGCCAAATAAAAATTTGTAAAATTATTTTTTCTCATTTTTAACTATGCTTTTGTAGTTATCAATGTAATAGATGTTTATTGCTTTAAATGTCTTTCTTAAAAACTGTCCTGCTTTAATTTTATAAAACAAGGAAAAAAGTTACTCAAAGTGCTACAACACAGGAGAAAGAATTCTTTGCTTAGACCTATCTATTTGCAACTATTTTATATAAAATTTTACTTGAATGCTTAATATATGTTTTTTCCTGTTCTTGAAAGTACATTTAAAACATTAAATATTGTTTATAATTCTAAATGAATGTAAATGTTTTATTGCATAATAAAACCTTTGTTATTAAGCTATCACTGTTTTTCTCTCATAAGATGAACATCTGAAACTATAAGATAATTTGCCATGGATTAATATTTTTACTTAAATACAGTCCTAGATAAGCAAGTACTTTCACCCTCAGTCTTATGACCCTGATGTCAGAGAAGCCAATGGCCCAGGATGGGGAAAATGTGCTAGCTTTCTTCAGCTTCTAGACCTGAAATTTATGGAGGTGGACTCAGGACCAGCTATAGCTGATAAGGCTCAAATGACACCTGTCCCACCAGAGCAGGTGTGAGTGTTCCTGAGTGACTACTCAGGGTTCTTGAGGTCAAGGACTATTTTAAGGGAATTTTAGGGAGCAAGTTGACTCATCACTTAATGAAAGAGGCAACAGGGCTTCTAAGAAAGACAAGCACATTATAAATGGTTTTTAATCCCTTTTAATATTAAGTAGTATAATAAAGCACATAGTATAATATAGCATATAGCTATATTACATATATTAGTACTAACCATACTAATATATATTACAATATATATTATATTAGTACTAAACATCAAGCGACAGAACATCACCATCACGGAAGCCCTCTTGCCACTCCTCCCAATCAGCACACACTCCCCACCAAAAATATTAACATTATTCTAATTTTTTAATGCTTACGTTGAACTTTAAGTATTCAGAAAAGCTGCAAAATTTGTACAGAGTTTTTATGTAGTGCTCACCCAGCTTCTCCTAATTTTATACAGAGTTTCACTTATGTACTTGTGTCATTCATATTTTTCTTGATCCAGAGCCCCTGGCATTCAACATTTCCATTAAGTAAATTTCTAGGGTTGTACCATTTGGGGCAGGAGTAGCTGCCCACCTACATGAAGTAGTTACAAGGATCAGGATCTAACAGCTTTTTATACAAATTTTAGACAAGCCTCCTATTTGAACTGTTTAGAGGTACTTGATTACTTCAACTTCAAGCTTTTGGAGGGATTCTTCTAGTATAATTCTGCAAGCTTCTGAGCTGCTTCTATGACCACATTAATATTCAGCTTTTTTAGATCTAAGAAGTCCAATTCTAATTATTTTTTTTTCAGCCTCCAAAAATTTCTTGCTGTTATCTTCTTTCCCAAACTGTTGGCCTTTGTGTATTTATGCTTTAAATATAATAGTTCCTTCAGACAATGGTAAAAACTCTTGTCTAAAAAAAGAAATCTGAAAATTTCTTGTGTTCTCTGCCTTTATTTTTGAATGATACTTTAGCTGGATTTAGAATTAAGGCTTTGTAGGTAACCTGAAATTATTTCATAGCACATACAACAACTATAATTAATGAAATATGCATGTAATTTAAAAATAGAATTAAAACTTCATAAATTTCTTAACATTTTCCTTTGAGACTTCCTGTTTGTCCTGTGGATTATTTAGAAACATATTGTTTAATTTCCAAGTAGTTACAGATTTTTCCAGTTGTTTTCCTGTAATTGACTTCCAATTTGATTCAGTGTTGCCAGAGAAAACATTGCACATGATTTAGAATCTTTTAAATTTGTTAAGGTTTATTTAATGATCTGTGAAATGGTCTATCTTGCTGACTATTCATGAGTCTTTGAAATAAAAGTATATTCTGATGTTGAATGGAATGTCCTCAAAGACATTAAATCTGTTATCACAACATCCCCTGTGGACACCCTCATGACTACATTAGATACCTTAGCTTATTTATATGTTCCTGCCTTATTGTCCTTTTTGTCATTATGTAGTAGCTCTATAAAATATTTGGAATAAAATATTGAATGCAAACTTTATCTTTCATGTATCTATACTGTTATCCCCTAAAGTAGCAGGGTATTATCTTGTATCCTTTGGTGATATTAATAGGAATGCATGAAATGGAGATCATTGCATAAACAAGACCTGACTGCTCCCAGTATGCACTCTAATCAGTGAGACCCTGAGCACAGTATTTTTGAGTGACTGAAGAAGTATTAGGTTGGTGAAAAAGTAATTGCAATTTTTGCCATTGCTTTTAATGGCAAAAACCACAATAATCAATAATTATCAACCAGGAAGTATCATTGAAAAATAGTAATTCATCCAAGTGACAATATTGTGAAATCTGCGATTGTTTTAAAACCCTGTTTTATGGCAGGGAGAAAAGATGATGTAGCAGTCTTCGATGAATAATATCAATCAGGGACATTGAATGTGGGGAACATTGCCCTTGAATATTAATTTTCTGTCTTCCAAGAATTGTAGAATAGTTCAGAGGAAGTCAAAAACACAAGAGACATTGGATACAAAAATGCTACTAAGTGAAAGAAAACTGAGATGTAAATTTATTTTTTATTTTTTTTATTTTTTTATTTTTATTTTTTTTATTGATCATTCTTGGGTGTTTCTCGCAGAGGGGGATTTGGCAGGGTCATAGGACAATAGTGGAAGGAAGGTCAGCAGATAAACAAGTGAACAAAGGTCTCTGGTTTTCCTAGGCAGAGGACCCTGCGGCCTTCCGCAGTGTTTGTGTCCCTGATTACTTGAGATTAGGGATTGGTGATGACTCTTAACGAGCATGCTGCCTTCAAGCATCTGTTTAACAAAGCACATCTTGCACCGCACTTAATCCATTCAACCCTGAGTGGACACAGCACATGTTTCAGAGAGCACAGGGTTGGGGGGTAAGGTCACAGATCAACAGGATCCCAAGGCAGAAGAATTTATCTTAGTACAGAACAAAATGAAAAGTCTCCCATGTCTACTTCTTTCTACACAGACACGGCAACCATCCGATTTCTCAATCTTTTCCCCACCTTTCCCGCCTTTCTATTCCACAAAACCGCCATTGTCATCCCGGCCCGTTCTCAATGAGCTGTTGGGCACACCTCCCAGACGGGGTGGTGGCCGGGCAGAGGGGCTCCTCACTTCCCAGTAGGGGCGGCCGGGCAGAGGCGCCCCTCACCTCCCGGACGGGGCGGCTGGCTGGGCGGGGGGCTGACCCCCCCACCTCCCTCCCGGACGGGGCGGCTGGCCTGGTGGGGGCTGACCCCCACCTCCCTCCCGGAAGGGGTGGCTGCCGGGCGGAGACGCTCCTCACTTCCCAGACGGGGTGGCTGCCGGGCGGAGGGGCTCCTCACTTCTCAGACGGGGCGGCTGCCGGGCGGAGGGGCTCCTCACTTCTCAGACGATGGGCGGCCAGGCAGAGACGCTCCTCACTTCCCAGACGGGGTGGCGGCCGGGCAGAGGCTGCAATCTCGGCACTTTGGGAGGCCAAGGCAGGCGGCTGGGAGGTGGAGGTTGTAGCGAGCCGAGATCACGCCACTGCACTCCAGCCTGGGCACCATTGAGCACTGAGTGAACGAGACTCCGTCTGCAATCCCTGCACCTCCGGGAGGCCGAGGCTGGCGGATCACTCGCGGTTAGGAGCTGGAGACCAGCCCGGCCAACACAGTGAAACCCCGTCTCCACCAAAAAAATACGAAAACCAGTCAGGCGTGGCGGCGCGCCCCTGCAATCGCAGGCACTCGGCAGGCTGAGGCAGGAGAATCAGGCAGGGAGGTTGCAGTGAGCCGAGATCGCAGCAGTACAGTCCAGCTTCGGCTCGGCATCAGAGGGAGACCATGGAAAGAGAGGGAGAGGGAGAGGGAGAGGGAGAGGGAGAGGGAGAGGGAGAGGGGAGAGGGGAGAGGGGAGAGGGAGAGCGTAAATTTTAAATGTTATATTTTTGAAAGTGACTGAAGAATGGAAAATTTGGGGAGCACTATGGGAGATGGCTTCTACTCAACAGCAGTGTGATAGGTATGTATTCTGTGTCTGGGGAGCACTATGGGAGACTGCTTCTACTCAACAGTACTGTCATAGGTATGTATTCTGTGTCTAGGGAGCACTATGGGAGACTGCTTCTATTCAGCAGTGTGATAGGTATGTATTCTGTGTCTGGGGAGCACTATGGGAGACTGCTTCTACTCAGCAGTGTCATAGGTATGTATTCTGTGTTTGGGGAGAACTATGGGAGACTGCTTCTACTCAGCAGTGTCATAGATATGAATTCTGTGTCTGGGGAGCACTACGAGAGACTGCTTCTACTCAACAGTACTGTCATAGGTATGTATTCTGCGTCTAGGGAGCACTATGGGAGACTGCTTCTACTCAGCAGTGTCATAGGTATGTATTCTGTGTCTGGGGAGCACTACGGGAGACTGCTTTTACTCAGCAATGTCATAGGTATATATTCTGTGTCTGGGGAGTACTACGGGAGACTGCTTTTACTCAGCAATGTCATAGGTATATATTCTGTGTCTGGGGAGCACTATGGGAGACTGCTTCTACTCAGCAGTGTCATAGGTATGTATTCTGTGTCTGGGGAGCACTATGGGAGACTGCTTCTACTCAGCAGTGTCATAGGTATGTATTCTGTGTCTGGGGAGCACTACGGGAGACTACTTTTACTCAGCAATGTCATAGGTATATATTCTGTGTCTGGGGAGCACTACGGGAGACTGCTTCTACTCAGCAGTGTCATAGGTATGTATTCTGTGTCTGGGGAGCACTATGGGAGACTGCTTTTACTCAGCAATGTCATAGGTATATATTCTGTGTCTGGGGAGCACTATGCGAGACTGCTTCTACTCAGCAGTGTCATAGGTATGTATTCTGTGTCTGGGGAGCACTATGGGAGACTGCTTCTACTCAGCAGTGTCATAGGTATGTATTCTGTGTTTGGGGAGCACTATGGGAGACTGCTTCTACTCAGCAGTGTCATAGGTATGTATTCTGTGTTTGGGGAGCACTATGGGAGACTGCTTCTACTCAGCAGTGTGATAGGTATGTATTCTGTGTCTGAGGAGCACTATGGGAGAATGCTTCTACTCAACAGCACTGTCATAGGTATGTATTCTGTGTCTAGGGAGCACTATGGGAGACTGCTTCTACTCAGCAGTGTCATAGGTATGTATTCTGTGTCTGGGGAGAACTATGGGAGACTGCTTTTACTCAGCAATGTCATAGGTATATATTCTGTGTCTGGGGAGCACTATGGGAGACTGCTTCTACTCAGCAGTGTCATAGGTATGTATTCTGTGTTTGGGGAGCACTATGGGAGACTGCTTCTACTCAGCAGTGTCATAGGTATGTGTTCTGTGTTTGGGGAGCACTACGGGAGACTGCTTTTACTCAGCAATGTCATAGGTATATATTCTGTGTCTGGGGAGCACTATGGGAGACTACTTCTACTCAGCAGTGTCATAGGTATGCATTCTGTGACTGCCATGCTCTAGGCATTGTGCTATAATGTGGGGAGATACTGTGAACTAGAGAGATGATATCCCTCCTCCTATAGAGCTCACAGGCCTGTGGAAGAGAGAGACGCCAAGAGCAAAGAAAGGACAAATAAATGGGTTCTACTATTTCATATGACCAGTTTTATACATAAAAGATCAGGGTATTGTAATTAAGGACAGCAGTGAAGGATGCAGGAACCAGATGAGGATCATTTCACTCAGGGATAACTAAAAGAGGAGAGAGTTTTCTGCTGAGGAAGTGTGTCAGCTCCAAGAAATCCAGCATGGCCAGGAAAAAGCGAGGGTCATGTGCACTGGATGTGGTCAGGTACATCAGCTGAACTCAGTTTCTCTTTCATGTTTCTGTGACCATGACCATGAACTTATCGCATTGTTAAGTCTGCAAGTCACGCTGAATTAACTACACAATGCCCGTTCTGTCTCCTTAAACTGTATCACTTCTTTCATTACCTCAGTTTCCACAGCATTCTAGTATATCTACTTACCTCAACTTGGCTCAGAAGGCAATAGGGCCTGAGACTGTGGCATTTGGACAAGAATGTTCAAGATGTCCACCCAGCTTTTGTTTTTGAAATGATATTATGCGTTCAGTTTTTCCTCATGTAAAAAATAATAAATTCAGATCAATGCCATTATGTGGTTTTGATTACATTGATTATATTTGTGGAATATCTTTTTTTGCTCTGTAAATGCAGTTTATGAGCACCATAGGTAATTTAACATATATATGAAGCAAAAAGAAGAAATAAAGTTATCTGCAATACCATCATCAAATATATTTCCTATAAAAATTTATTTTCAATATATATTTTTAATATATAATATGGATAATATATAGTATCTTTTTTATATTCTATATATACTATAGAAGTATATATACTATATATCATATAGAATATACCATAGATTCTATATATACTATAGAATCATGCCATATATAGCTCTATATCTGCATAAATAAAATTGTGTACAGAGGCTCATGTCTTTAGTTACTTTAAGAAATATTACATTTTTGGATATAATTTAAAGTTTCATAACATTTTGCCTTTGAAACAGAATTTATAAAACATTTTTCTCTTATTTTAAATGTAGGCTTATTAAAATTTTTGCTTATCTAAAACAACACTGAAATGAATATCTATGTAAAGAATTCCTCGATTCTCTTTGTGATAGGTCTTTAAATAAAAAAGTGTTCATTTCTAATTTATATATCCAAGTTGCTTCCTCTCAACAATCTATCATGACAGAGGGCAGAACCTGGTGACATCTTTTTACTTTATTCACAACAGTACTGATGATCATTTATTTTTTTTCTTTCTGTAATTCAGCAGTAAGAGTGAGATCTTGTTGTAGATATTCTGGATATAGTTTACATTTTTATCATTAATGTCTTGTATTTGTGTTATCTGCAAATTCTTTTTTAGTAAAGTGTGCAATTAAAAAATATGTCTACATTATTCTGATATTAATAATATCTAAGTGATGGCTATATGTTACTAATCTTTATCTTTTGCTTTGTCATAGATCCAAAAAAATTTTCCAAGTAAAATAATAATCTACTCTTTAATTCCCAAATATATATATATATATATTTTTTCTCTTTTCAAATCCTAATTTATTTTCCATAGTATTTACTTTGTTTTTTCAACTTTCATTTTAGATTCAGGGGGTACATGTGCAGGTTTCTTACCTGGGTATAGCGTGTGATGCTGAGGTTTGAGTTATGGGTGATCCCATTACCCAAGAACTGAGCATAGCACCCAGTAGTTAGCTTTCTAACCTTTATCTCCCCCGACTCGTTCCCCATCTAGCAGTCCCTGGTTTCAATTGTTGACATCTTTATATCCATGAATACATGGTATTTTGTTTGTTGTCTTTGTTTATACATTAGACAAATCTTTACCCATATATTTTCTAGTTGTTTTAGAGTTTCATTTTCTACAGCTGTAATCAATTTTATTTTTTATATGTAAAAACAGTATATAACATTTATTCCTAACGTGTTATTAAAATTTCAGAATATTTAAGTAATTTTTTCTCAATCACTGAATCACAGTGGCAACTTTGCTGCTTGTGTTTTCAAAGAGTTGTGCTAAAACCATGGCAGGGAACTACACCTTCCTTTCCATTGCCATGTAATGTCCAAAATGAACCAATCTGTTGATGAGAAAACACCTCTCCCTCTCTTGTCCAACTCTTATATTTTCATCAGTTTATGACACTAGAAAGCTTCAGTAATTTCATTAAGTACTACTATTTAATAAATATATTAATACATAGATTTTAGTTTGAAATAGACCATAGTTCCACTAAGGCTGCCTAGCCCTGTTTCTAGTTAACACACATAAAATGCGCATATGTAGAATAATTAAATAGTAGGGTTTATGTTAAAACAATATTTAAATAAATATTCCACTACCTCTTTATGTTTCCTAATATGAGGAATTTTAAAAATTCACTTTTATGAAAACCCATAACATTCTCTTAGTTCATTTTCTATAAAGAAAATACATTTATTCCTTACAATTATGTAGGCTGAGAAGTCCAAGGGCAAGGGTCCACATGCAGCGAGGGCCCTCCTGCCAGCACGGACTCCCTGCAGAGCCTCAGGCAGACCAGTGGGGACCCTCCTGCCAGCACGGACTCCCTGCAGAGCATCAGGGGGACCAGTGGGGACCCTCCTGCCTGCGGGGACTCCCTGCAGAGCCTCAGGCAGATGAGTGGGGACCCTCCTGCCAGCAGGGACTCCCTGCAGAGCATCAGGGGGACCAGTGGGGACCCTCCTGCCTGCGGGGACTCCCTGCAGAGCCTCAGGCGGATGAGTGGGGACCCTCCTGCCAGCAGAGACTCCCTGAAGAGCCTCAGCAGGACCAGTGGGGACCCTCCTGCCAGCACGGACTCCCTGCAGAGCATCAGGGGGACCAGTGGGGACCCTCCTGCCTGCAGGGACTCCCTGCAGAGCCTCAGGTGGATGAGTGGGGACCCTCCTGCCAGCAGGGACTCCCTGCAGAGCATCAGGGGGACCAGTGGGGACCCTCCTGCCTGCGGGGACTCCCTGCAGAGCCTCAGGTGGATGAGTGGTGGGGACCCTCCTGCCAGCAGGGACTCCCTGCAGAGCCTAAGCCGGACCAGTGGGGACCCTCCTGCCAGCGTGGACTCCCTGCAGAGCCTCAGGCAGACCAGTGGGGACCCTCCTGCCAGCGGGGACTCCCTGCAGAGCCTCAGGCAGACCAGTGGGGACCCTCCTGCCAGCACGGACTCCCTGCACAGCCTCAGGCGGACCAGTGGGGACCCTCCTGCCAGCGCAGACTCCCTGCAGAACCTAAGGTGGACCAGTGGGGACCCTTCTGCCAGCGGGGACTCCCTGCAGAGCCTCAGGTGGACCAGTGGGGACACTTCTGCCAGTGTGGATTCCCTGCAGAGCATGAGGTGGCACAGGACATTACATGATGAGGGAGCTGAGCAGTCTGATGTGCTAGCCAAGATCTCTCTTCTTCTTATAAAGTTAATCTCACTTCTATGGTAATCCATTAATCCATGAATTAATTAATTCATTTATGAGAGCAGAGGCCTCACAACCAAATCACCTCTTAAAGGCCCCACATCTGAATACTGCTACATAAAAAATTAATTTTTTTAGAGTGTCATTTTGGTTTTAATCCACAAATTATTTTTCAAAATTTCTGTGGGTATATGTTAGGTGTATATATTTGTGGAATACATGAGATGTTTTGATACAGGCATGCAGTGTGAAATAAGCCCATCATGGAGGATGCGGCATTTATCTTCTTAAGCATTTATCCTTTGCATTACAAACAATCCAATTACATAGGTTCAGAAGTACTTGTGTAGGTGTCATATAGGTAAATTGCATGTCACAAGGGATTGGTGTACAGATTATTTCATCTTCCAAGTAATAAGCATAGTACCCTATAGGTAGTTTTTCTATTTGTGTATTTTTAATATTAAATCCCAATCTCTAGAAACACTAATACAAATAATTCTTTTTAAGTTATCGACAACTTAGTCACATACAAAATTGTTTCACAATGAGCAGGTCTATACAAACCTATCCAAAGTTGGAGGAAGCTGAGATGCTGAAGATAGAGGCTGATAAATACAGTTTCTTAGGCAGAAACAATTAATAGGGACTTATGAACAGAAGCCATGTGTGTGTCTCAGGCAGCAGTGAGATGAGATGGCAAATTCCTGTGCCATTAACCCCAAAACCCAGGACTTATATGCCATAGGGAAGGAATGATTCAGAAGGCATGTGTAGGACAATTGAAGTATGATAACATAAAAGTTGTTTGACCTAAGGGCAGGATTTATAATAAGTACCTGTTCTTACACGAGGAGCAATAAATAAACTGGAAATCTTAAAGGCCTTCTCCCCTGGAGTTAATCAGAAGCCAATAGGGCAGATCACCATTCAAGATGGAGTTACTTGAGCCTCCCATCTAAGAAAGAGTAGCTTTAGTCTCCAAAAACTTTTCTTTCATAAATTCTCTTTATAAACCTTATCATATCTTACACAGACTATTTATGACATACTTGGACTTTCTGTTTTGTCCAAAATTTCCCTCTTAAATAATGAGTTGTTTTATTTTAGAACTACATTTACTATACAAGTCTCTTTCTCATACAAAATTATACTTTTTACCCATTTTTAAAAATAAATACATCTTTGGATTTGTATAATAGCCTTTGAATTTGACAAAGATTATTTTCCTTTTAATAAGAACATATTTTTATGTCTTTATTATAATTTCTTTTCCATAAAAATATTTACTTTGGTACTCTCTAAATACAGAATTATATATTAACTAGAATTTTTATTCTTAGAACCTTAAATTTTTGTGAAAACCTAGGAAGTAGTAAATCTTGAATTGTCTGTCATATATCAGTATTTTATAGATGAGAACCATTTTATATTATTTTAGAAATATGTTTTTCTGTTTTTTAAATTAGAAATGATCCAGACACTTAATGAGTATTATTTACTTTAACTTTAAGATTTTAAATTATATGACAAGTTCATTTATAAGCATTTATGCCATTAAAGCTACCTAATTTATTTTTTAAAACAGTTTTCCTAGGTTACTTACAAAAACTGACATATTAGACAAAGCTAGTCATCATTAAAGTTATTTTTCAGCTAACCATTCTTATAGGCTGTGAATATTTCAGGTGTTTACCTACATAAGAACCAAATGTTAAATATATGTTTATTTGATTTTTTTTTGGCCAACCACTAAGGTTTTACCTATTTTCAATAAATCAACAGTATTAAATGTCTTATTTATAAAAAATTACACAATGATCATTAAGGGATGGGTTTTAAAGTTTTATAACCTTCATGACAAAGTTTGGTACCTTATAATACAAACACCGCTAAATATAAAACTATTTCACCAATAAATCCAGACAAAAATGTATGCTGACAATTCTGAAGGCATTTCAAATTTTATTTTACTAATAATTATAAAGCCAGCTTATTTATTGAAGATTTACTTGTCATGTGAACTTGAAGAGCATTTGGACTTTATGAGTAATCCTTTATTTTTAAGCCCATTTGATACCTTGCAGTTACAACATATAAGAAAATACATGTACATGTAACATAAACACAACTCAACATAGATACACAGATACAAAGATCCCATAGGTTTTATTTCAGAACTCTAGTCACAAGACAGCAATACAGATTCACCAGCTTGCAAAAGATGGTTTAATTTAAACAATGGGTTTTATCTCAAAACCAGTAGAAAAGCAACAGTACATTTAAAACAGAAAAATAAAATAGAGAAATTGAGAATTTAGGAGATGCTATATTTAATTCTATAGTTGCAGGTCAACTTTGAGCTCTGAATTTACCCATCAGTTTAAAAATGTGCCAGAACAGACTATAATACATAACCAGCCAGAGTACTAGAAAACCAAGCATGCTCTCAAACCTTCACATTTACACAAACATTTGCAAGTAGAGTGCCATAAAACCCCCAGGGGTGCCCCAAAGGAGGTCATCTCCTTGTCTTTTCTCAATCTTTGAGAATTTGCTTTGCAAGTTTTTTTTTTTGTTTGTTTGTTTTTTAATGGAGGAGCCAGACTGTAGCGTGGGTTTCAGTGCAGTGGGGCTCAGAAGTTGTCTCTCATTCACTTATACAAACATCAGGTTTTTCAAGCAAATGCACAGATGAACCAATTGAGACTAATTTTTGGAGAAAAAAGCAATGGAGAAAACTCTAGAATGAACCTGTGAATCCAAAATTAGAATCTGAAACAAGTTCCCAGGAAAAGACCAGCTCAGAATAAACCAAAGTACTATTAACTACATAAGGGATCTGTGGCTCAGGAGTACTTACTTACCAGTTCCACCTATGGAGAACCTCAAAGTCAGGAGGCTTTCAATAAGCCTGCAGCAGGAGAATATGGTCTGGAGACCTGGAGACAGGGAACTTAAGGCCAATTTATGCTAACTTCCTAAAAGAGAAAACACCAAGGTCTGGGAGCAGGACCTGGACAACTTGTAGTCAAGACTTTCCACTGGTAACAAGCCCAAATTGGTACCTTATTTCCAAGTTCACATGACTCCTTTTGGGGAGAAGAGTCCTTAGTCTTCTCTGAGGTCCTGCATTGGGCACCAAATAATGTTGATGAAGAAAAGTGAAACTCTAAAATATTTGAAGAGGTTTATTCTGAGCCAAATGGCCCAGGACACAGCCCCAGATGGTCCTGAGAATATGTGCCCAATGTGGTTGGGTTATAGCTTGGTTTGATACATTTTAGGGAGACAAAAGTTACAATCAAAGAGATAAATCAATACATGAAGGATATACATTGGTTCCAGAAAGTTTAGACATCTTAAAGTCAAGGTTTACAAGTCAAAAATAGATTCAAAGATTTTCTGATTGGCAACTGTTTGAGTTAAGCTTTGTCTAAAGACTTAAAATGTCAGTAGAAAGGAATGCTTAAGATTACATAGTTGTGGAAGCCAAGGTTTTTGTTATAGAAAGAAATGCTCGAGTTAAGATAACGGGGTCCTGGAAGCCAACGTTCTTGTTATGTAGATGAAGTTTCCATGTAGCAGGCTTTAGAAAGAATAGTTGACAAATGTCTCTCTTGCACCTTAGAAGATGTCAGACTCTCATTTACTCTCTCCTGGATCTGGAAAAGGCTTAGCGGCATTAATCAAGTTTCTCTACAGATGCAAAATTTCCCCCACAAAAGATACCTTTGCAGGACCATTTCAAAATTTGTCAAATAAGTATGTTCCAGGGTAAAGTATTTTTATTTACTTCATGGTTTGCTATCTGTCATGTGGTGCTATATGAGAGTCAGGTTGAAATTTAGTATCTTATTACCACCTAGAATCTGTTTTGTCAGTCTCATGATCTCTGTTTTAATGTTAATGCTGGTCAGTCATTTAGCATTCAATGGTAATGCTAGAGACCTCAAGTGTTTAGTTTAACTCTTTCAACCAACTGCCAGTCAAGAATTTTTTAATCAACCTATGAAAGCTTCTAAGTAGCAGGCTTCAGAGAGGATAGATGGTAAAAGGTGTCAGACTCTTAGTTAAATGTTTTCTGGATCCTCACGAGGACTTAGAAAGGGAAGCAAATTCTATACAGAATTCAGATTTCCCCCAGAAGAATTGGCTTTGCAGGGCCATTCCAAAACATGTCAAAGAAATACATTTTGGGGTAAAATATTTTATTTCCTTCAGGGCCTGTTACCTGTCATGTGATTCTACACCAGAGTCAGGTTGGAATCTGCTATTGTTGCTACAGTCTGTTTTGTCAGTCTTATAATCACTGTGTTAATGTCAATACTGGTCAGTTTTGCCTAAACTCCAAAGGGATGGCATACAAGGAGTCATGTCTGACCTCCCTTCCCGCATGGCCTGAACTAGTTTTTCAGATTTCTTTGAGATCTCCCTGGGCAAGAGAGTTTCCAATCAGTCAATGACAGGGCTTGGGATTTATTATTATTATTATTATTATTTTCTGAGGTTGCAACACAAAGCCCAAGTAGGAGGTCTAATTTTGGATAGAGGCAGAAACACTGTCTCATGGAATGCAAGAGTAAATACAATAAAATGAGAGAGATGGAAAATAGAGTACACTCAACTATGTTGCTTATTTTCAGTCTTCTGATGCCTAATCCCTCATTGTTTTGTAGTCACATGGTTATTTCTTGGTTCTTTTATAACATTTTTCACAACTGGATTGCTATGATTGTGCAGACACTGTCTACTAGAGTCAAATTTTGTTTTGAAATAGTTCATTATTTTATTTAACTGCGTAAACTAGTTTAGTCTATGATGAGTTAATAGACAGATGTGAAAAATTTTAAACTCCTCTGTCAGGGTTCAGAACATGATCCTTCCAAATATGGCTTCTTGATGAAATCTAAAAGTAAAATCCTAAGCCGCCCAATCAACTGAATGGATCCCCCTTCTTGGCCAGTGGAGCTGAGAGCAATCTGAAAAAGTAAATTTCAGGCCATGAGGGAAGGGGGATTGGGCACACCTTGTTGCACTCCCTCCATTGTGGAATTAACATTAAAATAGAGATCACAGGACTGACAAAACAATAAGATACCAAATTCCAACCTGACTCCCATATAGCATCACATGACAGATAGTAGACACTGAAAGAAATAAAAATATTTTACCACAAAATATATTTATATGACAGATTTCGAAATGGCCCTGCAAAGCTATCTTTTGTGGGGGAAATTTTGCATCTGCCATTAGTGCAGCTAGGCCTTTTCCAGATCTAGGAAAGATAAACTGTGAGGCTCACACCTTTTAAGGTCCAAAAAGAGACATTTACCATCTATTCTTTCTGAAGCCAGCTACATGGAGGCTTCATATATGTAACAAGAATCTTAGCTTCCACAAACTCCCTTACCTTAACTCAAACATTTTTTTCTACTGACTTCAAGTCTTTAGTTTAACTCTTTCAACCAATTGCCAATCAGAAAAATCTTTGCATCCACGTATGACTTATAAGCCTTCCACTTCATGTCCTGCTTTTTCAGGCTGGAACAATGTATATTTTACATGTATTGATTTATGACTTTGCCTGCAAGTTCTTTCCCTAAGTTTTAGGGAGACAGAAGTTACCCTGGGCACACTTTCTCAGGATCTTCTGAGGCTTTTCCCTGGCCATCGTCACTCATATTGGCTCAGAATAAACCTCTTTAAATATTTTACAGTGTTCAGCTTTTTCATCAGATGCAAACTTGACATACTAAATAAGCTGAAGAAAACTGAGAAAACCGAAGAGGTAGAAAGGTCACTTTCTGATTTTTTCTGCCCTTCTCCCCTGAGAGCTGTCCACAAAAGAATTCTCAGACCTACCTGTTCTGAGAGAAGGTAATAAGCCCCTTATTCCAGAGGGGCCCTGACCAATGCCCAGAGGGAAAAAAATGTCACATGGGGAGGCCACTAAGAATCTGAACAAACCTCACTAAGTCCTCCTCCTAAGTTTATTTCCATTATATCATATTTTTAAATGTTCTAATCATACTTTTAAGGCTCGCATGCCTCATGAAACTTCTACTAAGTAAATTTGCTATACTTTTCTGTTGCTAATCTGTCTTTTGTTAGAAGTTACCAACCACGAACCTTTTGATGAGCAAGGAAAAAATGTCTTACTTCCCCCCCGCCCCCCCCCCCCCCCCCGTAGCACTAATTATAAACTTTGCAAAGTTTTGATACTATCTATCATCTTATGGTGTGACCCATCTCATTCACAGGGAAGTCCAAACACAGCTCATGTGGTCTATGCAGTCCATTTATACGGGATTTTGCTACAGTTTCTATACTCCTAGATTCTTAGGCTTAGCATCACTAAGAGGGATAGAATGTGTCTGAACTGTATCCGTTCATTATATCAGGGATAGAATGTGTCTGAACTGTATGCATTCATTATATCAGGGATAGAATGTGTCTCTGAACTGTATCAGTTCATTATATCAGGGATATAAGGTGTGTCTGAACTGTATCCGTTCATTATATCAGGGATAGAATGTGTCTATGAACTGTATCCGTTCATTATATCAGGGATAGAATGTGTCTCTGAACTGTATCAGTTCATTACATCAGGGATAGAATGTGTCTGTGAACTGTATCAGTTCATTATATCAGGGACAGAATGTGTGTCTGAACTGTATCAATACACATAACCTACTTCTGAGACACAGTAAGGACAGGGCTTGGCCCCCACTCCTACTATCACATTTTTTTCCCGTACCTGCCAACTTCCAGACCTTGCACCACCACCTCCACTGGCACGATACCCACTGGATGGATAACTTGAAGAAACTAAGATAAGCAGCATTCCACCATAAATCTTATTCAAGGGAGTTAACCTTATCACTCACGTGTGCCTAAGACCAGAAGAATGACTGATCTTTACCCCTTGCTTCATTATAATACTAAAATCTCCACCCAGGGAAGGGCTTACCTACCATTTTTTGATCATGCAATGTATGTGTTCACATAATTTCTCACTGTGCCTGCATATCCTGTGCTCCACTCCACATGTATAAAGAGCCTCCCATACCTCATGATTATCCACGTCACTCATCTTAAAACACAGCAAAGACCTAGCCATGGGGAACCAGCCAGAGAACTGTCATTCCAGTGCTGTCTCCCTTGTGTTCGAGCATAAGCCCTTAATAAAGCCTTGTCTGGAAAACTTGCTTGGTCTCATGTCCATTTCTATTGCACAGGAGCCCAAGAACCTGTGGTTAGTAATACTTTCACATTTTGGCCT
The DNA here is from genome assembly GCF_000001405.40 of Homo sapiens. Taxonomy (NCBI): domain Eukaryota; kingdom Metazoa; phylum Chordata; class Mammalia; order Primates; family Hominidae; genus Homo; species Homo sapiens. The sequence continues at coordinate 305,534 of NW_025791755.1, read as the reverse complement.
GAATGAATCAGGTACTGTCATTTAGCTGATAGGTGACTAGTTTCCTTTATTATTTTCATAGTTTTACATCTTATGTGTCAATATGGTTTGGCTCTGTGTCCCCACCTAAATCTCATGTTGAATTGTAATTCCCAGTGTTCAGGGAGGTAGCTGGTAGGAGGTGATTGGATCCTGGGGTGGATTTCCCCCTTGCTGTGCTCATGATTCTGAGTGAGTTCTCCTGAGATCTAGTTGCTTGAAAGTGTGAAGCACTTCCCCTTTCACTCTCTCTCTCCTGCTCAGCCTTGTAAATATTGTACCTGCTTCCCCTCCACCTTCCCCCATGATTGTGTGTTTCCCGGGGCCTCCCCAGCCAGCTTTCTGTGAAGCCTAAGCAACTGTGAGTCAATTAAACCTCTTTTCTCCATAAATTACCCAGTCCCAGGTATGTCTTTATGGCAGCACGAGGACGGACTAATACAGTATCTATCTCTAAACAACAGAGTTTACTCTTGTCTATTTTTGAACTTTAAAAATGAAGTTACTTTGAATATTTTTTTGACTTTTTTGCTAAATATAATTTTTGTGATATTCAGCTCATTATCGTGTATGGTTTGCTCATTTTCCTTAGCATATGCAAAGTCATTGAATATCTTAATTGATATATTTATTCTATAGTTATTTGGTATGTATGTTATTTTCAGCTTCAGGCTATTATGAATGCTTTTGCTATTGACATTTATGTCCTTATGTTTTCATATATAAATGCAAAAAATATAGTGCATATACCTATGGGTAGAATTGATGGGTATGTATTTTTCTGACTTATAATGAGGTTGAGTAAGTTTTCTTTGATTTATTAGCCATTTAGAGTTTCCCTTTTGTAAAGTACCTATTCAAGTATTTTTCCCATTTGCTATCAAATTTTGGCCTTTTGTTATAGACACATAAGAATTTTTTTATACATGTGCTGGATATTTTGTTTTCAGTTTTGTTACACATCTGCTAGTTTGTGACCTATCCAAGTGTTCAAATTTTATTTGTAAATTGAATTACCAATATTTTACTTTATATTAGCCTTTTTTGTCTTAAGTAATCTGTTCATAACCTGAAGTCAAGAAAATATTATCCTATCTTCTAAAAGCTCATAGTTTTTTTTTTTTCTTTCTTCACCTTTTAGTTTTTAACCCGCCTAAAACATATCTGTGGTATGTGACTTTAGGCAAATTTTCCATTCCCCATATGAACAAACAATTTTCCCAATACAACTTGATAAATTTATTTTTCCCAGATCTGCAGTGACATCTCTGTCTCCTTTATAGTCACATTCCATAAAAGCTTTGCCTGCTCTTGGTCTCCCCAATTCCTCCACTGTCCTCTCTATTCAGGATATTTACCTCTCATTTCAATGATCTTTATGTGGATAAATCAAATCTTTCAGGGCAATCAGCACAGTTTTTGTTTGTCTGTTTTTTTCCTTGTTTTGATATAACTGTCTGTTCCCTCGATTGAAGATGTGTATTTTGTTTTGTTGCATTTTCATCTGTCTTCAAGTACACCATACTGATGGCTTTTCCTAACTCATTGTTTTGTTTTTCCTTTTAATTTTTTTTCTCCTTGTGTCATTTCTCCAGGCTCACTTCTTAATACTGGAGGGCTCCTAGCTCAGTTATGGGTCCTCTTCTTTTTTTTCCTGTACCTTTTCTCTGTTAAGCTCATTGGGGTTCTTAGCTATAAACATGTATCTATATAATAATATCTATGTATTAATGACTGCAGTTCAAAGCAAACTTGGCATTCACCAAACTGATCTGTGCCTCTGTCTTCCCACCCTAAACTTCCTGCAACTGCGTCTTTCCTTAGGCCCAGTGGTAGGAGGTCCACAATTTCAGTTGCTCAATCCAAGCCCTTAGAGTTGCCCCTGGTGCTTCTCTTTCCCTTGAATCAGATATCCAACTAGTAAAGGAATCCTGTTGGCTCTACCTTCAGAAGACATCTAGGTTCCAACCATTTCTACAATATGTTCCTGCTTTACCTAAATCCTCTAAGGGTTATTTCTAAAGCAACAGTTGAAGAAACGTCAGATCATGCCACTTTGGTGATTAAAACCCCACTGTCGCTCACTGTTTATTGGGAGTAAAATCTAAAATTCTTACAGGAAGCTCTACAGGGCCCTTTTACATGCTCCTCTGCCCCATTACCTCTTAGATGTCTGCTTGTGCCACTGTTTCCCTCACTGCTCCAGCCATCCTGGCCTTCTTGTCATTCTTTGAATAAGCCATGTACACTCTCACCTCAGGCCTGTCCCACCAGTTTTTTTTTTTTTTCTCCACTTGGGATCCCTCCCACCCCAACACTCTCTTCAGGGCTAAATTCTTTATGTCCTCAAGACTGCATGAATGTTATCCTTCCAAAGAGATCTGTACTATCGATGACATTGTAAAAAGCAACAAACGTTACCACAGCTTCGGCAATTCTTTCTCTCTCTTAATCTACTTTTTCCCTTTCTCTATACCATTTGACATTGACAGACTATATAGTTAACTTCTTTCTTCTGTTTGTTATTGTTCACTGCCTCTGGGCTACATGGGCAGCTTCATGAGGACAGGCACCTATTTTGCAAACAAATATATCCCAAGGGTCTTAATAGTTCAATAGATGGCTGTACATAGTATAAATTCAACAAACATTTGTCAGATGAAATAAGGTTTCATAAAATTTCTGTAGATGCATGGACCTATTTCTGAACTCTTTATTCTTTTTTTTTTTTTTTGGTTTGTCTTGTGATGTGTGAGTTGTATACTGTTTAACGGTTTAACTTGAAAGTAAGTCTGAATTTCTGGCATGACCATTTATCTGCGTTGTTCTTATTTAACATTATCTTGGCTGCTATTCTTGGCTCTTTGATCATCTTTTTAAGAATCAGCTTGCCAAATTGTATTCATATCCTCCGGCTATCTATCTAGCTATCTGTCTATCTTGGGAGAGAGAGAACATTGAATCTATATCTCTGTTTCTAACTGTAGTTCTGGCTCTAAGTATCTATCTTCATTAATCTCTGAATCTATTTCTATTTCTTCAGTATCTCAAACAATCAGTTCCTTTTTAAACTCCCTTTATTATTATGTTAAAGTCTTTCAAGGTAAATAGCCAGTGTGTTGTCATTCTAGCCCTGACCATATTCCTATGCATCCATGAAAAGGGAGAACAGTGCACCAGTCTGCTCACACTGAGTCCTTCATAGGACTTACTTACAACACCCCAAAATCTCAGTGACTTACACAACAAATGTATGTGTCTCAACTTATTGAAGATACCATTCAAAAGAATTTCAAAATTATTTTTGAAATTTAAAAGAATTAAAATCATGAACTCAGAAAATTGTACAACAATGTTCATAGCTCCATTATTTACGGTAGCCAAAATGTTGTGTCCATCAATAGACAAATAAATGAGCAAAATGTGATATATACAAGCAATGTGATACTATTCCGCCTTCAAAAGGAATGAAACTCTGATATTTACTGCCACATGGATGAACCCTGAAAATGAAGTGAAGTAAGTATAAAGGCAGATATTGTATGATTCTACTCATTTGAGGTACCCTGTTGGAGGCCGAAAGAGTGAGGGTCGTGATCAACTGAGTACCCCACTGGAGGCTGGGTGAGTAAGCAGCAAAACTGCTTCTCATAAATGCAGAATGTTGGCAAACTGACAAACTGCGTTTGCCACACAGAGGTTATGCTGAGGGCGGTCACGCCCCAGGCACAAGTGTTTCTTGTTATTAGGTACGTCTGAAAGTCTGATAGCAATGATGTGAACCTGTAATCAATCAAGTAGTTGACCAATCGTGACGTCCTCCTCCCTGCTCTTTCTACCCAATAAATACGGAGGGCTGAGAAGTTCGGGCGGCTGCCTTTACTGACTAGAAGCTGGGATCTCTCTTCTTCCCCTAAGCGAGCCTTTCCTTAAAACCGTTTTCTTCTGTCTTTTGTTACTATTTCTACGTTCATTTCTTCATTCAGTCCTGTAATGATGGTCTCAAGTAGTAATTGTACAAGTCTGTCACAAGTGTTGCCTGAACAGGGGCATCTAGGGACAAGTACAGACCTGAAGAGGCCTGGAGGGATAAATAGATCAGCAGGGATAGAGAGAAAGACAGAGTATAGGTAGAGAAAGACAGGAACTTGCAGGAACTAACAGGGACCATGGGGACAGATAGGGATAGATAAAGACTAGCAGAGACTAGCAGAAACTTGCAGGGACAGACAGGGTCCTATAGAGACTTGAACGAGGAAGGTCTGCTGGAACAGAAGCTAAAACTAGCCAGACAAACGAGAAACCCCATTACAAGTCAGCCAGCAGCAACATAAGGCTAGTGCTCTAAAAAGGTACTTGTCAGTGCCCCAGAGGTTTGAAGAACAGGAAGTTTTTGAATCAGGGTAGCATGGGGAAGAATTTGGTTATTTTTTTCTTTCATTTGGAGTTTGGTACATACCTTTTCCGTTATTTCAGGGCCGGAGAGACTATTTTGCCCCACTTAGAGCACCTATCAAAAGTGGTAGACAAAAGGGAGAATGAAAACTGGCTGGCAGCATCTTTTGTGGCTACAGAAATGCTCACTTTGACTATGGCTTATTAAGGCTACAAATGTGGATTGGGAACGTGCAGTGGCACCTGTGAGGTGTGCAGAAAGTTCAGGAGGTTTTCTTAGTTTTTCAAGATGTGGGAACTGAGCTTCACTACTTTATAATGTTGATTCAGGCAACGGCTAATTTTGGTAGTTGACAGATCTAAAAGGAGCCAAGGGTTGAGCCCTAGAGTGGAAAAGTTGTAAGTGTAGAGAATTGGACGTTGCAAAAGAGAATGCAGTCAGACCTCTGGGCAGAAGGGGTCTTAAAACAGTTCTCTTCTCAACAGAAAAAGTGCCAGGACTTTGCCGTCGTTGAAATAAGGGAAATCACTAGGCTAATCAATGCTACTCTATATTTCACCAGAACGGCACTCCCCGTGGGGAAACCAGAAGCGGGCCTGGACCTGGGCACCTCGAACAAGGACTTCCCCAGTCCAGGCCGCAACTCCGTTTCAGGGGGGTTTCTGGAGGTGCTTTGACTCCCCCTCCTCACGCAGTAGGAAGCACAGGATTAGATCTCCCAAACGAACGGGTTTAGGGGAAAGCAACCGGCCTTGGGGGGAAAGCAACCTGACTCACACTGGCGTTTGGGGACCTTTGCCAACAGGATAGGTGGGATTAATTTTAGGCAGAAGTCATCTTAACTTGCGGGGCATTACTGAAGTCCCAGGAGTTCTTCGGCTTATGGAGAAATTCAGGTAGCGGTCATGTCCCAAGGTCTCTGGGTTTTGAAGCAGGAGAACATATTGCGCAGCTGTTGCTCATCCCCTGTAAATTGTACCCTTCTCTACGTAAGAAGCGAGGAGGTCAGGCATTTGGAAGTACAGCTGGGAGAAAGCTATCACAACCCACAGCATCTAACAGACCCGCCTGTGTAAGTGCAAATGGAAGGTTTAAGGATTGTTTTTTTGCTACACTGTTGCACGAGAAGGATAAGCCTCAACTTGTTTTCTCTGTGCCTTCTGTTCATCAGAAAAAGCTGCTTTCACTATCAACGGAAAGTTTTACCCCGCAGCAATTAGGCCAAGAGGCAGAAGCTGCGCCGCAGCTTGTGGAGCGGAGGCCTCGGCAATGGCCTGGCTCCCGGCTGCAGCCCCAGAAAGCTTTTTGCTTTTGTAGAGTTACTAACGTGGGGACAGGACATGCCTGTGTCTTTACAGGAGATGAACCGTGTGGGTGCCCTCGGGACCGAGGGCCGACCGCAGTCCCGCTGACCTCAACCCCCATAATACAGGGACAGACATAATTTAAAAAAGGGTTGGAGGCCGAAAGGGCGAGGGTCGCGATCGGCTCGGTTTACCACTGGAGGCCGGACGAGTAAGCAGCAAAACTGCTTCTCACAAATGCAGAATGTTGGCAAACTGAGAGACTGCGTTTCCGCGCGGAGGTGGAGCGGAGGGCGTCACGCGCAGGCACGAGTGTGTCATTAGGTGCGTGGGAAAGTCCGATCGCAACCATGTGCACCTGCGATCAATCACGCAGCTGATCAATCGTGCGTCCTCCTCCCTGCTCCTACTCGATCCATGCGGAGTGCTGAGAAGCTGGGGCGGCTGCCCTTGCTCACTAGAAGCTGGGAGCTCTTCTTCCCCGAGCTTAGCCTTCGAACAGTGTTTTTCCCCCACTTCTACCTCCCTCCCTTCGCTCAGTCCTGTAATGAGCATCTCAAGCAGTAACAGTAACTGCGGTAGTGACCGTCTCAAGTAGCAATTGTACAGGTTTGCTACAGTACCTAGAAGAGGAAAATCCACAGAAACAGAATACACCTTACCCCAGAGATGAGGAAAAGGAGAAAATAGAGTTAATGTTTAATGGGTACAGAAGATTTGTTTGGGATGAGGAAAAAGTCCTGGAGATGGATGGTGGTGATGGTTGTATCAACCTAAAGGAAAAAACTTGAGGCAAAGTTAACACGTATATTTGGACCAAGATTGGGAAATGCAATCTGAGGAGACAGATTCTAGTAGCCTTAAATAAATGCTCCAACTAACAGCAGTTATAATGGGGCCTCTAAGGGAAAAGGGAAGTTCTAAGCTGACATAAACTATTGATCAACTAGACATTGTTCTTTTGTAGCTATTGATCAGCTATACACTATTCTCTGTAGGGAACATGAAGATGGTTGGTAAAGGTCATATTGTACAACTTGTAACATTTTAGGTAACTTATCAGCTAGTCTGGAAACTACGGGGGGGCGGTGCCGGGGGGAAAGTATAAAATTCCTTTAAACAACCCCAGGTGCGCATGTGTGAGCAGGGCTGGGTAGGGAAGTTATTGAATTCTCATGCTCGCGTCTCTGAGCCTAAGACGTTTTGTAAAGCTCACATTCTTCAGACTGCTCTGAATCATTTTTCTCAGTTTCAAATATTTTCTAAGGTCAATTTTTGGGGAAGCTAAGGCAGGTCATATATGAAAGTAATTTAAGTGGCTTTCTCAGATTGGACCTCAATCCTAAACAAAGGGGAAAGACCCAAATGATTTTCTAAACCACCAAAAAACTTAAATTTCAACCAACCGTACTAGGATTGAATCATCTCTTCTTGCTTATAGAAAATATTAGAGTACATAGTAATGTAGCCAGTTGTTGGAAAAAATGGTAAAAGTGGTAAGTTCAACCAGTTAAGATTTAAGTTGGGGTGTTTGTGTATTTTTGTGGTATTTTGTCAGCTTTCTAAAGGTGTAATTTGTTGGAGTTTCACTGAAGAGAATATTATACCTGTGCAATCATGATTTGTAGCCTGTTTTAAGATACCCCAGATTGCTTAAGCTTCAGCCTCAGAAAACCTGAATTCCAACCCCCACTAATTTAAACACCAGTGAGGTAAATATGAATTACATGAAAGCCAAGATCATGCAGGCATAGATTGCAGCACAACAAGACTGCAGGGTCTAAAATTCCCCCCCACCCTTCCCCGCTCCCCCCAGGAATCGTTGTGGGCCCTTTTGAGAATACTGGATGAGAAAAGGTCTGTCTTCTTGAAGTAACTCAAAGATCTTATATACACTGAGATCAGTAAAATGAATATTTTTAAATGCTTGCAATGCTGAAAGTTTTATGTATTACAAGTTACAAGAAAGACAGGATGATTACATACTAATACTTGAGTGATGGGGAATGGCCCAAAATGTATCTTTTGCAAGACAATACTTCCTTAGAAACATTGATTTCTATTTCAAGAGAGATGCCTGAAAGTTGGAAGTGTAAAAAGAGAAACTTTCAAAACAATGTCGTGAACAAAGTAAAAGAGAAAAAAGCAATTTAAGTTGCAGCTGCCAGCAACCTGACTTATCTTGGGTGTTTACTTTGTAAATTGAGAGGTTACATTTTTCTTGAGTTTGTCGCATTTTATATGAACTGTAATTGCAGGCTCTAGGGACAAGGACCCCAGAGACAGTGATGTCAATGTATCTCCTGAATGGGAGTACTAGCCATCACCATGATGCAAGCTCTCCTATTTAAGTCACTGGATCTCTATCTTCTTAACAGCCTTCGTAATGCAGCTGCTGTCAACTGACATTAGGCATTTACAGATTCAGGCTGTTCTATTTCTAGATCTTCAAACGATTCACCTATCACTGTATTTTAAAAAGTCTCAATAAGTTAGGGACTGACCCTTATCCTTCTGCCAACAAGATGTAATTCCCACGCCTAATCCACTGTACCTTCTTGTTTGAATTCATAGACCCTCCCTGCCTGTACTCTCCTGTTTCAGTTCAGAAAACAAGTTTGAAATACAGAATATAGAGTACCTCCAGTTTAGAAAGTCTGATGTATGCCTCTTAGTTCCCCATACTTACTACATAAAAGGAAATGCTGAACAATTGCATGTACTACCTTAGTTCTGTAAGGTTTTTCTCTAAATATTCAGATCATCGTGTTTGGGGAAGATACTGTGTAAGGTAAGTTTGCAGTCTTGATGCTGATCAATCGCAGGATGCTTTAAATAGATTCTGGACTTACTAGTAAGTTTTGGTTCAAACCAGAGAAATACTGGAGAATGTTGAAGTTGATACATCTGACTTTGAACTGCAGATACTTGTGGATAGTACTAATATATAAATCTTAGATAATTCAATCTCGTTTCTTAGTAGTTATGGACTCTTTTCTGTACATCAGAATGTAGCAGATTACTTGAATTCTATGCAGATCTGTCTGCATAATGATTCCAACAGTTTTTATCATTGCAACATATATTCACCTATAACTTTAAAATCTTCATAAAGGGCTTATCTAAATCGTAGTATTCCACCTTGTTAGGTACCTCATAAGCATCTCTAAAAATGGTTTAGTTAGGAAGACCCTCCATATCCTGCTCCGAGAAACCATTGCAGCATACTTAATACTTAGAAGTTCCCAGAAGCTGAAAAGAATGTGAGTGGCTTGCCAGACGTCCAGAAGCTTATCAGTGATGAAGATAGAATATAAAGCCAGCTTTGATTAAAAACCATGTCATGTAGCATTGTGAACATTAAACATGCCAAGAATGTTTCAAGGGTTAGGAATAGACAGGGGAAGAACTCAGTTCAACTTCTGTAGAGACTGAAGGTGATCATGCCCTTGGTCTGCTTCAAGACAATCCCTCGGCCTTAATCAAAACTTCTCTATCGTTCTAAAGATTCCCCAAGTGATTTTACTTTAGAAAATGGCTTTTCTTCCACAACTAGAAGTGACACTTCATGTGAAAATACTGCTGGGGAGGAAACATAATGAATCTGATTGTACAGAGAATTAAATGTCTTATAGTCAGGGTCACCATTTAGCCTTGTTTTCTCAAGATATTCCCTTTCTTATGCCTGTTGTCCTCATGTCCTGTCTAGCTTAGCCTTTTAGCACTCAAACGTATTCTGAGTTAGATGGTCACCAAGAATTGTGCCAATCTTTGATGCAGAGCAGGGTCTGACAGAACGACAACAAAAATGAAAAAGTAGAAAACTTGGCTACCTGCTGCTGGATCTGCTATTGAAGAGAAAAACATAATGGACAGCAAAGGGTGAGATTCCCAAAGCTAACTGTCGCTATCACAGTCTTAAGGCTAACCTGGCACTCATTTTTAGTACTCGCTTTTTATACCAGAATTTGTACATGCAACAAGGGTGAAAACTAAGTTACCCATGACAGTGTTCCCACATTTCCAACAGTTCTCCTTGTTACTTAGGTCATTCCTGCTCATCATTCACACTGGAACTCCTGCTTATTTGAAGAACTCCAATTAGATAGAATTCACTGGCATGATCTTAAAGTACAGATTTATCATGGTTGATCTCATAAACCAATGGTTGCATAGTTTTAATGTCTAGACCAAAGATTTTAAATGCATAGAAAATTACATTTTAAAAAATTTTAAATTGTATATTAATCACATACCTCGATGGAAAATATTTTTTCAAAAATCCAGCACACAGAATGAAAATGTCTGAAATATTTCAACTTTTTGGCCTAAACATCAAAGTTAAAATTACATGTATGTAACTCGGGGGCAAAATAGCTGCACTAAATAGAACAAAAGAATATTAATAAAAATCTATAGACACTAATCTTGACAAATCACCTATATAGAAAAGGTCATGAAAAATCAAAATAGCCAAAATATACACTATGTTCAATTTTCTTCATAATCAAATCCATATTGTGAGTTTCGATACTAGTGCTAAATGCTGGGGCAAGCATGATGCTGCCGCAAGTGTGTTCTCTTACTGTTAAGCATTTAACAACTTGGTGATAAGCTTCTTAAAGCATAGTAAACCATTGTCCATGAATTATGCCAGAGAATTCACCTCATAATACTGTATATAAGCAAACTCAACAACGTGAGTGTAAACCAAGCTGAGCGTCTCATATTCAATCACAGCAATATTCTCTATAAAGACTGGGAAAGATGTGCTAATTATTAGGTATACATAGAACTGGACGTTTACTAAGGTTTGGAATTATGCATAGACAGTTATTACATGGGGCATGCTATAATCCAGTTGATTCCTTTATTTTCCAAGTATTCTTTAAATGTTGCTATACTGGGTAATCCTTAAAATACAGTGAATGAATCAACACTACCAGAGTTGGAAGATGGTTGTAAAATCTGAGTGGTTATGGAGCCACTCATATCTCCCCTTTCCCTTTGTGAAGTAAGCTGGGGAGATCCCCAGGGTCTCATTAGCAAGTTTCAGGGCCAGGAGTATTCATGGTCAGGGTTCGGGACACAGCTGCCCTGATAAGGATATTTTTGGACCCATTTTTTCCTCTTGGGCTTTAATATTCCCAGTGGACCAATAGCAGTCGCTGTGGCTGGTCCCCAGTAGGTAGCCACCATTCTCTGAATTTACTGTGAAATAACAAGCACGGCCCTCCAAGGATCTTGTTCTTATTAAATTATGGACAACCAGGTCTGGGTGAGCATTCAGCACTCTCCATCATACGAATTGCTACTAAATGTTTGCCTTTAATCTTCCCACTGGTTTAACAGTTTTTAAAATAATAAAGATACATTATAAATCAGCTGATGGAAAGCTCTGGCATAAAGCTGGTAATATTTCAAGAATGAGAACTGAAAAATGCATAAGGATATAATGTGGGTTTCATCAGTAAAAATCTGAATTTTCATCGTTTTCCATCCATCCACTGTGGCATGGTTGTGGTGGAATGTACTGAGGGGCCCTGGTGTGAAGTTCCTGTCTACCAGCCAGTGGGCTGCAGCTTCCATCATTTTTATTGTCCTTTGTTCACATACCAAGTAAGTCAAAACTGCTGAGGTCTTAAAACCATTCTGAAAGTGCACCTGTGGTCACACACGTTCATGTGCCTCAATTCTAGGCTCCTCAAAGACACGATATCTTACATTCTTTCAGGGCCTTTCAGAATATCAAACTTTGGCTTACCCAATGTGCCTCTTGGGAAATATTTATGGAATGAATTGATGTCTACTTTGTCCTGTTGGAAAACAGCATAGAACAATTACACTGTCACTGTTTAAAGAACAATGTTCCTCCTTGGGGAAGTTTCCTTAAGCCTAATTTTCAACTGTAGAATGGTCTAGTATCTTACAAAGTTGTTTGGAAACGTAAAATTTACGAATCACTTATTAATGTTCTTACTGCTATTTGAGGGTGAATGCATATACAAGTAAAGCCATTTTTCTAATTTGGTACACCTAAATTTTTTGGCTCAATTCTAATTTGTGGTGTGTTTAACTCTGGAGGACTTGTTTGGATGAAGGTATTTGGAGCTGTCATATTCTCAGGGATAACTCTAGACCAGTGCTGCCTAGTAGAAATCCTAGGGGAGCCACAGAGAATTCTAAATTTTCTAGTAACCACATTAAAAATGTAAAAAATAGGTGAAACTAATTTTAATCTATATTATCCAAATATATCTAAGTTACCATAATATAAAGTTTTAAGGAGATGTGTTGCATATATTTTTAACAGGTGTTTGAATTGTTAACTTTGTGCTGATGGCACATCTTGATTTGGAGCAGTCGTGTTTCAGGGGCTCCACAGCTTCATAAGCCTCATGGCTACCACCCTGGATAGTGCAGATCTATATGATGCAGGGAGAAGCTATCCAAATAACTCATAAGTGGTCCTAAATTGTGGTAAAATATTTAACTGATATGGATACATATGCAGAATCTAACTTCAAGTTTGAGAGATCCCTTCTTTTGGGATACACTAGCTCTAATACTTAAACTAGTTTTTTTTCATAAGTTAAATGGGATTCTAACATTTTAACGAGTTGTATGTTAATAATCGGTAGTTTGCTGCTGCAAGAAGGAAAGCAAACACCACTTGACCCTCAACGTTTTCTCCCATGATTTTTCCTCCTATGAATTCTTGGATGACTTCTCAGAACTCAGCTCTTTTTATTCAACACAGGCTCATTCTGCAATACTCCACCTGATACATGTAAGTTGAGCACTCAAATTTTACAATGTACAAGTGTGTCAAGAATGGTGTAAATTAGGTCAAATAATGCAGTTATTCTTCCATAGGCAAATATATACTCGTGGTGATCTTCAAACTGGATTCTAAGTGTGAGAACTAGAGTCTAGTATAAGGAGAGCAGTGTAGGATGTGGACAATCCTCCTTTCCTCCCCACCACCCTATCCTATTGAATCAGGCTGGTTCCATTCTTATGTCTTATGTGCATCTTCACCAATGTAAGGTGGTACTCGAAAGACAGAAATAAATGGTCATGAACAAAAAGATTGATCATGAACTCTAAATAAGTAATCACCAAATCAAGAAAATCCTTAAATGAACAATGATGGTATAATGAGATGTAGCACAATCCTGCTCAGGCAGTTCTCTCAGGGAAATTATGAGCTTCAAGAAATAAGATTTTGACCTTGGTTTCATGACTACATCATAATGTTTTATGTAAATCAGATACCTTTCCAACTTTGTCATATCTCTTTTGTGTACCCTACAGAGCTATGGAGCAGAGCAATTATTCCGTGTATGCCGACTTTATCCTTCTGGGTTTGTTCAGCAACGCCCGTTTCCCCTGGCTTCTCTTTGCCCTCATTCTCCTGGTCTTTGTGACCTCCATAGCCAGCAACGTGGTCAAGATCATTCTCATCCACATAGACTCCCGCCTCCACACCCCCATGTACTTCCTGCTCAGCCAGCTCTCCCTCAGGGACATCCTGTATATTTCCACCATTGTGCCCAAAATGCTGGTCGACCAGGTGATGAGCCAGAGAGCCATTTCCTTTGCAGGATGCACTGCCCAACACTTCCTCTACTTGACCTTAGCAGGGGCTGAGTTCTTCCTCCTAGGACTCATGTCCTGTGATCGCTACGTAGCCATCTGCAACCCTCTGCACTATCCTGACCTCATGAGCCGCAAGATCTGCTGGTTGATTGTGGCGGCAGCCTGGCTGGGAGGGTCTATCGATGGTTTCTTGCTCACCCCCGTCACCATGCAGTTCCCCTTCTGTGCCTCTCGGGAGATCAACCACTTCTTCTGCGAGGTGCCTGCCCTTCTGAAGCTCTCCTGCACGGACACATCAGCCTACGAGACAGCCATGTATGTCTGCTGTATTATGATGCTCCTCATCCCTTTCTCTGTGATCTCGGGCTCTTACACAAGAATTCTCATTACTGTTTATAGGATGAGCGAGGCAGAGGGGAGGGGAAAGGCTGTGGCCACCTGCTCCTCACACATGGTGGTTGTCAGCCTCTTCTATGGGGCTGCCATGTACACATACGTGCTGCCTCATTCTTACCACACCCCTGAGCAGGACAAAGCTGTATCTGCCTTCTACACCATCCTTACTCCCATGCTCAATCCACTCATTTACAGCCTTAGGAACAAGGATGTCACAGGGGCCCTACAGAAGGTTGTGGGGAGGTGTGTGTCCTCAGGAAAGGTAACCACTTTCTAAAGAAATTTCATATGCTGCTAGAGACTTGAAATGAAGGATACAAGACTTTATCATTGCCCTTGAATTTAAATATTCTCTGCCTGGAAACAAGTGACCTACATGCCACCAACTGTGGGGCATTTATGGGATTTGGAAAGCTGCCTGGGATTTTAAGGATTTCATTTTTTTGAAAGGTATGAAGGCTCTGAACAATGAACAGTTTGGGCTGGGGTAGGCATAAAGCTGAGGTTTAGTAGTCACCCATGAGCTCTTAACAAGGTGTGTATTCCACTAAAAATCATGGAGTAGCCTGTTTCTGGCTCTGCTCAGTCATGACAAAAACGGTCATCTTCAACTACTTCCCTGACTTCTCTCGACTTTTCCCCTTTAGACAGTCTGTCCATTGACCATTATAAAGAATCAACTCAAATATTTATCATATTTCAAATATAGCAGTCACCATCTTATCCTCAGGCTGTGTTCTAAGTCTTTTTTGGGGGAAGCCTGAAACCATAGTATAGAACTATAGAACCTGACTGCTGTCAGTCACAACATATTTGCTCATCTTCTACCATAAATGTAATACATTTTCTTTCTTACCTAAGCACTTATCACACACTGTGGCTGTAGGTTTTGCAGTTTGAGGTGTGACAGCAAAATTACCACAAATGTGTTTTTCCTCCTACACAATTTCAAAGAAGATTCATTCTTACTGTAGATCTTGGCAATCTCAGCATATTTTTCTTGCCAGAACCTCCAGTTAAGAACTTATTAGAATGTGTCTCTGATAATGGTTTGGCTGTTTCCCCACCCAAATATCATCTTGAATTGTAGCTCCTATAATCCCCATGTGTAGTGGGAGGGGCCTGGTGGGAGTTAATTGAATCCTGGGGGTGGGTTTTTCCCATGCTGTTCTCATGATGAATAAGTCTCACGAGATCTGATGGTTTTACAAAGGGTGGTTCCCCTGCACATGAGTCTTGCCTGCTGCCATGTAAGACATGCCTTTGCTTCTCCTTCACCTTCCACCATTGGCTGTGAGGCCTCCCCAGCCATGTGGAACTGAGCCCACTTAACCTCTTTATAAATTACCCAGTTTGGGGTGTTTTATAGCAGTGTGAAAATGGATTAATAGTCTGTTTTTCAGAGACATGAGCAGAGGGCCAATATCTTTAGAAATATAGAACACTTAAAAATTAAGTCTTATAGGAGCTAGCAAGGTTTTGCCAAATACAGATTCACCCAAAAATGTCAAGTGGCACTTTGGAATGGAGTGAGAGTGGGCAGGCAGAATTATCTGAAATTAAAACAGAATCTAAACTCCAAACTGTGGGAGTCAGTCTTGGCTTGTAGCAACCAAGTCTATACCTACTGATGATATAAAAGGATTACTTCCTGAAGAGAGTTAAAGGGAAGGAAAAGAGAAAAAAGGTGAATAAGAAACATGGAAGATTGAGACACCACAAAATACCTCTTGTAAAAAGTCTAAATTATATAAGATAACTAAGTTCAACACTAGACAAAGTATTGTGAACACATGAACATGAGTTAGAAACTAATACCAATCAATACACTGTTCACAGGTCTGTTATTTTTTCCTTAGGTTGGCCTTGTATTAACAATTTTCCCAACTGATATAGCAGCACTTCTCAAACGCTTTCATGACATAACTATAAAAATTAGTGATATGGCACCTTGAGGAAAACTGATGTGGCTGTTGACAGCAAAATCAACTCCCCTGTGGCTGTAGCCAAATCGGGCACTGAAGACCAATCCAGGGTTGAGAGGATCAATATTGGTTGTAACCCATTTGTGGCTCTGGAGAAAGACACATCACACCAGAGGGAAGAGTGTATCCAATCAATCCAATAGTTGGAGAACTTTATTTATGGATGACATATAAAATATTCTTCAGGAATTATTGAATCACATTCTAAAGGCTGAAAAAGGTATAGGGTTTTCTGATTACCTGTAACAGAGGGTATAAGGTATGTGTCCAATGGATTTGTGATGACTAGAAATCACAAGTAATGTGCCCATTAGCTGACTTAATGCATGAAAAGCATTCAATGATGATTGGGAAGCAAAAATTTAGTAATAAGACCACCTTCTTTTCCCCATTAGAAAAATAAATGTTAGGAAGTTCAATTTTCCTAATGTTTAAATATCTTAATGTGCTCTGGTGAAAACTTTAGAAAATGCATAACTTGTATTACCCTCACTTTTTTCTTCTACCAATTGCATTATTTCCATCATTTTTCTTATGTCTCCTTTATTCGTACTGAATTCAATATTCTGTAGTACACGTAAGACAAATAATTCTGAAAAACACTTAACCTAAGTGACAAATGCCACTTTTGTGAAAATAGAAGATAGGAGAAAGTAGAAGGAAAATCTCTTGGGACCCAAACTCACTAAGCCAAAGGGAAAAGTCAAGCTTGGGAACTCTGTCATGCAAAACTATATTCCATATCTGTTCCCGACTGTGTGGCTACAGATTCCATACTGTCCCTGAATGGACAGCTACACAGGTAGAAGGCTACATACCTCCCCAAGGGACCTCCCTCACAATCTGCTAGCAAGGAAATTCCTGGCTGGCCCAAAGATCTTTACCTGAAAACCATTCTGTTGAATGTCATGCTGACAATGTAAATGAATGGCTTATCTTGACAGGCAGTAGACAGACAGGCCTGGGAGTCATCCCTCCACTCCCCTGAAACAAATGCATATTTGACTGCTTCCTCTACTGTGCACCTTATCTTATATACAATCCAGATTCACTGAGCAGGAGATGAACGCCCAGTTGAGTGTTCCTCTAAACCCTCTCCTGTCACATCTAAAGTGCGAATTCAGTCAACACTGATTAAAGCCTGGAAAGGAGGAAACTACTTCATTTATTCACACTTCCTTTTTCTTTTTTTTCCTCTAATGCCCACTGTTTCCCTTTTAAATATTGAAGTCTCCCAACCGTCTTGGGAAGAAGCACAAATCTCAGATGCTCCTGTCATCTTGTGTTCCTTTTTCCCAGGTGCATCCTCAACCTTGGCACCAGAAACATCTACATTGATTGAGACTTGGCTCCAATGCTTTTTGGTTCACACTTATAACTTTAAAGATTTCTCCCCAAACAAAAGAGGCCAGTGACTTTTGAGAAAGAGCTTTTTTAGTTTGTCATAGCCTCTATTTCTAAAGAAATTTAAAATCTAATTTTCAATTTAGAGCGAGGCTCTTATCCCCACATCACTGCCCTTAAAATCTCTCTGGAGAGATGCCAAGATTCAGTAAGACATTTTCATGATGAAATACCAAGAAACGATTCCAGTCCTTCACTTGGGAAAACAATGCACCCTCTGCAAGAAAGGACAGGCTGCTTCTAAAGTTCATGGTAAACTCAGTCAACTTGGATTAATTGCTAACCCAGGAATTCTTCCTGGGGGATGTGGGACTCTATTAGTGAAAAGACTTTTTGACCTAGCCTCACCCCTACACAATGTATTTAATAAGAAGTCTGACATTCCACTACTGCTTTAGAAAGACTTGGACCCAGCTTCTCTGAGGTAGGATCCTTAGATCTTCATGAAAAACAGAACATCACCCAGATACTGGGATGTTTTCTTCAGGTATTACTCTGTAACTATTAGAAGGCCACGTTACTACTGTGAGCTTATCTGCTAATAACTGAGGCAGTGGTCTTCTCAAGATTAAGCATAAATAACATATATTCACTATCTGGCAAGCAGACAACTGGAAAAGGGCATTTAGCATGAAACGTGGGAAGCTAAGGGAAATCTAATAGTTCAGAAGAATATGAATAGATTTACTGAAGGAAAATGGCATGTTAAGAGCTGACAAGTTGGAAGAATGTGCTTGGTATTCACAATGAGAAAGTTTCAGACTTGGTAGCAGGGGTGCATACTATTGGATAAGCATAGATTGCCCTCTGAATATCTTGTTAAAATTTTAATTTACATTTTAAGTTAAATGATTGTTCCGTTCATATGCATTTAGGTGTGGCTGAAGACTTCATGCTTGGAGGGAAATTATGATTTTATTCTTTATTTCATTTTAACCTCCTTCCTCTTTTATTTAACCCATAAGGCATCCACGTGTGCCTTAAGATAAAATCTTTTTTTTTTTTTTTAATAAAACTATTAGAGGTCTCGTAGAAGCCATCTTAGCATGGCATATAAAAGCCTGTTGAGCTGAGTAATTGGAGCCCAGGGGGAGATGTGGACATGTTGGAAGCTCAGACTGTAGGGGTATAATAATGAGTGCATTGTGTTTATAGCTGCAGGTGTCTGCCCCTTGCTTCAGCTCACCTCACCTCACCACTGCTGCTCCTGTGTGATCCTCCATGCCCTCACTCTCCATTTCCTCTTCCACGGCGTTAGCAGGGTGGACTAGATGGGCCAACCTCAGCTCGCCTCGCCTCACCTCACCTCACCTCTCCACTGCTGCTCCTGTGTAATCCTCCATTCCCTTACTCTCCATTTCTTCTTCCACAGCGTTAGCAGGGTGGACTGGATGGGCCATATGCCAGATCCTTTGATTTCTATTTGCCACCACACGAACTGACACTGCTGCCCAGAAGCATTCCCCTGCACATCCACATCACAGCCCTCCTGCTGGCAGCTTGGAATTTAGACCTTTTACTCTCAATGCTCCAGGAAACCAGATGTACTTCTTTCTTTCTAGTCCATTGGTGATATCCTTGACAAAGTAGTTTAGGTAAGTTGGCATGTAGCATTAAAACCTGTATTCTTCAAACTGAACTAATTTCTGGCATAGTAAGTGTTCAGTAAATGTTCACCTACATGCCATTATAGTGCTGATTTTGTGTTTTTTTTTTTAAGCCAAGCAAACCTCTTCTATCTTATGCCTAACTTTCCACACTGAAAATTTCCAAATTGTCAGTTGGGATGGGAGGGAAAGTAGACTACTTTTCCATGAATGAAAAGTTACCATTTAAATAAATAGGCAGATAAAGGGGGGTGGTAACTAAGGCAGTATGTAATTAGAACTGGAGATAAGGTAAGGGAAAAGAGAAATTCACATCATTGGATACTACGTTGCTGTGGAGAGAAGGGGATAAAATCTGATTAATGTAGGAAGCAAGGTCCAAATGCATTCATTCATAAAAGCAGACGGAGTACAGGAGTAGTTTGTGTAGGTAGAAGAAGAAAAGGAGTTCCTGGCCAAAGCCCACTGTGGCTATGAACACTTATGAGTAGCAATTAATATTAATCTTGCTTTCAAGACTAAAACTGCCAGGTGGATCTTTCATAAGTACCTTATTTCAGCATGTAACTTTCTGACTGAAACAACTCCCATTTGCACCTTATTTCTCGACGCTGAGTTCTGGTCTCTCTGCCTTCACTTTCCAGCCGCACTCCACCCCACACACCTCAGCTCTCCACGGGCTCTTCAGCTGTAGTTAGACTGGACTCTCCCCTCTTTCTTCCACCCCTAGTGCCTGCTAATTCCCATTTTCGAGCCTTTTGACATTATTCACATTGTCTCTGATCATGTCCTCTCTCCTTCAGTCTCGAGTTTCGGAATCAGACCGGTTTCCCTCTCTACTATTGCACTGTTTAACTGAACTGACTCCTGTCTTCTCCTGGTTCTTGTGATCCACTATTTTCAAAGCAGTGATCACTTAGATGCTCTTTAAAAGTTTCATGCTTTAAGATCCTTTCAGTCTCTAGCCCTAGGGTTGAACCTTTGAGGGTAAAGAATTCTGACATGGTATTCCTCTCTTTAACACTTTCATTTCCATAGTTTTAGTTAACCTGCAATCCGCCAGGTTGCTATCTACCATGTGTAAAAAATATTAAATAAAATCTCAAATTTTAAATTGCCCACCATTTTGAGTAGTGTGGTGGAAATATCATCCCTCTGTGTAGTTGATTCACACTGTCTATGCTACCCCCTGAGTCATTCAGTAGCTGTCTAGGTTATCAAATCGACTGTGGCGGACTCAGTGCTTGTGTTCAAGTAACTCAGTTTTTCTTAATGGCTCCAAAGAGATGGAGTTAGTGAAGCTGGCGATTTAGATGTGCCAAAGAGAGGCTGTAAGGTGCTTGCTTTAACTAAAAAGGTGAAAGTTCTTGACTTAAGGAGAGAGAAACCCTCAAAAGCTGACTTTGCCAAGATCTATATTAAGAAAAACTTTATCTTTGAAATCATGAAGGAAAAAATTATGCAAGTTTTGCTGTCACATCAAACTGAAAAAGTTATAGCCACAGTATATTGTCTTAGGTATTCTATTTTATTATTGTTAATCTCTTACTGTGCCTAACTTATAAATTCAACTTGATCATAGGTATGTATGCATGGGATAAAATATGGTGTATATATAGGGCTCAGTACTGTCTGCAGTTCCAGATATCCAGTGGGGGTCTTGAAAACTGTCTCCCACTGATAAGGGGAAA
The DNA here is from genome assembly GCF_000001405.40 of Homo sapiens. Classification (NCBI taxonomy): domain Eukaryota; kingdom Metazoa; phylum Chordata; class Mammalia; order Primates; family Hominidae; genus Homo; species Homo sapiens. Next base: position 285,131 of record NW_025791755.1, on the reverse strand, counting down.
CTGTACCTTTGTCCACTACTCAAACTGATGCATAGCATCTTCTGGTTTGCTATGACTTCATGTATGTAAAACTTCTAAAGTACCTGGCACACGTAAAGCCCTATTGGTTTATGGTTTGGGGAATACCAAACTTCCTGTTTCTCTTCCTCTGTCTCTTAGTGCCTTCCACACCATTATCTTCTCTCATAAGCTTTAATCAAAGCAGAAAGATCCCAATATACTATCCTTGGCCCCCTTTTTCTCATTCAGGAACAAATAATCGATGACTCTTAGAGCTATGTGGCACTTAGGATTAGTAACATGTTGGTGACATGCCATTCTTTTACTGAAAGAACACTGAGGTCTGGAGAAGTAACTATGCGTGTCATCCCCAGAGCAATTTGACAGCTGAGCAAAGCACAATGGCATTAGCTGTTATTTGTGGCTAAACACCTTTAAAAAGTCCCCAATATATTTTCATTTTTAGAAATCCCCACTTTAGACTTAAAATGATCTGCTTCTATGAGGATTTTTGATATGATACATTAATCAAACTTAACTATGTGCCCCTTAAGAATATTGTCAGTTCTATCAATCTTCATAGCTCACCCAGTGCTAGGTGAGTGTTTTGAACACGGAATGTGTTTGTGCTTCAGGCATTCTGTCTCTAAGGATGGAATGGAAAACCCTTCCCTTTCAAGCTTTACAGGTACGTTGTGTCAAGTGGAGAAGATCAGTTCTGGTTAGCAGCTTTATTGCCACAGAAAGGACACTGGCAGATACTTCTCATAGCTCTAGTCATGCTGAATTCCCGGAAAGGGGTGTCAGAATGAATTGCTCTAAGCTCTTCTCCCTGGTAGAAGAACCTGTGACTTCTCTTGGAGATCGCTTCAATTTTCGGTGAGTCACCAATTGTTCTTGATTTCTATGGCTTCTCCCAGAACAACTCCAGGGCTGTTGTCCTGAAACATACAGCTTTGATCACCTGGCACCCTGCAGAGATTCTCCTTTCCCTCTTCTCCATGTGGCAGACCACAGGTAGAATAAATGCCTCTTGGCGAGCTCACTCATCCCTCATCCATCAGCCCCAAGTGTGCAGATAACAGATGTGGAGCTCCTGTGCTTGGTGTCCTCCACCTCTCGGCTTGATCTTCCCACCCTCCCATTCCTGCCAGATGATTATGTTGCAACACTGGGTGATGTTATAACTGGTCCTGGGGGTCAGGGGTTCTGGGTTATGTTCTAATCTGCACTGGGGAGAAATCATTCGCCGCCTTGAAGAGCCTGAAGCTTTGATCACGCAAATAAAAGCTTTTTCTTTTTCTTTTTCTTTTTCTTTTTCTTTTTTTTTTTTTTTGGAAAGACTAGTTGATGAAGGGGAACCTAAGTGTCTTAGAGTGGAGAATGATGATAGTGAGGGAAAGATGACCTGATGGGGAATGGAATCTAGGATCTTGTATGTGTGAATAAGTCAAACCACACGTCGTAATGCTAAATAGCATCAACTCTAATGTTAAAATGTAGATGCTCGGAACTGATGTAAACAGAAGTAACTGATGACATGTTTTGTCCATAATGCAGATATTTTCCCTGTCTACTTGCAATGCCCAGTAGCCTATGGAATTAACATTAGGCATGCATTTGAACATGTCACATTTGGTTCTAAATATTGGCTTCATTGAAATGGGTGAATTGCTCGTTTGTGCCAAGCAGTGTAGTAAAGGCCTCTTTAGCAGGGCCTTTTCCCTACACATATCCCCACCCACTCACAGATGCACACACCACACATACCATGCTCACACACTCACATATGAACACTACACACACATGTACACACAATGCTCACACTCACAAGGAACCTCTTTTTTTTTTTTAACACGGTCTCGGTTGTATAAAAATGAGGTGGCTAAAATCATATCTTTCTCCTGTTTCAGCTTTTTTACTCTCCTCTTCTGGGATCCTACAGTAAGATAAGATCTAGGAGTTGAAAACGTTCTTATCCTTTTATCATAGACATTTGAGGCAATAGTGTTTTACCTCCTCTTTGAATACCTTGTGGAGTCTGATTATTTACATGAAACAAAATGCTCTGGTTCATGTTCTGATTCAAAAGTAATTGGTTATTTTCTTAGGTCATTTTCGTTTGTCTCATTCTTGCCTATTTCAGTTCCTCAAAGTATATTTTTAAAAGGATGATTGTCAGCTAACCTAACACTATAGTAATTAATGTATAATATCCATAATGCATTTAACTGAAACAATAGATGTGGGTCAAGACAAACTTACTGTCTGCGAGATTAATATTTTTAATTTCCAACAAGCTATTGCAAAAGCCATTGCAAATGGAATTGTATATTTAAATAGTCTCTTGACCCATGATTCGAAGCTGTGGCTATCACAAGAAAATCTTTCACCTGTTAGAGAAGGCAAAAGTAGCTGACTTTTATCACGCTTGACAGGAGTTAATATTTGATGCTCATGTATTTCTTTCTCCTCAACCAAGGTGTGACAAACTGAAGTTTCAGCACAGACCAACACAAAAATTGCTTTTTTTTCTTTCTCCCTTTGGATGTTCATCTTTTAGGCCTATTACTCATATCTCCATCTCTGAGCACTAAGAAGGAAAACTCTACTGTTGCTATTGTTTTTGCTTCAACATAAGGAGAGTTTATTCCTTGATGCTTCAGGGACTGTAAATTTTGACTATTCTAGAACCAAAAGATTCAGATACATTTGTAGTATTGGTGGCCAAAACGTTTGACAGAAAACAAGTTTCTTCAGTAATCCTGTCACTAAAATGAGAAGAAATACACCATAATCTAATAAAGAAAAATTCATCCCTCAGTATCCCTGAACATATAAAAGGGACACGCATTCATATTACTCAAAAAAGCATGAGAATTCATTCCATTGATTCAAGGAATGTTTGATACTGCTGTGTCGCGTCTGAGTTCAGAAATTTCTTTACCATCTATAGTTTTTGTTTTCTTGTTTTGTTTTTTGAGACAAAGTCTTACTCTTGTCCCCCAGGCTGGAGTGCAATGGCACGATCTCAGCTCACTGCAACCTCCGCCTCTCAAGTTCAAGCGATTCTCCTTCCTCAGCCTCCTGAGTAGCTGGGATTGTACAGGCACCTGCCACCATGCCCGATTAATCTTTGTATTTTTAGTAGAGATGAGGTTTCACCATGTTGGCCAGGCTGGTCTCGAAGTCCTGACCTCAAGTGATCTGCCTGCCTCGGCCACCCAAAGTGCTAGGATCACGGGTGGGAGCCACTGCACCCAACTGTAGTTATTTTTACTTATAAACATGAAGGATCAGTAAAATGGTAGAGAAATAAACTTGAGGAAAAAACCCAAGTAGCAGTGGATTACTAGGATGATATAATATTAGGACAGGTTCAGGATTCCACTCTGTCAGAGAAACTCTAACATTTTGGCTAAACAATATTTTAAGATGAGGTCATGATTGAATTCTATGATGCAGCATCTAAATTTTAGCAGAATTCATTGTCAACCGGAAAGACCACCAGGATAACGAAACTAAAGCCCTGTTCTGAAGCAGTTTGTGGTGGTTGTCCTGCCAGATTTATGATCCCCAAATTATTCTGTGAGAACAAATAGACACAAGTTCTCACAGCAGTCCATGCCTAAAAGATGAACTCCTTTTGCAGGACAAAAGTCTAACCACAAGACAGTGTGGCTCCTGACCCCAAATGAGGTCATCTGTACTGCTTTGATGTTCCTGACTTTCATAAAGCTGTTCAGTAACAACAGCAGCCAAAAAGTCAGTTATCTAGATGTTTTCTATCAATTTAAGTCACAAATAGATGTCTGTGGATGACTCTAGTACAATCATCTCAATGGAGATGCAGAGAGCAATTTAAATTCAAATCATTTCGCAAGGCGAAATGGGAAATAAGGCACAGTAACAACCCTCAGAAAACTTTCAATCTAAAAGTGATAAGATTATGAAATGTATTCAGAAGATAGTTCAAAGTAAAAATCAGATTCTAAACCAGGTACTGTATGAATTACATTTACATCTCACATCCAGCCTGTAGAGTACAGAACTATGATGACCTTTCACAGATGATGAAATTGAATTGAGAGATTAATTTTCTGTCCAATATCATACAGATCATTAATACTGAAACCCAGGATTTCAAATGATCCTGAAGTAGGTGATCTTTTCTTGATCTCACGCTGCTTCTGACATACTATTCCTGGTGGGCTCTTCCTACATATCAGGTCGTTAAATAAGCTGCCAGATTTCTGCCTTTACAGCCCAAGGAGCTTGTCATGGACCATGGGCATGGAGGGTCTTCTCCAGAACTCCACTAACTTCGTCCTCACAGGCCTCATCACCCATCCTGCCTTCCCCGGGCTTCTCTTTGCAATAGTCTTCTCCATCTTTGTGGTGGCTATAACAGCCAACTTGGTCATGATTCTGCTCATCCACATGGACTCCCGCCTCCACACACCCATGTACTTCTTGCTCAGCCAGCTCTCCATCATGGATACCATCTACATCTGTATCACTGTCCCCAAGATGCTCCAGGACCTCCTGTCCAAGGACAAGACCATTTCCTTCCTGGGCTGTGCAGTTCAGATCTTCCTCTACCTGACCCTGATTGGAGGGGAATTCTTCCTGCTGGGTCTCATGGCCTATGACCGCTATGTGGCTGTGTGCAACCCTCTACGGTACCCTCTCCTCATGAACCGCAGGGTTTGCTTATTCATGGTGGTCGGCTCCTGGGTTGGTGGTTCCTTGGATGGGTTCATGCTGACTCCTGTCACTATGAGTTTCCCCTTCTGTAGATCCCGAGAGATCAATCACTTTTTCTGTGAGATCCCAGCCGTGCTGAAGTTGTCTTGCACAGACACGTCACTCTATGAGACCCTGATGTATGCCTGCTGATGCTGCTTATCCCTCTATCTGTCATCTCTGTGTCCTACACGCACATCCTCCTGACTGTCCACAGGATGAACTCTGCTGAGGGCCGGCGCAAAGCCTTTGCTACGTGTTCCTCCCACATTATGGTGGTGAGCGTTTTCTACGGGGCAGCCTTCTACACCAACGTGCAGCCCCACTCCTACCACACTCCAGAGAAAGATAAAGTGGTGTCTGCCTTCTACACCATCCTCACCCCCATGCTCAACCCACTCATCTACAGCTTGAGGAATAAAGATGTGGCTGCAGCTCTGAGGAAAGTACTAGGGAGATGTGGCTCCTCCCAGAGCATCAGGGTGATGACTGTGTGATCAGGAAGGACTAGCAGGGACTCCCAGAGTATCAGCGTGGTGACTATGATCAGGAAGGACTAGTGGGGACTCCTAGAGCATCAGGGTGGCGACTGTGATCAGGAAGGACTAGCAAGGACTAGCGCAAACATCTGCGGTGCTGCGGCCAATAACGCAGCTATTACAGAAAATATGGTATTGGTTCTGAAGAATGTTCAGTGTCACTTTTAGCAATTCAGAATTAACAGGCAAAATCATCCTGTTGCAAGGATTACTTAGGAACAGTAGCGAGGTTGGTGAGGATCTCTGCATTAGTCAACTTTGTTCAACTGGATTCACAAACGTTTCCAGAGGGCATTCTCAGTCAAGTAGCCCTACAAACCATGGCACGCCAAGCAGCTCTTGGAAGTGCCCATGTTAACATGTGATCATGAGTCCTTCCTGTCTGTATTGCTGACGTGTGATCATGAGTCCTGCCTGTCTGTATTGCTAATGTGTGATCATGAGTCCTGCCTGTCTGTATTGCTGACGTGTGATCATGGGTCCTGACTGTATTGCTGACCAACTTTTGAATGGAAATTGGAGCATTTGCCACCTCCTTGATGACTTAATTTCAAACATTCAATACAAGTAAAATATTTTCTAGTGACAAATGTGTAGCAATTTTATTTAGAAAATATTTAGGAAGGTGATACTATTTTTGGTTCCATATTCTTAGTTACATTTTATGAATGTTATCACTTACCTCTGAAATTAAATACTTGCCCTGCCTTTATTCACATGGAGTCCAATATATTCCTGGAAATATTGATTCATTGATTGAAAATTGACTCTGCCATTAAGATTGTTACATGGCCAAAAACCTACAAAACTGCCATTTATGCTCAAATTGTTAATATATAAATGTAGAATGAATAAACCAAGACATTTTATTAGCTAACTTAGTTCCCGTGGAATAAGTTGCTCAATTTTCTTATTCTCAACATCTTCATTGATATGCTGAAGACAAGTATTTTTGTAATTAGTTGGAGTTAGGTGTGGTGCTTTGATAGATGTGTAACTTTGGTGGAATACTAACTAAGCAAAGACTACACTGACCCCACGATTCATGTAACTTTAGTTTCTCCTGTGTGTAAGGTCCTGAAATATGAGACATAAAAAATATTGACGGGACCTGGTGTTTATTTTGTTGATACGAGGCTTAGAAAACATTGGACAGAGCGGTTACATAGTTGACAAAGACTAAGCAAACGTTACTCAGCCTTATGTTGTTCTAGTGTCAACACAGATAGAAGGAAAAATGTTTCCTCCATTGTTGCTGATGTAGATAAAGAATATTCCCTTCAATATGCTAACCCCTAGGTGGCTTTTCATTCAGAAGGTTCCTAATAATTTGATCTTTACCCTGAAATCAAACACATGGAAAAGAGATGGAAGAATGTCCTGGAGGGATTAAGTGAAGAAACAGACCAGGATTCATTTATGAAATATCCTCGGTGTTATTTCAATTCAGCTCCATTCACATTTTATTCCTTTGTGTGTCTGCACTAATGCCCTCCATATTCTCCATTCTCCTGCCTTAGCTAGCACCTTCTCGATCTTCCCTCTACAAAACTCCTTCAGTTCACGTTGTATTTGTGCTCTATCCTGGGATATCTGTGTTTTCTTTCCCATTTCCTCAGTTGCTATGTATTAAAAATTAGGACTTTTATTCTTATGTTTCCAAGATTAATTCTTTGCATATTTAACTAGAATATTTAACTCTAACATTGACAGACATTTCAAGAGTATACCTGAAGCAATAAGTGAAATGCATTTTGACAAGTTTCTAGGGATATCATGGACATTAGTGATTGGGGCATGGAAGGAGGTGACTTATTCAATGTTTGAGTCTATTCAACAAATTTCATGGTGGTTACATCAACATGTTCTTTTCTTGGTGATTTATCAATCTTTCCCCTGTTGATGTGTGTGCACTTTTCTATTGTAGGCTCTATTTTAATACAACTTAAAAAAAAATTTTAATCTCCACTCCCTTCACACATAAAACTAGTCCCACTATAAAAGGGAGTGACCAAGGATTTTTCCCCAGTCATCTCGCCAAATTCTTACATAAGGTAATTTGTGGTCACCAGATTTGCTTCTCTATTAAAATAATATATAAATTTTGAGTAATATACATAATATTTAAGTTGCTAAATTATCAGTTGTATACTTGAAACATGGCATGCACTAATCCAGGTAATGAGGAAAAAATAGAAGACTGTCCCTAGTTTTGAAAACATTTAACTACATTACCTGATTTTGATTCTGATCTTCACAAAATCTTATAAAGTATTTAGAGAAAGAATTAGCCTCATGGGAGATGAAGAAGCTGATGTTCACAGCAAATTATTGCCCCATTCCAGCAAGAGGCAGATGGGGCTTCAGAACCACGTCTTCTAACCTCTGGTCTGGTGTTTTGTGCCAAGCCACGATACTGATAAACAATTTACAAATGAGAGAAGTGGCCGGGCATGGTGGCTCACGCCTGTAATCTCAGCACTTTGGGAGGCCGAGGCAGTTGGATCACTTGAGGCCAGGAGTTCGAGACCAGCCTGGCCAACATGGCGAAACCCTGTCTCTACTAAAAATACAAAAAATTAACTGGGCGTGGTGGCACATGCCTGTAATCCCAGCTACTTGGTAGGCTGAGGCAGGAGAATCGCTTGAACTCAGAGTGGAGGTTACAGTGAGTCAAGATTGTGCCACTGCACTCCAGCCTTGGCAACAGAGCAAGACTCTCTCAAAAACAAAACAAAGGGGAGAAGCACATGGCACAATGTGTATCTGCCAGCTTGTTAACCCTAATAATGACCTGGGGACAAAGGTCCCTTCAGAGCAACATGCTGATAAAAGCCATGTTCATTTGCTGCTGGATGCCAGTTAGGCTGGTCTAGCCAAGGACCTGATGACCCACATTGAGGGGTAATCAGATTCCCTGTGGGGTCTTTCTGCAGGTAAGGGATATGGATATAAAATTAACTGAACCCTTGCTTCTACAGACTTGTTTTATACAATAAACATCTATATGCAATATAAAATTGTAATAGAAGAAAGCATAAAGTCTACTTATTACATACCTTATTAACTGCTTTATTCAATGCTCAGGAAGATATCAGGCAAAAAGGAATGATCAGAGAAACTGAAGATAATTAGATAATTATTTAGCATAAAGGAAAAACGCAGACCTCTGTATCCACAAAAATTAAAAATCTGAAAAAGTGACAGAACATCCCTGTCAAGTTGGACAACTGACATTAAATGAAGTTCTGCTAAGAATTCTGACAATTCTGTGAAAACAAAATGACTGAAATGTCAGGTCCTGACTCTACAAAGAAGTTCCATACATAAAGCAATTGTATTCATAGACAACTTTATGGCATCGATAGGTTATTTAGTTAAAACAATAGGCTGATTCATACACAAATGATAAAAACCAGATGCATTTTTAAGCTTCTTTTTCAGCTGGGATTGTACTGAGGATGGATTTCTTAAACCTGGGTGACTCCCGTGACCATGTCACACACTTAGCAGCATTTCACTGTGTGCTTCCTTCTAAATCCCAGGTAATAAAGGCCAGGAAAATACTTGGTTTGCTTTGACTACATTCCTTTGGTTTATACAACTAGCTAAGAATATAAAATGGTAAATACCTGTAGCTTCAACTCTGGTTGTTTCACATTGTATTTTTTATGAGCACTTTAAGCTTATTTGGTTTTGTTAAATCATCACATACCTAAAAGAATTGTTAGGCATCGCAAGCACTTAAAACTTTTCCTAACATAGAATTTGCCCTTAATAAATACTAGTATAATAAACGAATGAAAACTTTCACTTTAGAAGGCTTAGTACCTTCTAAAAATCTTTAAAAGAAAGTTTCCTTGGCATCTCGGGTTTGAAGAGACGACGTGGAAACTGAAGATTAACAAAGTTAGACTTTTATAGGCTCACATAGAACTGCATGTCAAGGGTGATGCTAGAAGCAAAAAAAAAAAACACCAAAAAACTACTTAAATTATTTCCAGCTTCACTGATAAGTGATTTCTATTAACTATTTTAAAATTGGAGCTTATGTGAAAAAGTCATTGGCTTTTGCTAGATTCTTCATATAGTCCTTCTTTGAAGCAAACAGGAGGTAAGTCCCATTAGGGGCATTTCTCAAGGGTGGAAGCAGAAAACTCTTTCATGACTGAAAATTTAAATGCAAAGTTTAGGATTACATATGTCAGTTGATGTTGTCAAAATTGTTCTTTCCCTGGATTTCCAAAGTGTTTAATTGAAATATGACCAGTGATGTTAATGAAGTATTCTATAAACTTGGAAAAATTAAAATCAGAAAACATGTTTGAACATAGTTAAAACCATATCTTTGGGCCTCAGCTTCTGAATAGCTGAAGGTTTAATGAAGAGAACTGCTTTTCTGTCTCCCTGTATAAACTGGGGAAACTACTTCAAAGGGAGAAAGGATAATATAATTTTGGCCCAAGGCAGGGATGCTTGCAAATAATTGGCTTTGTGTAATTTGAAAGACTGTAAAAATCTTTACCTTTTTTGATTATTTCTAAGAACAAGATTATAATACATGCTGTGTATGTATTAAGGGATTTCATTTCAAAGATAGAGAATACAGTTGTAAGGAGATGATTATATAGGTTGAAAATATGCCACCTTTTCACTTAAGAATACAATGAACCTGCTATAGGATGAAGATGAACATAGATCACCTCACATTCCAGTGGTCACTTAGAATTCTATTATGTACTAAAACCCAAATTATTTAGTACGTGTCCAGTTAGCAGACGCTTAGGTTACTTCCACTTTCTTATTGCAAATAACACCGGAATGGACTTTTTTAATAAATTGCCCACTCATCTGATTATTTCCATACTACGCTTCCCTAGGAGCGGAAGCTTGTACGTATTTTTTAAACTCCTGGCATTGACTCAGTGCACACTCTCAAACCAGAAAACAAGACAGAAAACCCATTGTAATTCCCACCAGCAGTTTGAGATTCCCCCCTTTATCCTCGATGTTGATACAATATTCAAGTTGAATAAGATTGACTGAAACTCTATTTCTGCACTGTGGCCCTTCTACATTGCTATCCTATTGAGGAAGCTTCGTGGGCTCATGCTCTAGGTAAGAATAAAATTAAGTTCAAGCCCTCTGCCTCTGGCAATCCAAGGCCCAGCTGAGTAGATCTGCATGTCATTGCATTTCATCGCCTTGCAAGAGTAAGAAGAATGTGACCCTAACTGTGCAGTGATAGACACGTATTAAGAGGGAGGGATGAGTTGTTTTCATGACTCCACCTAAGAGAGGCCTGAAAAGACCGCTTGATTGGCAAGAGGCCAAAAACAGCGTTAATTTTCCAAAGATGTTTAGTTCAATAACGAAGTCTAGATAATCTGATCTGGCTCAAGTCGTGAATAATCATTTCAGAAATGGTCCCTCAACTGTCCCCAATCCACAGCAGGGAGACTCTCCTGTAACTTAGTTCCCCCAAACCCCCAACTTTAGGGAACTTCTAAGAAAGTGATCTAGTGTGTTACAACAAAAGTAAACATCACCATAAGAATATAAAGTCTGACTACACAGTTGGCCCTTCAAATTATCTTTTAAAAAAATCTGCCCATTAGAGGTCTTCAGTACCTAGGAAAATATAGGATACGAGGACAATTATGTTGAAAAAAATTATCATAATTTAACTCATTGTTTCATAAATCATTGATAGGATCACTAGTACCATTTCAATTGATTCCACAAGGATTTAAACTCAGTTCACACTTCTGTAATTTTTCTTTTGAAATGAATTTGTTTTTCATGTAATTTTAAGATTCTTCAAGGGTCATTCTGTTTTTCTTTTTCTTAGGGTACATGTGATAACACATTCATATGATTTGTAAAGATCAATGTAATTGAGATATCCATTACCTTAAATATATATTTGTATTTTCTTTATGCTAGAAACATTGGAATTTTCTCCTTAAGTGAACTCTGCCACATTACAGAGATCTTCAAATCTCAGATCCCCAACAGGGAATAGTACGTACAGGGCTTCATGTTGACAGCGGTGATGCTGTGCAGGAAACATGCCTATTGAATGGGGCTTTATGATGTCTGCTGGGAGATGAGTCATTGCCCTCTGCAATTGCACAACAGTGACATGTGTGAGTGGCATTTGTAAGACCTTTCTTGGGGTACATTTGATGAGATTTTTTTTATGTACCTCAGTATAAAGCCAGACACCTGCAGGCAGGTGTGTAATGACTGAGAATTGCCCAGGAGTTAGGGAGAATTTTGTGTTTCTGGAAAATTATTAACTTCATGTTGTCACTTTATTGCTTTGTTGACAACTTGTGATCAGAAATTCAACTTTTCCTTGGGTGTGTTTATGGCCTTTTACCCTGCATTCATTTAACTTCTCTTTGGCTGGTTGTAAACGGAAGTGATGCTCAAAGGGATATTGTCTTTGGGGAGAAGTTAAGGGTAGTGGCAGAGAGTATGAAAAACAAAAGTTGAGTCCTTGAGCCTGGATCCAGCTCCTCCCACCTGACTCTGAGCCTCAGTTTTACCAGCTGTGAGATGGTGATAATTAGTGATCGACCCGTCGAGGTGCTGTGAAGAGCACGTGGAAACGTTGGCACACGTCCACGGTGCCTGAGACCCAGCAAGAAGCACTACACAAGTGCTGGCCAATTCATTATTGCAACATGTCTCAGTTTTGTTTAAAAGCTAAGTAAGAAAATCATTTATCAGCATAGAAGCTCCCTATGGCTGTGGTACCAAATGACCACAAAGTTCATAATATCACAGCCTGGAGGTCAGAAGTTGGAAACCGGTCTCACTGGACTGAAATCACGATGTTGGGAAGGCTACCTACTTTTCTATGAGGTTTTAGGAGAGAATCTATTTCTTAGCCCTCTCCAGTTTCTAGAGACCATCTACATTCCTTGGCTTGGGGTCCCCTCTATCGTCAAACCCGGAGACCGACTGAGTCCCTCCGACCTGTTTTCATATCACGTCTCTGACTCTCCTTCCTCCTCTCTCCCATGTAAGGCCTTGGCATTTGCAATTGAGTCCAACAGCATAATTCAGAAGAATCTCCTCATCTCAGAGTTCTTAATCATACCCACAAAGTCTTTTTTGCCACTTAAGAGAGCATATTCATCGGTTCCAGACATTAGCACATGAGGACCTTTGCTGGAGGTGGAAGATGATTCTGCCCACATGTGGTTATATTTAACACTAAGTCTATTACAGTGTCGTTCAATTTAAGTAGCAAATTAATAAGCCCTATGGCATTATTGAAGACAATTCTGATCATAGAAGGCAGATGACATTTTGCAATAAATCATACACAATTTTATCTGTTTAACATAAGGTGAATTCTAACTAGATTAACATCTGCAGTACAATCTCTGGGTGTATAATAACACTTGAAGCTAAAGTTATCTTCAACCTATTAATTGGTACCTGAGTTGAAGAGCTGTCAGAGCAAGGACAGATTCAGAAGACAGAAGTGGCGAGTCCCTCCTTTTTGTGAATTATGCTGACATCTTAATTACTCTAAGTATTTTAAACCAGAGCGTAATTGTCTCAAATTTGTACTGTATATAAACCTTAATGATTTAGAAGTTGTATTGCTGTCTGATCTTAGAAACTTGTTATTTATTTTTCCTAGAATGAAGTTTTTTTTGATCAAATATTGGTGGATCCCATTTTTTTGTCTATTTTGCATTGAAGATAAACACAAGTGCCTAGCATTAAAAAAAATTATTTCTCTTCAGCACATTATATAGAATCAGGAGGTGTTTTGAAGGAATTCTAGAGGTATTCCTTAAAAAGCATAAAATTTGCATTTTTGCTAGCTGAATGTGTTTAAAAATGATTTATTCAAAGATTTACAATGTGCCAGTCGTATCTTTAGATGGTGAGAGTACACAGTTAACAAAATAGGCACAAATCCTTATTCACATGAAGCTTACTTTCTAGCTTGAAGAGACACAAAACACAAGGTAGTGTCAGAAGGTGTTAAGAAAAGTGAAGAAAAATAGTCATAGGACCTCTGAGCAGGTGGCTTTTGAGCAAAGCCCTGAAGTACATGAGGGGATGGATGGCCTTGCACGGTTGGAGGAGGAGCCCCAGGCAAGGGGAGCAGCAGAGGCAATGGCCTGGGCTCAGGGCTCTTGCAAAGTGGGGACAGAGGACAAGGAAGCCACCGTCGCTGCAGCCCAGGGACAGACAGACTGGAGTCGGCGGGAGATCATTTCAGAAGACAAAATGTTCAGAACGTGATGGGCCTTAATGTATGATGTAAAGCACAACTGCAGGGTTTCAAGCAGAAAGTGGCGTGGCGGGATGCACGGGTCCCGATGTGACTTTGATGGTTGTGCTGAGACTAGACTTGGAGGGATTCATGAGACAGCAGGGAGATCGTGGGAAAGTTCGTGGAACAACCAGGGTAAAATGTGTCATGATGGATTAAGCCAGGCACCTACTAGTTATGGACATGAGAAATATTATAGGTTTTTAATTGTTAATAAGTTTTACTTATTCATTTCTTTTTTAGAAACAGGGTCTTGCTCTGTCACCCAGGCTGGAGTGCAGTGGCACAATCATAGCTCTCTGTAACCTCAAACTCCTAGCCTCAAGCAATTCTCCCAACTCGACCTCCTGAGTAGCTGGGACGACTGACGTGCACCACCACGCCTGGCTAGTTTTTTATAAAGACGAGCTCTGTTACCCAGGCTCATCTCAAACTCCTGGCTTCAAGTGATCCTTCCGCCCTGGCCTCCCTAAGTGCTGGGGTTACAGGCATGAACCACCACACCTGGCCTGTTTTTACTGTTTTATACATTTTGGATAAAATGTTTGAATTTGTTTAATATGACAAGGAGATGTGCTCTCTTCTCCTTAGTGTGGGTTAATTCTATTAGGAAGTTTTTGGAGTCTAATATAAAATGTTTCTTTTATATTTTTGGACTTTGAATTAGCAGAATATATTTTTAGGCAATATTTGTGTTCACTATCCTTGGGAAATGGAATAGAATTGAAACGATCAGGAGTGGATCAGGAGGCTAAGACTCACTGAAGTAGAGTTTTGACCACGGAGTATTTCTGGGAGGCCTGACAGAGGAGGCCACAGTCCTTAGCCCCTTTCACAGTAATATGAATATATCAATCAGAGGGAAATTGGGAGTAAGCCAATTTAATTTTGATGTTAGTAAATAACTTTTTTGTTTAGACTCTATTTGTACTGATTCTACTGGTCACTTTTCAAGGTCATAACAATTCTGGTACCTTTGTGAAACCAGATATGACTTCAGCATGGTAAAGGACAACCAGCTAAATTTGAATTTCAGATGTACAGTGAACCCTTTTTTTTGGTGTTAAGAACATTATGAACTTACACTAAAACATTTTTTGATTATCTGAAAGTCAAACATAGCTGAGAATCCTGTATCTTTGCTAAATCTGGCAACACTAGATAGTGGAGCCAAGGTGTGTCTAGCAACATGTGAATGGGGGGAAACCCTGCAGCATCCGGGCTCCCCCGTTGATCGGACTTTCATTTTTACACAAATGTTTGAGACTCAAGCCACTGAGGCCTACCATGCCGGGGAGGAGGTGCTGGCGGGGAGAGGGGGGCGATTCTTACTACATGTATGGTTCTTTCTCTTGTCTAACAGTTAAATCTATCTTCCACCTGGTATGTTAAAGATAAAATTCCTTCTTAAACGGTGGCCTGTTGCTGTCACATTTCCATGTATCTGCTCCGTAGCTTTCTAAGCCTGAGTTTGGCTCTGGCCTCAGTTCTGTTAAGTGCTGGCAGACGTGTAGCTTGGTGAACCCTGCTCCTGTGTGTCTGCTGCTGACATAGCTTCAACCTACCAACATTTTCCTTTAATTTCCCTGCCCATTTCCCAAACCTACAGTAGCAATGGAGAGCAATGCAGGGAGTCAGCTTAGTGTCATAAACTGCTTTTTAAAAACTTAATTCTGGGAGCTTTTTGCAAATAGTTTTTTTTACCTTCTAATTTATCTGAAGAAAGATCTGCAAAAAGGTTAGCAAAACAGCACAAAGAACAGTGAGGAGTCCCAACTTTAGACATAAACAGTGGAATAATAGGCATCGAAGACTTGGAAGAGTAGGGGGTGAAAGCGGAGCGAGGGGTGAGAAATTAGTAATATGAGCACAACCTACGCTATTTGACTTACGGTTACCCTAAAAGACAAGACTCCACTATGCGATACATCCATGTCATGACACTGCACTTGTCGTCCTTAAACTTATACAAATAATTAAAAAGAAATAGAACAGAAACATGGGGCTTCGTGAATAAAACGTTCCCTAATAGTTATCCTAACCCTTCATTTCTTCAGTGATTTACTTCACTCCCCTTTATCCATTTGGTCAATGAATCACCCTTTTTTCCAACTAGTATTTACTTAACCCTACTATGGGCTGGATAACTTTCTGGATACAAGAAATGCAGCATGGACAGAACAGATATGGTTAAAACCCCATTCTTGGTGTAGCATACAGCAATTGTATCACGCAGTTACCATAACCTCCAGCAGCATGATGAACCATAGACGCAATATAGAAGGAGCTGTTCTCTGACAGGGAAATGCAGCCATGGTTTTTGCTTCATGATGTGCATGTTGGTCTGCCTGTTCTTCTCTAGCCTCTAGCCTGGAAGCTTCATCCTGACGGTACCCTCAGAAGTGTCACCTCTACTGCAGACCTTTCCCATCTTGACCGTGTTCTCTTGCCTCCTTCCTGGTCCTTGTGTCTTCCCGTTGCCCTGGGACGCTCGTGGGCCATATCAATGACGAACACATCATCCTCTGACTTCACCCTCCTGGGGCTTCTGGTGAACAGTGAGGCTGCCGGGATTGTATTTACAGTGATCCTTGCTGTTTTCTTGGGGGCCGTGACTGCAAATTTGGTCATGATATTCTTGATTCAGGTGGACTCTCGCCTCCACACCCCCATGTACTTTCTGCTCAGTCAGCTGTCCATCATGGACACCCTTTTCATCTGTACCACTGTCCCAAAACTCCTGGCAGACATGGTTTCTAAAGAGAAGATCATTTCCTTTGTGGCCTGTGGCATCCAGATCTTCCTCTACCTGACCATGATTGGTTCTGAGTTCTTCCTCCTGGGCCTCATGGCCTATGACCGCTACGTGGCTGTCTGTAACCCTCTGAGATACCCAGTCCTGATGAACCGCAAGAAGTGTCTTTTGCTGGCTGCTGGTGCCTGGTTTGGGGGCTCCCTCGATGGCTTTCTGCTCACTCCCATCACCATGAATGTCCCTTACTGTGGCTCCCGAAGTATCAACCATTTTTTCTGTGAGATCCCAGCAGTTCTGAAACTGGCCTGTGCAGACACGTCCTTGTATGAAACTCTGATGTACATCTGCTGTGTCCTCATGTTGCTCATCCCCATCTCTATCATCTCCACTTCCTACTCCCTCATCTTGTTAACCATCCACCGCATGCCCTCTGCTGAAGGTCGCAAAAAGGCCTTCACCACTTGTTCCTCCCACTTGACTGTAGTTAGCATCTTCTATGGGGCTGCCTTCTACACATACGTGCTGCCCCAGTCCTTCCACACCCCCGAGCAGGACAAAGTAGTGTCAGCCTTCTATACCATTGTCACGCCCATGCTTAATCCTCTCATCTACAGCCTCAGAAACAAGGACGTCATAGGGGCATTTAAAAAGGTATTTGCATGTTGCTCATCTGCTCGGAAAGTAGCAACAAGTGATGCTTAGAGAGTCACTGCCCAGAGGATAAGGGTTCCTAAGGACTTCCTCCATTTGCCCTGTTTCCCTGGAGATGATCTGCTCAGCTATCAACCTACACTTACTACTGGCAGTTAAGATGATTCACCCTGTCTGGATTCTTGCTCCTCGGGAGCAAGGGAAAGATGTTTTACTGTTATGCAGAGATCTTTCAGTGAAGTATCAAAAATGGTTTATTATGAAGTTAAATAATTTATCTAGTCTTTTTATTTAGGGAAGAAAAACCCCAAATATTAGAGTTCACAGCAACCTTTCACTCTGAACTAGATCTCCTTCACAACATTTGTTCATGTTTAAACAACACAATGAAAGAAACCTGCAAAAGCTATCAAATGTTTACAGTCAAATTCTGTGATTAGCAGCAATAGAGTAAAAGAATGCCAATACACAAGTGGCAAAGAAGATAAAAGCACACACTTTAGTCGTGTTTTTTATTTTAGTATTAACCCCAAGTAACTAGAAGCTCTAATATTATCGTTGAATCTCTGACCCTCTTGAGTACAGACAGCAGCTATCAAATACTAGGCCACAATAAATGGTGGTGAATTGAACAGAACTGAGTATGAATGGGTGGAGGTTCAGCATGACACAGCTACTCACAGGGAATAGACTCTAACACTTAGCATCAAAGAACATGACTGCCACTTTCCTTGAGGATGTATTAACAGGATACCAGGTTCGTTAACATCCATGGCCAGAAACTTCACTTTTCCAAGTTCTGTGATTCAACAGCAACACTTAAGGCACTTTGAGACTGACTGAGTGGGGTGGGAAGTCCCTGGAGTTTTCCATGCGGGTGTTACATGATAACAGACACGTTTTTAAAGCATCACTATGCCTACAGTGTAGGAAAATAGAACAAAGGGCAAACATGGATACAGGAAGACAATTGAGGTTTCAGAGATGAGAAACAAGGATGGCTTGTGTAGGGTGTGGACACAAAGGATTTGGCTCATGGATTTGGCGTGTGTTAGCAACAGGTGTAGAGTGAAGGATAACTTATTGGTTTGGGCCCAAGTGAATAAAAAAATGGAATATTGATATTTGGAAAACTTGTCGGTAGCAGAAGTCAAGAATTCACTTAAGATAATTTGGAAATATCTATTAGGTATTTAAGCTAGGCCGGGTGCAGTAGCTCATACCTGTACTCCCAGCACTTTAGTGGAGACCAAGGAGGGTGGATTGCTTGAGCTCAGGAGTTTGAGACCAGCCTGCCAACATAGCAAAACCCCATCTACCAAAAACACAAATATCAGTTGGATGTGGTGGCACATGCCTGTAGTCCCAGCTACTTGGGAGGCTGAGGTGGGAGGATCACGGGAGGCTGAGAAGTTGAGGCTGCAGTGAGCCGTGATGGCACCACTGTGCTCCAGCCTGACTGGCAGAGAGGCCTTGTCTCAAGATAAATACATAAATACAGAAAGATATTGAAGCTATATGTAAAGTCAATTGTACTTCAGATTAGAGTTCTGAACATAAAGCATACATTTAATAATCAGAGTACGAAGAGCATTTAAAAACAGGTTTTTTGAGAGTTTTCTTAAGAGAAAGCTTGAGACTGAGATCTGAGGCAGCTGGCGTCACATGAAAAATTAGAAAGATAGGGTTTTATGAGGTTAGAAGAAATCTAAGACAAAGTGTTTAAAGAAAGTAAAAGCAACTGCAACAAGTGCAGTCTATGGTTGAAATAAGTGAGATTTGGTTACTGTATTTAGCAACATGAAAGGTTACTTGTAACCTTAGTGACCATTTTTAATGGAGATATGCTTAGAGATGATTCAGGGTAAAATCAAGGGGGAGGAAGTGGATAAGGTAAGTTGAGTATGAATTTTTAGATTTTTTTGTAAAGGAAATGGAGTATAACTAGAAAAACGTGATACCAATGTGTTTGATGTTAATGGTGCTGTCATGTGATATTGAGTATGAAGTTCAAAGGAATAATTCAGTACAAAAAGAAAATCGATATATGAGAAATGGAGGAAACTTTCAGAAAGATGGCCTTTGAGAGTGGCCGAAAGCACAGAAACCAGTTTAGAAGTGGAGAGTTTGAACTTTTGTAAGAGCATGGCCAACTCAGTGACAATAGCAGGAGGTCAGGCAGAGCGTGTGTTATAACTAAGATCCCTTCCGATGGTTTGTATCTTCTCGGTGCAGTTAGAATCAATGAGAGCGTCTATGAGTAAAGATCAGGGTGGTCCCGTCAAAAGTTTGAGAGGAGAAGAGAATCATCTTGGAGAAGAGGTAAGTTAATAAGCTAGTAGAGACATCTGGGTTGTAGGACAACCTTCGGACTCCCCCTCCTTTGCATTGAATTTATGAATTTAGCACAGCACATTTGTCAGACGATTCATGATGTGTGTTCGGGATGGTGGCCAGAAAATAGTAGGCACTCAATATGTTAACTAGAATTATGTTAAAAACAAGGACAAAATAACAGCAGCAACTGCTGTTACTACTACAAACTTATTCCTTTGTGAATAAAGTGTGTCATATTTATGCTTTTCCAAGGCATATAATTTGCAGTATGTAATAGATGTTCAGTAGCTGTTTATTTCAATAAATTTGTCTCTTTGGGCAATTAAAAGTTGTATAGGCAGAATTCTTCATGGTGTGGAGTTTCTTGTATAATATGGCATGATTTTGCATTATAAGGTGACACTGTCACTTCATTTCAAAATGTTAATTATTTACGTTTAGAAGTTAAATTCCACCCTACTCCTAAAACATTCTCTCTGTAATCTTGGCTTTGGTGGTGGCTTCTCTGGTGATGGGTTCCCATTTAGCGTGGGAAAATGTCCCTGCTCTGAGTGTCCTAGTTGTAGTTGGCACCAAGAGGAGATGGGCACACAGATTTCACTAAAATACTGTGTGATACCAGCATATATGCCCAGCAACAGATTGTTCAGATGTTGAACAGCTTTTTATAAGGTTTTTTCCCCATGAATATTTAACTGTTCTTTAATTATTTCCACCCCATCTGCCAATTTCAAAGGCAATTTAAGGGTGATAAGGCCATATGCTTGGAGCTTGAACCCCCTGGAGTCTGAATATTAGCCTATTTCTTTCTGGGCTGTGTGCCCTGAGCATGTTACCTAACCTCTCTGTGCCATAGTTTACTATCTTGCTCAGAGTCTATCATAGTTGAAGAATGAGGAAGAGGCTTCTTAGAGCAGATATTTTCTAAGCCTACAACTGTTGCTCCTTCAGGCCATGGGGGCTCTGCCTGAGTGATCTAGCCAAGCCGTCTTCTGTGGGTTCCCTGGGCAAAGCTCTCATCAGGAGTTCCTTGATTCGTTGAATAGCTTCTACCTCAGGTACTGCACTGAGACATTTGCGATTGCGTCTAAGATGGTTATATATCTCCCCACTTTCTCTTGGCTTGCTGATCTATCTGTACAGGAAGAAGAAATCTATACATGAATATGAAGTCCCAAGTGATTGTTACTATGGGACACCATGACATCCTCCTCCTGACACCTTGTGGCCAGTTAGTAATATGACATTATCCTAAAACAACACCATGTGTTCTCTATTCTTTAAAACTGCATGTATCATTAGGAGAATAAAAAAAAAAAATGAATAATATCGGTACCTTTGGACTGATGGTGACATCATTTTTGTTATTAAACATTTTCTGCATTTTAGCAGTTATTTTTACTCTGTAATCCCTCCAGAATCAATTGGAAAAAATACAATGAATTGTATAAAAACCTTGAATCTATGATTATTTATTGCCAAATAATTTGCCAAAAAGTTTGTTTCTCCATATATATTTCTGTAATTATAGATAGAATTTAATAGCTTTAAATATTATAGTTAATATTCCTCACTTTATTTGGTAAAACTTGAAAAGTTACTGAATTTGCTACAACATAGAGGAAAGAAGTCTTTGCTTGGGGATATTTAATTCCAGCCACTTTGTAATTTTAGGGAGTGAATTGAATCACCACTTAATGACGCAGGCAACAGCAGGGCTTCTAAGAAAATCACATTATAAATCAGTGTTAATCTCTTCTTATACTATGAAATATAACATTAGAAATGCCATGCAAAACTCATTATTAATCATCTCAAGAAAACAGTTGTGAAACCATTCATGAAATAACCCCGCACCCCATCAAGAAACGGAACATAACCAGCACTCCAGGGCGCTCTTGTTTGATCACCGCACATGCCCCAGGGCAAAAACAGGCATTATTCTAAATGTCTCTAACTTTCATTTGAACTATTAGACATGCAAAAATGTGCAAAATTAGCACAATGAGCTTCCAATGTGGCCGTCACTCAATTTCTCTTAATGCTGACATTATTTTGAAACAGTTTTGCTCTTGCTGCCCACGCTGGAGTGCAATGGCATGATCTCAGCTCAGTGTAACCTCCCCTCCTGGGTTCAAGTGATTCTCCTGCCACAGCCTCTCAAGTAGCTGGGATTACAGGCACCCACCACCATGCCTGGCTAATTTTTTGTATTTTTAGTAGAGACAGGGTTTCACCATATTGGCCAGGCTGGTCTTGAACTCTTCTGTCTGCTCAATTGCACACTGATAATGTTGATGACAAGCTTCTTTCCAGGAGCAGAAGAAAGACCAGATGAGACAAATCATTCCTCCACCTACCCAGGGACTTCTGCATAATTGACTCTTCCTTGGCTCCTTCTTTCTCTTCAGACATTCACCTTATCCTGTGTAAAATGTACATTTACTGGGCACTAACTGAAGTCTCACAGAAACGTAACCATTGACCTTACCACCAACCCGCCCATCTTCCTATATGCCTTCCCCCACCTTAAGAAAATGTATACGTACTGAGTGTTCTAAAAACCTCTTTGGAAAAATGGCCATGGGTGTGTCTGTGGCTTATTTTTCTAGACATACTCTAATATTGGCTTAATGAAACTTGACTGAGCAATTCTCACTCATTTCAGTTAAGTTTCTAACATTTCTTTAGTTGGGCCTTGACAGCGAAGAATATTGGTCAGTTATTTTGCCAAATGAATTTCATAGTAATTATTCCCTGGATTTTTTCTTGCATGACTGGATAAATATTCCTAAATACTACAGTTTAATTTTTACTATTCATTGAAAATTATATAAATTGTATACCCTGTCGATGAAAAGTCAAACCCTGTATTTTAAGATTTATTCTGAGCCAAATGAGTGACCAATGGCCCATGGAACCACCCTCAGAAGATCCTGAGAAACACGGGTCTGAGGTGGCCGGACAACTTGGTGTTACGCATTTTAGGGAGACATAAGACATCAGTCAACATGTATAAGATGTACAGTGGTTTGACCTGGAAACACACAACAATTGGAAGCAGGAGTTTCTAAGTCAGAGGCAGATTCAAAGATTTTCTGATTGGCAATTAGCTGAAAGAGTTGTTTATCAGTAGAAAGAAATGTGTGGTTATGGTAAGGGTTTGTGGAGACCAAGACTTGATCTTGTAGATGAGGCCTCCAACAAGCAGGCTTCAGAGAGAAGATTGTAAATGTTTTTTAATCAGACTTAAGTCTTAAAGAATCTGTTCTATCAGTAATTCCAAAAGGGAGGGAGGGTATCCTGAGGCATGTCAAGCTCTTCCTTCCTATCATGGCCTGAACTAGTTTATCAGGTTAACTTTGGAATGCCTTTGCTGAGACGAGGGCCCTATTCAGATGGTTGAGGGAGCCTTAGAATTTTACTTTTGGTTTAAAACCCTTTAGTATTTAGCCGGAATTTTAGGAAGGGGACCCTGATTTTTGTAGTGAGAAGAACCCATATTAGTGCCCATGGACATAAACATACACAAACAACAAATAAGCAATTCAAGATCTGATAAAAAGATAATGACATTGAAAGATGCTTCTGAACCCTATGTCTGAAGCCACCAAACAATCCAAGCAAAATCATTCTTGTGACCTGGTTACAAAGATGTGCATTTCAAATACCAGTAAAGAGAAAAGACACAAAAATGGGAAGATTAAAAGAATTTTTAAAAAGAAAACAGATTCCTTATTAGCCTTTCCATCAGAATGAGCTTATTTCCAGAGTCCCAGCCATTAATGAAGAGCCTAGAGTAGTTATGAACAAAATTTGACTTCACCTCTCAAAACCTGACTTGGTGAACAAGGTCCCAAAACTAGCTGCCATCAGTGATATGCAGAAGAGCAAGTGCAGAGGGCAAGCTGGGCTACAAGAGGACTCTAAGGGGCACAAGCAGGTTGTGTGGTTCAGTCTCCTGTGAGCATGCTCTGAGAGGCAGATAGGTCTAAAGAGCAGAGATGGAAGATTGACACTGATAGAATACCATGTCAGAAGTCAGAGTCACAATCACTTTGGTGACTGAATGGGGGGACAGGACGGGTTTTGAGGGTTGGTAATCATTCTTGACCATCTGGGTCAAGAAAGAGATTGAGCTCCTGGTCTCTAGCAATCCTCCCACCTCAGCCTCCCCAGTAGCTAGGAGATATATGTATTTGTATATACATACATATGGGTGTGTGTGTATATATACATATATATGTATACATGAAAGAAAACTGACTAATCTCTATATGTGTATGTGTGTGTGTATATATATATATATGTATATAGAATCTCCTTCTGATAAATATCCTGTTGAAACTGTGACTCCCTCAGGAATTCTCGGTGCCGTCTTCACAGCCCTCCCTCTTCTGCAGCCCCTGCTCTGCCACTTCCATTCAGGCTGCTTGCCCCAGAGATGGGCTGCGCTGCACGGGGCTCCTCCTGAGATGCTGCCTCTTCCCCATGACCCTCTGGATTCTTGATTGTCTGTGTACCACGTCTTCTACTTTAAAACCTCCCCATTGTGGAGCATGTCTTTCAACAGGTTTATAAACAAAGTACGTGGGAGGAAATTTTTTAAAGGCCTTGCATGTTTGAAAATGACTTTTTTTATCCTCCCACTTTGACAGTAGATCTGGCCAGGTGTCAATGTGTAGGCTGAAAAAAGCTTTCCCTCATGAATATGAGGATGTCCCTCCTCCATTGTCTTCTAACATTCAGTATTTCTCCTGGGAGTTCCATGCTCTCAATTTTAGTTGTGTTGTCGCCCCCTGGAGGCTTCAGGCTCTCCTTTGGCAGTCGTGTTAAACATTCATAATGTCTTCATAAGGGCTCTTTTTAACAATTATGTTGGGCAATTGATGAACCTTTTAATCTTGAAACGTGTCTTTCAATTCCAGAATTTTTGCTCTGAAACATGACTGAAATATGTGCTTTCCTTCCATCTAAAACATTCTTTTCCTCTGGAATTTTTATTACTTGATTTGCCTCCTGACTCACAAACTGGATCTCTTCTTCTACCTTCTTTTGCATCTGTCTTGTCCTACTTTACAGTCTACACTGCCATAATCTAAATGTTCAAGAACTCTTAAAAATTTCTCCAATGCTCTGTTTAAAACACCCTGTTCTAGTTTAATATCTGTTCGTATGTTCTTATCTGTCATAGCAGATTAGTCAGTTATCTTTTATAGAAAGAGTTTCTCTAATTACTGCATACTGTATTTCCTCTTATTTTCACTGATTTGTGTGATTTCTGCCTTTTATTTTAGAAGCTTTCCTCAAGTTTTGTAATCCCTGTCTCTCTCCTAATGTTAGTCTCTGGATAAGGACAAGCCTTAACGAGTAGGAGTCACTAAACTATGATGTAAATGACTTATTTTGGAAACCTCAAATGTCAGTATTCCTAGGTATTTTCTTTGGTATGGTCTGCTTCCTCTGCAAATCTTTCTGGGGGCTGCCAGCATTCTGAGAACCCACGTTGGGGAAACGTGCTGGTGTGCTTCACAATGTAGGGCGCAGACTTCCCACTTACACCCACGCAATGTCTGTTTTCCAATCCCAGAGCCCTTTGGGTACACCACCACCTCCCAAGTTAGTGTCGCGTCAGGTCGGGGAGGAAGGGTTGTCTAACTAAAGTGCGTGTATAACAGTTTTTATACAAACTTTTAGCCAAGCCTTCCATTTCAATGTTACCTGTAATATTTAGACAGACCTGATTAGGAGTTCTTCCAGTAGGAATCAACTTGCTTCCGAACTTCTCCACTCACCAGCTCAGTGTTCTGCTTTGAGATTTTTGAGTCAAAAAGTTTCCTTTGGCTTTCCAGCTTCCAAAACTTTGTTGCTGTTTTTTCTCCCAACATCTTGATTCTTCTGTATTTATGCTTTAAACATAAGAGTCCCTTCACTGAGTGGTAAACACTTATGTTTCAAAAAAGGCCTGAAAATATCTTTTGTTAATTTAATCCTTTTAATTTTTTATTACCATTTTCTTTCAAATTTTTAAGTTTATATTTTAATTGACAATTGTATATATGGTGTACAACCCAATGTTTTAATATGTATATACATATATACACATTTTGGAAAGACAAAATCAAGCTAATCAACATATCAATTACTTCACATCCTATAATTTTTGAGTGGTGGAGTATTTAAAATCTAGCAATTTGAAAATAAATATATAATACATAGATATAAACTGTAATCATCATGTTATACAATAGATCTAAACTTATTTCTCCTGTCTAACTACCCTTACTTTTGAATGATAGTATAGCTGGGTTTACAATTCGGGATTGGTAGTTTTATTCTAACAGCATTTGTCCTTGAGACATTCTTTTTTAAAGTTTTTTTTCCAACTTTTATTTCAGGTTGAGGGGTACATGTGCAGGTTTGTTATATAGGTAAGTTGCATGTCACTGATTATTTCACCACCCAAGTGATAAGCATAGTTCCTGATAGGTAGGTTTTCAGTCCTCACTTTCCTCCCTACACCCTCAAGTAGGCCCGGTGGGGGGGTCTGTTATTCTTTGTGTCCGTAGGTACTCTGTTTAGCTCCCACTCATAAGTGAAAATATGTGGTATTTGGTTTTCTGTTTCTGTGTTAGTTTACTTAGTATAGTGGCCTCTAGCTCCATCAACATTGCCACAAAAAACAAGATCTTGTTTTTTCTGGCTGCATGTATTCCATGATGTATATGTACAGTATTTTCTTGATTCAGTCTACCATTGATGTGCGTTTAGGTTGATTCCATTTCTTGGCTATTATGAACGATGCTGTGAAGAACATGTGTGTGTGTGTGACTTCGTGGTAGAATGATTTATATTCCTTTGGGTCAAAAGGTAATTCTACGTTCTTTCAGAAATTGCCAAACTACTTTCACAATGGCTGAACTAATTTACATTCCCAACAGGAGTGTATAAGCATTCCCTATTCTCTGCAACCTAACCAGTATCTGTTATTTTTTTACTTTTTAGTAATAGACACACTGACAGGTGTGAGATGGTATCTCATTGTGGTTTTCATTTGGACTTCTCTAATGGTTAGTGATATTGAGCATTTTTTATATCCTTGTTGCCTGCATGTAAGTCATTTTTGGAAAAGTATCTGTTAATATCCTTTGCCCACTGTGCAAAAGCTGTTTGGTCTAATTAGATCCCATTTGTCAGTTTTCACTTTTGTTGACCTTGCTTGACCTTGCTATTGCCATCTTCACCGTAAAATCTTTTCTGGGTCCTATGTCTAGAATGATATTTCTTAGGTTATTTTCCAGATGTTTTATGGTTTTAGGTTTTACAGTTAAGGGTTTAATCAATCTTGAGTTGACTTTTCTATGTAGTATAAGGAAGGGGTCCAGTTTCAATCTTTTGCATTACGGCTATACAGTTATTTTAGCAACATTTACTGAACACGGAGTTCTTTCCCTATTGCTTGTTTTTGTTCACCTTGTTGAAGATCAGATGGTTTTAGGTGTGTGTCATTATTTCTGGGCTCTCTACTTTGTCCCATTGGTCTATATATCTGTTTTTGTACCAGTACTGTGCTGTTTTGGTTACTGTAGCTCTGTTGCATGATTTAAAGTTGGGTAGTGTGATGCCTCCAGCTTTGTTCTTTTGCTTAGAATTGCCTTGGCTATTTGGGCTCTTTTTTGGTTCCATGTGAATTTTAAAATATTTTTTTCTAATTCTGTGAAGAATTCCATAGGTAGTTTTATATGTGAATAGCACTGAATCTGGAAATTGCCTTGGGCAGGATGACCATTTTCATGGTATTGATTCTTCCTATTCGTGAGCATGTAATGCTTTTCCATTTGTTTCATCTCTCATTTCTTTGAGCAGTGTTTTGTAACTTTCATTGTAGAGATCTTTCACCTCCAGTTAGCTGTATTCCTAGATATTTTATTTTCGTGGCTATTATGAAGGAGATTGCATTCTTGATTTGGCTCTCAGCATGAATGTTAGTGCATAGGAAGGCTACTGAGTTTTGTACCTTGATTTTATATCCTGAAACTTTGCTGAAGTTGTTTATCAGATCAAGGAGCTTTGGGACAGAGACCATGTGGTTTACTAGATATAGTATCATGTTGTCTGCAAGCAGGGATAGTTTGAGGTTTTTTTCTTCCTATTTGGATGTCTTTTATTTCCTTCTCTTGCTGATTGCTCTGGCCAGAACTTCCAATACTATGTTGAATAGGAGTGGTGAGAGAGGGCATCCTTTTCTTGTGCTGGTTTTTAAGGGAAATGCTTCCAGCTTTTGCACATTCAGTATGATCACTGTGGAGTTTTCATAGAAGGCATTTGTTATTTTGAGGTATATTTCTTCAATGACTAGTTTAATTGAGAGTTTTTAACATGGGAGTTAAAATTTATCAAAAGCCTTTTCTGAATCATTGAGATAATCATTTGGTTTTTGTTTTTAATTCTATGTGATGTGATGTTGAACCAACCTTGCATCCCAGGGATGAATCCTACTTTGGTCACGGTGGATAAACTTTTTGATGTGCTGTTAGATTCTATTTGTATTTTGTTGAAGATTTTTGCATCTGTTAATCAAAGATACTGGCCTGAAGTTTTTCTTTTTGTGTGTGTGTCTCTGCCAGGTTTTGAGATCAGGATGATGCTGGCCTTATAGAATAAGTTAGGGAGGGGTCTCTCCTCAATTATTTGGAATACTTTCTGTAGGAATGATATGAGCTCTTCTTTGTACCTCTTGCAGAATTTAGTTATGAATCTGTCTGGTCCTGGACTTTTTGTAGTTGGCAGGCTTTCTATTGTGAATTTAATTTCAGAACTTTTTAATGGTCTGTTCAGGGATTCTGTTTCATCCTGATTCAATGTTGAGAGGTTGTATGTGTCCAGGAATTCATTGATTTCTTCTAGATTCTCTAGCATAAAGCTGTTCATAGTAGTCTGAGGGTTTTCTTTGGTTGGTGTTTCTGTCAGGTTGCTGGTAATGAACTC
The DNA here is from genome assembly GCF_000001405.40 of Homo sapiens. Taxonomy (NCBI): domain Eukaryota; kingdom Metazoa; phylum Chordata; class Mammalia; order Primates; family Hominidae; genus Homo; species Homo sapiens. Next base: position 256,807 of record NW_025791755.1, on the reverse strand, counting down.
TTTGACAATCCTGATTGTACTTATTTGTAGCTTCTCTTTTTTCTTAGTCTATCTAGTGGTCTATTTGTCTCTTTATGTTTTTCAAATACCAACTCCTGGATTCGTTGATCTTTCGTATGGTTTTTCACATCTCAATTTCCTCCCATTAAGCTCTGATTTTGATTAGTTCTTTGCTAGTTTTGGAGTTGGTTTGCTTTTGTTTCTCTAGTTCTAAGTGTGTGATGTTAGGTTGTTAATTTTAGGTCTTTCTGACTTTTTCATGTGGATATTTAGTGTTGCAGACTCCTCAACACTTCTTTAGCTACATCCTAGAGATTCTGGTATATTTTACCTTTGTTCTCATTAGTTTCAAATAATTTCTTGATTTCTGCCTTAATTTTGTTGTCTACAAAAAGGTCACCATTAGCATATTTAATTTTCATATAACTTTGTTTTGAGTGATTTTCTTAGTATTGATCTCTATTTATTGCACTGTGGTCCAAGAATATGGTTGGTATAATTAAGTTGCTGAGGATTGTTTTGTGTCCGATTGGTCAATTTTGGAGTATATGCTGTGTACACGTGAGAAGAATGTATATTCTGTTTTGGGGTTCAGAGTTCTGAAGATGTCTATTAGGTCCATTTGGCCAAGTGTTGAGTTTAGGTCTCAAGTCTCTTTGTTAGCTTTTTGCCTCAATACTGTCAGTGGGATGCTGAAATCTCCCATTATTATTGTATGGGAGTCTGAGTATCTTTGTAGGTCTTTAAGAACTTGCTTCATGAACCTGGGTGCTTCTGTGTTGTATGCATAGATAGCTAGGATAGTTAGATCTTGTTGAATGGAAACCTGTAGCATTATATTATGGCCATCTTTGTCTTTTGTGACCTTTGCTGGTTTGAAGTCTGTTTTGCCTGAAACTAGAATCGAAACCCTTGCTTCTTTGTTTCCATTTGCTTGGTAGATTTTTTTCCATCCCTTTACTTTGAGCCTATTGGTGTCATTGCATGTTAAATGGGTCTTTTGATGACAGCATACCTTTGAATCTTCTTTATCCAGCTTCCCACTCTGTGCCCTTTGAGGCAGTTAGCTTGTTTACATTCAAGATTAACATTGATATGTGTAGATTTGATCCTGTCATCCTATTCCTAGGTGTTTTTTTGTTTGTTTGCAGGCTTGTTTGTGTGGTTGCTTTATAGTGTCAATGGTCTATGTATTTAAGTGTGTTTTGGTAGTGACTGGTAATGGTCTTTTCTTTCCACATTTAACACTCCTTTCAGGACCTCTTGTAAGGCAGGTCTGGTTGTAAGGAACTCCCTTAGCATTGTCTGAAAAGAATCTTATTTTTCCTTTGCTTATGAAGCTTCCTTTGGCTGGATATGAAATACGTGGTTGAAAATTCTTTTCTTTAGGAATGCTGAACATAGGCCCCCAACCTCTTCTGGTTTGTAGAGTTTCTGCTAAAGGATCTGCTGTTAGCTTATGGGGTTTCCTTTGTAGGTGACCTGCCCCATTTCTCTAGCTGCCTTTAACATTTTTCTTGTTTTCCATCTTCGAGAATCTGATGACTATGTATCTTAGTGATGGACTTCTTGTGTTGTGTCTTGCAGAAAAAAGTTAATTGTACTCAAATTACACCACAGTTAAAGGGATATGAGCCCACACAGATGAGAACAAACCAGTGCAAGAACTCTGGCTTTTTGAGTTGCCAGAGTGTCTACCTTCCTCCGACCAACCACACTTTACCCCACATGAATATGGAGAAATGCAGAGCTGCTACCAATAGGTGTGATTGATCCAGAGTGTTACAGCTGTGTCATGGGCCTAAACCAGGGGGGCCCTTCCTGGTGATGAGCAAGAGGACAAAGGGCTCACAGGGGAGACCAAATGTGTTCTCTCTCAGTGCTCTCAATTTGAATATTGGCCTCTCTAACAACATCGGGGAAATTTTCATGGACAATTTCCTGAAATGTGTCTCCTAAATTGCTTGTCTTCTCCCGCTCTGTTTCAGAGATACCATATAAATCATAGATTTGGTCTCTTTACATAATTCCATATTTCTCAGATGTTTTCTTCACTCTTTTTAATTTTTAATTTTTTCTGAGTTTAGAGTACATCTTCAAGCTCTGAGATTTTCTTCAGCTTAGTCCTATCTGCTATTAATATTTGTAACTGTATTAAGAAATTCTTGTAGTGTGTTTTCCAGCTCTCACAGATCAGTTTGGTTCTTATAATGGCCATTTCATCGATCACTCCTGTATTATTTTATTGTAATCCTTAGATTCTTTGGATTGGGTTTCAACTCTCTCCCGAATCTTGATGGTCTTCATTCCTATCTATATTCTGAATCCTATTTCTGTCATTTCAACCATTTTAGACTACTTAAGAACCCTAGTTGGGGGAGCTAGTGCATTTGTTTGGAGAAAAGATGCTCTGGCTTTTTGAGTTGCCAGAGTTCTTGCACTGGTTCCTTCTCATCTGTGTGGGCTCATGTCACCTTCACTGTGGTGTAACTTGAGTACAGTCAGTTGACTTCTGGATGTTTTCAGAGGGCCCAAGGCTTTGTGCAGGGTCTTTACTCATAGCTGAGTTCTTGGCCTTGGTTTCATGGGGAGGTATATTAGAGTATTTTTGGTGTCGAAGTTTGGGCTGTGATCCAGTAGATGGTGCTTAAGCATAATGGCCGGTAGATAGAGGAGCCGTGGGGCTGAACAAGGGCCTATTTTCTCACAATTGCAGGCTTGCTCCCTCTCAGTGCTCTGAAAGTGTGGGCTCCTCTTCCTCCTTTAGTGCTGGCTGTAGATCTCAGCTTGGTACTCCTGGGCTACAGGCCACACCTCTGGGGTGACTCAGGCTTTATGTTCCCCTCAGCCTGGAGGCAGTGTGAGCAGGGTCCTGGCAGTGTTGTGGAAGAGGGCCTTTCACATGTTTCTTGGGCCCCATCCCAGAGAAATGCAGAGCTGCTACCAATAGGTGTGGTCAGCCCAGAGTGGGGCAGCTGTGTTTGGGCCCAAACCAGGGGGCCCTGCGTGGTGACAAAAAAAATTCATGTCAATAATTTCTTATGATTAAAACTATATTATCTTTTTAAAACATCTTTTTCACTCTATAAATACATCTGTGAGTGCTATACATAATTTAAGACATAGATGGAACTAAAAGGAGAAATAAAGGTATAAAATAAATCCTACCACATTTACTATAAAATTTTTTCTTTGTAAAAATTTTAGTTTATTTTGTTTTTAATCGACTCATAACAATTGTATATTTTTATGGGGTATGGGGTGATGTTTTGACACATATATACATTGTATAATGATCAAGTCAGAATAAAAATTTTCAAAATAGGATTTTGAAAATTGTTTTTAATTGACAATTGTATATATATTTGGGTACAGTGAGATATTTCAATACATGTACACATTGTGGAATGACCATGTCATGATAATTAACATATCCATCTCACATACTTATTTTTTGTGGGAGAAAATGATATTTTTAATATATAGATACATAGATATATTAAAATACTATAGATTAGAATCATGCTGTATATAGCTCTACATCTGCATAAATATTCTTGTGTACATATTTTCAGTGTTTACTTTTTAAAAATATTGTTTTGAATATAACTTCACAATTTACCTTAATAACAGAATCTGAGTTTTCTTATTTCCAATGTAGATTTCTTCCAATTTTTTACTAATCTAAAACAATACTATAATGAATATCTGTGTAAGGAATTCCTTTATTGTATCGGTTATTACATTTTTATTAAACAGTGTCCCTTTCATGTTCATATACTCGGGTTGTACCCGTCAGTGATCTACCCCGGCATACCACAAAAGGCCGCACTGGTGTTTTCACTGACTCACAGCAACACTGATAATCACACATTTTTTTGCCTCTCTGTTATTCAACAAATTAATGGACATTTTTGTGCTTTTTGTCATTGTCTTATTTTGTATGTACAAGTCTTCCACAAATTGTTTACTAACATGTTTGTGTCATTTTAAAAATTGCCATGTCTGTCTTATGAATATGCAAGAGAATCTTACACATTACCGATCCTCAGCCTTTGATTCGTCATGTGAACCATAAATTTCCTAATTAGAAAAAATTTGTTTTATTCAGAGATTGTTTTCAGTTTTCAAATACTAATTTTACTTTCCATGTTTTCTTCATTGCCTTTGCTCACCGTTTAGCTAAATCTTTACCCATTCATGTGTCTTGTTTTATATTTTTATTTTCCACATGTAAACCTTTAATCGATTTGATATTTTAAATTAATGTGATAACAGGACCTAGTTTCACCTAACTTTTTACTAAATTTTCATAATAATTTACTGAGTAATGCTTCCTTAGTTCAGTGAATCACAATGGAAAGTTTGAGACTTGTAGTATTTTCCCAGAATTGTGTTGCAGTCGTGCCAAGGAACCACACATTTCACTGGTTAATTTTTTACCATAACCATTGACAATCTATTGAGGAGAAATAACTTTTCTGTTTTCATCAGTTTATGGCACTAGAAATTTTCAGTGACTTTGTTGAGTAACATTTAATAGCTTAATATGCAGGTTTTGATTCTAAGTAGACCATAGCTTCATTAAGGCTGACCCTGATTAGTATACATGAAATGTTTAAACTTGTAAAACAAACTTTTGAATTTCTTTTAAAATGACACTTTAGTAAACAATTCACTACCTAACTCTTCATGCCTTTGAATGTGATTTTAAAAATTCACAGCTGAAATATGAAAAATAAATGTATAGTAATATTTCTGCAACAAAAGTCACAAATAGAGTAATGTGGTGGCTTCTTTAGTGTGGGTGTGTTTTAACAGCAAATTCTACGATAAATTTATAGCACAAGATCCTTGTGGCTGAATAGAGCACAATGATAATTTAAGCATCTTCAAATACTCAAGTTCTGTAGAACTTAGTATAGTTCCCTTCAACTCCAGGGAAATGTTGTGCCTCCTAAATTTACACACGTCTAATTTTTTTTTCTTAATTTTCTAATAGTTTCACCTCGGAAGTGTAAGCAGCTTACCTGGGTGGGAAAGCAGGTCATGGCAGGGCTGGCCAGGTCATGGGCCGGCCTGCCCTGGAATCCCCTGCAGACCTTGCTTGTCTCCAGCTCTTCTCTCAGGCTCTCCCACTCTGAGTGAGTCTCCAGCTAAATACAAGGCATGATGTAGAATTAGGAAATGGAAAGAAAGGTGCAATCACTTTTTTCCACGAAGGGAAAAAGCATAAGGAACACGGAGGAAACTGGGCTTCTCAGGAGGTCCCTGGGCTCTTCTATTCTTGCAGGTAATTAGGGGGCTAGTCCCGAAAGGTTACGAAGACCAAGAGAATTGTTTAAAATGCTTCCTTTGTTTTCAGTAAATGAACTGAGCTACCATTTTAACTGTTTTCAAGTTGATTGTTTTAAATTAATCCTCTCAATATAATTAAGTAGTGGATTTGCCGATTATAAATTCTAAATGTTGCCAGGCATTGGTTTATTCACTCCACAGTCAGGTGCCTGCTTTGTGCCCATTCCTATGCTGGTCACTGGGGGCACAGTAAGGACAAAAGAGAGGCAGAAAGATTTAAGACAATATCCTTTATCAGTCTGAATTAAATTGCATGTGTTATTAGATAACTAAAGATAGGAGAGACTGAAGAATTCAAAGCAAGGTTTACAGAAAAATGATGGAGATGAGGTTCTGATGTTTAAGAGAAATGATAAAAACAGCCAAATTTGGTCTCAGACATGTAACAATGGATAGGACAGAATATACAAGACAAGGCTGTAAAACATTGCGTCGCTTGGTGTCCTATGAAAGCTATGTAGCATATATAAAGGATCCAAAAGGTTTCAAATACATTTCAAAACTCATATCTGCCTAAAACACATAGGTAGCTAGGAATGGAAATACATTTACTTAAATATTTCGTTTTAGGCAACATCATATATCAAAAGTAAAAAGAAAGCTAAAGCAAAATAGAAAACATACAACATAATATCTACCAAAATTATGAAAAGTTGGTTCCCTTGAAATAAAGTTGAAATGAAATCTGATATTTCTTTGTAATAGAATTCAAATGCTACATGAGGGTCAAAGGAATCGGTATAAAGCAAAAACAGAAATCAATACTGAGGTGACAGATGTTAGAGAATAAATAGAAGATAAAAGTAAAATAAAAATATGTTAACAAATGAAGAGAAACAGCTTAAAAATAATGAAGGACCAGAAAAAGAGGCTTAAAAATCCTGAGGAAAATAAAGAGAGAGGTTAAAAAGTGTCAGTGGATTTGGAAACCAACAAAAAGGGTCAAACATAAATATTGTGGTTGAAAAATACATGTAAATGATTAGAATGAAAATGTACATGCAGATACTTTTTCAAAATGTGATATAGTATTTTCTATATCCAGATATGTCCCACAAAAATATGGTACTGTGTGTGTCTAAGTTAGAATTACTAGGAAATCTAGGCAAAATATCACAATATAGTGGTATTAGGCCGGTCTTTGAATTTTATTTATATTAAATGATAAAAAATAGAGCAATACTTAACAATATTTTAGTGGAATATCTTTTAAAAAACAAAGCCATTCTTTAAGATTTAAGAGAAAGGAAAAGTAGAATAGCCACATATATACATCACAATAAAACAGGTTGAGGACAAACCTTAACCCACCAAAGGATGCCTGGAGAAACTATAATGGAAAGGTTCCTGATAATATGTAAAAGCATTTAATAAAAACACATGAGAAAATGACTCTATATGAATAAGTAAATGAAGGTATGACTAAAATAGAAATGTAACAAACTGAGACAATATAGACTGTGATAACAATATAAAAAAATCTAGAAACTGGGGAGATGGATGTGGAAATGACTAATAAAGATGTCTCCTTCTACCAGTATTTACATGTCTTTTATTTTCTTTTATATCTTCACAAAATCCATACCTTCCTTGGCAGACCAACCTCTTTACAATTTATACTTGATGAATCAGTTAATACGGATATAATTATATGATTAAAGTATAGGGATATGCTAAAAGGTTTTAAGAGGAATAATGTAACTGAAAAACTAAAATTGAGTGCATGGTGGAGAGAGTGGCAAATGTGTAAATGTACTTAAATAGTAATTAGATTGTGGAAAAACTAGACATTTGAGCATATTATTTGAAATATAAGAGTAATCCAAAGATCTAAAAGAACAATGTGCTCTTCTGAGGTTGGAAAAAATGAATAAAATGAAAAAGTAAAAAATTTTAATTTTAAAAACCGAGCTCTCAAACACAAACACATAATTAACTATACATGGGGAGAAATAAAAAGTTAAAAAAGGAAGCATAGCAAAAATAAGGTGTCAGAAAAGAGACCAACCATTTCTAATTTCCATAAATTGAAATTGCATAATTTGCATAAATTGAACGGACAGACCTATTGAAAGAGAAAGGGTATTGAAGTAAAGGCAAAACCTAAATGTGTGTTGCAGAAGCCGAGGATACTGTAGTTGGCTTGCTTGTTTTCATCCCAACTTCTTCATATGTCTTTTGACTGGTAAAGCTGGAAAACTAAAATCTATGTATACAAACTCCATGGTATCTGAGATTCACCAGTAATTTAGGTTCTATTGATGAGGTGCACGTGAGGAGATTTAGATGGTAGAAGTGTGGAGGCCGCCTTGTTCTTTGGCTTTTTTCTTTTAGCACGGAGACGCTTTATTTTTCGTACAGCAGCTCACAGAATTGGGAGGTATGAACAATAGAACCAGCATAACAAGAATAATAAATCAACAAAGCTTGATAAAGGTCATATTGGGATTTTTGTACTATTTTAAGTGAAATCTACCTGTGTACCATGTAGAGACTTCCATCCAGCTGTCTTTGTCCAATTTGAAGAGTGTGATGATGCTTCACCACAGATATTGCACATGTTGTGAACCTTTAATTCTAGACCTGTATTTCTATGCTCGCTTTCTGGAGTAGGTTTCTTCTCACTCTGTTTTAGAATTGGTTTTTGCTGGCTTAGGGGAAACATACTGATTAATTAGTAGCCTACTCACTGAAATCTTACTAGGTTGCTTTTTATGGATTGTGTAGTTCCTGCTATGATTTATGGGAGATTTTGCATCTGAATCTTTTAACAACACTGTGTGGTAGAAATGATTATCGTCCCTACCAAGCCCTCTAGGGTCTGCCTTAGTCCACCTCTCCAGAAATCTTTGGCATTCTCCATCTCCCTCTCCAGGTGGAGCATATTGCACTTCCTCCCATTTTGGGACCACATCAAGATTATACAGTAACCAAACAGCATGGCACTTGTCCAAAAAACAGACACATAGAGCAACAGAATAGAGAACTCGGAAGCAAGGCCACAAACCAACAACCATCTGATCTTTGACAAAGCTTAAAACATAAGCAATGGGGAGAGGACTCCCTATTTAATAAATGGTACTGGGAAAACTGGCTACTCATATGCAAAAGATTAGAACTGGACCACTTCCTCACACCATTTACAAAAATCAACTCAAGATGAATTAAAGACTTAAATGCAAAATCCAAACCTCTAGAAACCCCAGAAGACAACCCAGGCAATACCTTTCAGCATATAAGAATGGGCAAAGATTTCATGATGAAGATGCCAAAAGCAAAAACTGACAAATGGAATCTAACTAAGGAGCTTCTGCACAGCAAAAGAAACTATCAACAGAATAAACAGACAACTTACAGAATGGGAGAAAATATTTACAAACTATGCATCTGACAAAGGTCTAATGTCCAGTATCTATAGGAAACTTAAATTTACAAGAAAAAAATTAAAAAGTAGGCAAAGGACATGTACAGACACTTTTCAAAAGAAGATATTCTTGTGGCCAAGAAGCATATGAGAAAAATCTCAACATCTGTGATCATTAGAGAAATGAAAATCAAACCCACATTGGGAAGCCATCTTACACCTGTCAGCGTGACTATTATCAAAAAGTCAAAAAATAACATGTTGATGAGATTGCAGAGAAAAGGGAACATATGCACTGGTGGTGGGAGTGTAAATTAGTTCAATCATTGTGAATAACACTATGGCAATTCCTCAAAGATATAAAGACAGAACTAGCATTCGACTCAGCAGTCTCATTACTTGGTATATACCCAAAAGAACATAAATTGTTCTATCATAAGGACACATACTTGCATGTGTTCATAACAGCACTGTTCATAATAGCAAAGACATAGAGTCGACCTAAACGCCCATCAATGGTAGACTGGATAAAGAAAATGTGATACATATATATCATGCGATACTATGCAGTCATGAAAAGAATGAGATCATGTTGTTTGCAGAAACATGGACGAAGTTGGAGGCTATCATTCTTAGCAAACTAACACAGGAACAGAAAACCAAATATTGCATGTTCTCACTTGTAAGTGGGAGCTAAATGATGAGGACACAAAGGGGAACAACAGACACTGGATCCCACTAGAGGATGGAGGGTGGGAGGAAAGAGAGAAGCAGAAAAAAACAGCTACTGTTGGTCAGGCACAGTGGCTCACACCTGTAATCCCAGCATTTTGGGAGGCCAAGGCGGGGTGGATCGCTTGAGGTCAGGAATTCAAGAACAGCCTGGCCAACATGGTGAAACCAAGTTTCTACTAAAATACAAAAATTAGCTGGACGTGGTGGCACAGCCTGTAATGCCAGCTACTTCAGAGGCTGAGGAAGGATAATCGCTTAAACCCAGGAGGCAGAGGTTGCAGTGAGATCGTGCGACTGCACTCCAGCCTAAGTGACAGAGCAAGACTGTCTCAAAAATATAAAGTAATAATAATAAAATAAAAATGTTGGGTTCATTTACCCAGTTTAGTATCTATACCATACCTTTTGGATTTGAGACAGGTGTCATTTCTCACCTCAGAAATTTATTCCTATTATTTTGTCCTGTTAACCCTCCTTATTTTCTCCTCCTGGAAGTAGTCTCTGTTCTAACATTTCTGCAGTGTTGTGCTGGGGCCAGCTTGCACTAGCTGGTGAGATATGATTATTCATATCCTTTCCCAACTGTGTGGTCAGTGACATCATATTAGCAACCTGAATTTACCCACGTTGGGAGTATGAACACGAGAGAAAGTTGCAAACAACAAATCACACATATTAGTATTTTTAAATTTTGTTTAGTATCATTTTGTTTAGAGATATGGTTTAACACCACACAAAGACTCTAGAGCTTTTTTAAATTTTACTTTAAGTTCTGGGATACATGTGTAGAATGTGCAGGTTTGTTACACAGGTATAATATAGGTATAATGTGCCATGGTGATTTGCTGCACCCATTAACCCATCATCTAGGTTTCAAGCCCCACATGCATTAGGTATTTTTCCTAATGCTCTCCCTCCCCTTCCCCCACCACCACCCAACAGGCCCCAGTGTGTGATGCTCCCCTCACTGTGTCCATGTGTTCTCACTGTTCAACTCCCACTTACGGGTGAGAACATGCGGTGTTTGGTTTTCTGTTTCTGTGTTAGTTTGCTGAGAATGATGGCTTCCAGCTTCATCCATGTCCCTGCGAAGGACATGAACTCATGGCTGCATAGTATTCCAGGGTGTGTATGTGCCACATTTTCTTTATCCAATCCATCATTGATGGGCATTTTGGTTGGTCCCAAGTCTTTGCTGTTGTAAATAGTGCTGCAATAAACATATGTGTGAATGTGTCTTTATAGTAGAATGATTTCTAATCCTTTGGGTATATACCTAGCAATTAGATTGCTGGGTCAAATGGTATTTCTGGTTCTAGATCCTTGAGGAATTCCACACTATCTTCCACAATGACTGAACTAATTTACACTTCCACCAACAGTGTAAAAGCATTTCTATTTTTCCACAGCCTTGCCAGCATCTGTTGTTTCCTGACTTTTTAATAATCACCATTCCAACTGGCGTGAGATGGTATCTCATCGTGGTTTTGATTTGCATTTCTCTAATGACCAGTGATGAGCTTTTTTCCATGTTTAATAGCCACATAAATGTCTTTTGAGAAGTGTCTGTTCATACCCTTCACCCACTTTTTGATGGGATTGTTTTTTCTTGTAAATCTGTTTAACTTTCTTGTAGATTCTGGATACAAGACCTTTGTCAGATGGGTAGCTTGCAAAAATTTTCCCCCATTCTGTAGGTCTCTTGTTCACTCTGGTGATAGTTTCTTTTGCTGTGCAGAAGCTCTTTAGTTTAATTAAATCCCATTTGTTGATTTTGGCTTTGTTGCAATTGCTTTTGGTGTTTTAGTCATGAAGTCCTTGTCCATCCCTGTGTCCTGAATGGTATTACTAGGTTTTCTTCTAGGGTTTTTATGGTTTTGGGTTTTAAGTTAAAGATTTAAATGTATCTTGAGTTAATTTTTGTATAATGTGTAAGGAATGGGTCCAGTTTCAGTTTTCTGCATATGGCTAGCCAGTTTTCCCAGCACCACTTACTAAATAGGGAATCCTTGTCCCATTGCTTGTTTGTATCAGGTTTATCAAAGAACAGATGGTAGTAGATATGTGGTGTTATTGCTGAGGTCTCTGTTCTGTTCCATTGGTCTATATATCTGTTTTTGGTACAGGTACCATGCTGTTTTGGTCACTGTAGCCTTGTAGTATAGTTTGAATTTAGGTAGTGTGATGCCCCCAGCTTCTTTTTGCTTAGGATTGTTTTGGCTCTACTGGCTCTTTTTTGGTTCTATATGAAATTTCAAATAGTTTCCTAATTCTGTGAAGAAAGTCATTAGTAGCTTGATGGGAATTGCATTGGATCTAAAATTACTTTGGGCAGTATGGCCATTTTCACGATATTAATTGTTCCTATCCATGAGCATGGAATGTTTTTCCATTTGTTTGTGTTGTCTCTTATTTCCTTAAGTAGTGGTTTGTAGTTCTCCTTGAAGAGGCCCTTCATATCCCTTGTAAATTGTATTGCTAGGTATTTTATTCTTTGTAGCAATTGTGAATGGGGTTCACTCATGATTTTGTTCTTGGCTTGTCTATTGTTGGTGTACAGGATTGCTTGTGATTTTTGCACATTGATTTTGTATCCTGAGACTTTGCTGAAGTTGCTTATCAGCTTGAGTTCTGGGGGTGAGTCGATGGGGTTTTCTAAATATACAATCATGTCCTCTGCAAACAGAAAATTTGACTTTCTCTCTTCCTATTTGAATACCTTTATTTCTCTTGCGTGATTGCTCTGGCCAGAACATCCAATACTATGTTGAATAGGAGTGGTAAGAGAGGCTGGACCAAGCGGACTGAACAGACACCTACAGGACTCTCCACCCCAAATGAACAGAACATACATTCTCAGTGCCACATAGCATGTATGCTAAAATTGGCCACATAACTGGATGTAAAACACTCCCCAGCAATTCCAAAAGAATGGAAACCGTAACCGTCTCTCAAATCGCAGTACTATCAAATTAGAACTCAGGATTAAGAAACTCACTCAAAACCGCACAACTACATGGAAACTGAACAACCTGTTCTTGAATGACTGAGTAACAAAATTAAGGCAGAAATAATTTATCTGAAACCAAATGAGCACAAAACACAACATACCAGAATCTCTAGGACACACAGCTCAAGCACTGTTAAGAGGGAAATTTATAACACTAAAGGCCCATAACAGAAAGCTGGAAAGATCTAAAATTGACACCCTAACATCACAATTAATAGAACTAGAGGAGCAAGAGCAAACTCAAAAGCTAGCAGAAGACAAGAAATGACTAAGATGAGAGCAAGACTGAATGAAATAGAAACACGAAAATCCCTTCAGAAAATCAATGAATCCAGGAACTGGGTTTTTTTTTTAAAAGATTAACAAAATAGATGGACCACTAGCTAGACTAATAAAGAAGAGAGAAGAGTCAAATAGACACAATGAAAAATGATAAACGGGATATCACCACTGATCCCACAGAAATACAAACTACCATTAGCATTTAGAAACCAAGATCTAGGCACTCCGTGTGCTCATTCATTGCTACTGGGTTGTCACTGCTTTTAGAACATTCATTCCTTTATGTGAACAATTGAATACAACTGGTGCTGCACTAACTCTACACTCAGCCTTGCACAGGTCATTAAAAGTGAAACCCTAAAGTTCAAGACCATGAATAAATTTTCAAATTCCGGAGAATCCAAACCTTCAAATTCATCCACTGACTCCTTCACACAGCACGTTTTAATTTCCATATTAATAACACTTTTTATTGTTTCATGTGATTTTCCAAGACAACTTTATCTTCATAACAAAGACTTCCATTATATTAATAGTCTTCATGCCTCTTATAAGTTTTTGTTTTCCAGGTTCTTGAATCAATATCACTCTCTTCCATCTGAGGCATTTATTCTTCAAAATGTGAAGTATGAGTTTTCCTTGGAGGTTTCAGTAAATTTTAGCATTGAAAATGGAAGAGTCAGCCAAGTTAGTGCTCCCAGTGGTGGATATTAACACATTATTTCCAGCCATTCTTTGTACTCTTCTAAATTAGCACTCTCAAACAAAGCCCTGGGAGTTACTCTTCAAATGTCAACTCCTCTCACAGATACCACCATTCCTTGCTGGTGGCAGCCAATTTCCATGTGCTTTACTTTAAAACTATACCAATTTATACGGCATGGTATCTGTGCAAATTGTCAAATGAACAGATGGAACAGAAAATAAAGCCTAGAAATGGATCAACACCTACATGTACATTGGATTTATGACCAGGGCAACCACTCAGAGTGGGAAATGCAGGATGCTTTTAATAGTTCTGACTCCACTGCACAATCCACATGGAAAAAATGAATATTGATCCCTACACTACAGGATAAGAAAATATATTTCAGATGGGCTGTATAGATTGAAATATAAAAGGTAAAATAATCTCTTAGAAGAAAATATAGAACAACACATTATAATGATGAGGTAAGCAAGTATTTCTTAAACAGAAAACAAAAGTGCTAACACTAAAGGAAAACATAGTAAGTTGGACTTCATTAAATTAAAATTTATTTTAAAAAATTAATATTGTAAAAAAGCAACCCATAGAAAACAAGGAAATATTTATAAATAGATATATGTATGAAGGATTCATATAGAACACATAGAAGAAATTCCTACAAATCAATAAAGAAGCAGAAAATCCACTTAAAAATGGCAAAAGACTAGAATGGGAATTTACAAATATGATAGCCATGATTCCAATAAATTATTCCAATAAATGTACAAAATGTACATTCCAATAAATGTATGAAAAGGTTTTCAACTTGGCTAGTTGTCAAAAAATGACACTTTAAAACCACAATGAAATAGCACATCTGTCAGTGTGGTTATGATGATTAAAATAACTGCTAATGAGACTATAAATTGATAAAACCTCTGGAAAACAGTTTGATAGTATCTGATAGAGCTGAATATGTGCCCATCTATGACCCAGATATCCCACTCCTGGTTATATATGCAACAGAAATGCAAACATGTGTTTACCAAAATACATGTTTTAAAATGTAGGTGAAATATTTTACTGAATAAATTTTTTGTAGTGGTTAATATATATTTTTAAAAGTATATAGTTTTATAAAACTTAAATGATTTACAATAAATTTCTCCAATTAATAAAAGTCAAAATGGTCAGTTTAGCTGTGGTATTGTTTTTTTGCGTTATCCTTTTAGCTTGTACTATGCAATCTGTGTGTTATTAGTGGATGTAAAGGTGTGCTGATTATCTCTTCTTAAGTTGTGAATTTCAAATTAAAAATGATCACAGGGTATTATTTATAATAGCCATAGATAGAAAACAAGTTGCCATGAACAACAAAATAAACAAATTGTTCTTTGTTCTTAGAGCATACAATACAGAGTAAGAATGAAAAAACCACCAACATAACTACCTGTAAATGTGCTTGAATCTTACATAATGTTTAGTAAAAGAAGGTAGGCATGAAAGAGTGCATGTTTTGTGACTCTATTTACATAAATTTCAAATCCAGGCAAAACTACTTTATAGGAAGGCAGAGTCACAGTTTCTTTGGGGAGGGTATTGGGATGCAGGCTGGGGGTCTACGTGGGGGCTAACTCACTTCTGATTGTGCATCTGTGGGCAGGCTGTGGTGAGTTCAGTTTCCAAAGACTACTTGAGCTGTACGCTAATGACTTTTGCATTTTTTGTCTGTTTATTTTCTAAAAAGTCTACTAAATACGGACTACAATATAATCAGAAGATCCTTCAGCTGTTACCAGGAATTGCAATTAGGAGTTAGTGCAGCATTGTGGTTCTAGAAGCACGTTCTTGAGTCCAGCTGTCCTGTTACTTATCAGTCTGTCTTGAGTCCAGCTGCCCTGTTACTCATCTGTCTGACTTGGGGAAATTCCCCTATGCCCTTTGCGTCTCCGTGTCTGCATCCTCACTCGGGGTAGTGTTTATTAGCACCTACTCTGCATGACTACTGATTGGATCAATCACTGAACACTTTCCGTGTGCTTGGAACGTATCCTCATGTGACATGCACACACTTTTTGGAGGTGGACTGATGTTAATAACACTCACATGGTAAAGTACGTTTGATACACTTTTTAGTATAAAACACTAGAATATTCAATGGCACATTCAATTTCTGTAGATTATTCCTTCCTTGAAGTTTGTATTTGTAAATTTTTTATAACGAATGTGTTGTTTTGGGACCATAAATAACTATAATTTTTTTTCTTTTCCAGACAGTCTCGCTCTGTCGCCCAGGCTGGAGTGCAGTGGTGCCATCTCGGCTCACTGCAGGCCTCGCCTCCCAGGTTCACACCATTCTCCTGCCTCAGCCTCCTGAGTAGTTGGGATTACAGGCGCCCGCCACTACGCCCAGCTAATTTTTAATTTTTTAATATTTTTAGTAGAGACGGTGTTTCACTGTGTTACCCAGGATGGTCTCGATCTCCTGACCTCGTGATCCACCCGCCTTGGCCTCCCAAAGTGCTGGGATTACAGGCGTGAGCTACCGCTCCCGGCCATAACTATAAAACTTTTAATAGTGGTTACATTTTGGAAAGTCATTTAGTGGAATGTTCTAAGAGGTATAGATCCTCTGACCATCACACCTGGAATTTCAAATTTGTAATTCCACCAAAATAAACACATTGAACAGAGAACTGTTTATTGAAATATCACTCATGTTACAAAACGTGAAAAACACCCTGAAGACTTAAGACACAGGGAGGTCATATAATGTGTTTACTCAGCCAATGTTCTACATTAATTATTTCAAAGTCATATGCTACAGTGTAAAGGCCATTCTATAATCTTCTGTTTGAAATGCAAAAACCAAATTTTTGGATATATCAGTTGTCTCCAAACACATCCTGGAGGGAAATGTTACATTATTCCTAAATTGGTGCTTCTAAGGGTTAAAAGTAAAAAATGTTATTTTATATTATTTACATTATTCAATGCTTTTCAAATTTTCAGCAATAACCCTATCTTCTGATGAAAATTTCAGTTAAAAGGGTTTATACATTTAACAAAGCGATATCAATCACGAATGTCCATTTTCATAATTAAAAAGTTTCCTATGCACAATTGTTTGAGATAAATAAGAAATTAGAAATAAGTTTTACATTTTATGGACACTCAAATGCAAACACTTTGGTTTAAAATGTCATATTTTCAAAGACAAATGGATACAAAATTCTATAAAGAAAATCACATGAAAATGCCTGCCTAAAAGCAAGAAAAATTCAAACTCTAGTTATCTTTGGCTTTTTATAGTATGTGTTGTTATTTCTCCTTTTTATAATAATACTTAGTTTTAAAATTTTCTACAGTTATTACTAAGAAAACCAATAAATAAATGGAAGAATATACTCTATTAAATGTGTTATCAATTGTCTAATTCAGGTTCGTTTCACTCTTTTCCCTCATGGCAAGATGATGCAATGGTTTGACCTGTGAGCGAAGTTGTCTTCAAGGAAACAGTCTGGTGAAGTCTGTTTGCCATTAGTAGATGCTTGTTTTCATTTGGAGGGTTAGAGGAGTTAGGCAATTGGAAAAGTCTATAGAATCAGGCCCTACCATTCAACAAAGGCCAGAGAGACTCCCCCAGGACTGCTCCCATGGAGGCCACCACAGCCCTGTGAGGGGTCCCTGTGGACAGCATCATTCTTCAAGTTTGTCGTCCCAGGACCGCACGTGTTAGACTCGGCAGCATCAGCTGCTCTTCAGGGAGAGTCATCAAGTTCATAAGTGTTTCATCATCTGAAACCCTTTCGCAGAAAAGCAGGCTGGTGTTTCACTGATCACAGAGCAGATTGATCACAACGAAAATGACAAGGCTGTCATTCATCGGGACGACTATACTGGAAGTATCTTATTGGAAATAAAATTCCTCAGGGTATTACATTTCTTCCTTTGTTCCAGTAAGAAAGGAATAATTTATTGTTATTAACTTTTAATAATATATGTATTATAGAATTATATTATCAATTGATATTAATCACCAATGTAACAGTTAATATATATTTAATACAGCAAATATAATTGGTAAAATTATACTAACATTGTGTTATATATTATAGATCACATAAAATAACTCATAAGCATATTTAACCTAATACAAAGCTATAATTTAGAAAGTACTTGCTGTGCATATTATATCTGAAACTCTCTGCAATCCTATTAATTAGGCTGTAGAAATAAGTAGTGTGTACCCCTACAGGTATAAATGGAAAAAAAAGATACTCAAAAGTTTTAGGTGACTTGCAACGTACCTCGGAAAAGAAGAGAACTAAACTAAAAAAATAACTGATTTCAGATCTTGAGCCTTTTCCTCCTGGTGGTATATTTTTCCAGGCAAATCTGACTTAAATTATAAACATTTTTTCCTCTGAAAATCGGAGCAATGTTGAATATTAGTTTTCTTTTCCTCTCTTCTTCCTCCCTCCCTTCCTTTCCTCCTTTTTTCCCCTTGTTTTTAAATAACTGATCTCCCAGACTCCAAAACAGGAAGATGTGGATGAGTGGGAGATGGTTGATAGAGGTTTCAGCCTCATGGTGAGCAACATAATTCTACTTCCTGGGTGAAGCATGACACATCACTTTGGAGTATAAATACCCACTCAAGAAGGAGGGGTGCTCTCCTTCCTACAGTGCAGATGTTACTACTGTGAAGCCTGTCACAACTGGTTTGCTTGCTTTGTCATAAAGGTTTCATTTTGGAAATAGCAGTTCATCTTTAAAATATTTTATTGCTTTTGAATGAACCTAATTGCTGTTCTTTTGCCTTGCGTGGCCGTCTGTGCTGGTGTCATTTGTTTCCTAGAAGTGGATAAATTAATTAATTTGGTTAAGGGGAGTTTTGTTCTGCAGCCTTATGGACTCAGTCCCCTTGTTTCAGTGTCTGTGGAAGAACGGTAGCTTGAACTACATGGCCAAGAAATGCAATATCCACTCTCACTTTTGTTCTCCTGAATAAACCTGAGATATGCTCACCCTGACTAGCTCATGTCCATCTCACTGCTGATTTGCATAATTATACTCATTGTAAACCACCTGTTCAACTTGGGAAGGGGCCTCCTTACATAGACCTAGAGTTAATTAGCTCTGACAGGCACCAGTCTTATCCTGGACACTGTCCCTAAATGGACTCCATTTTTGGGAGCGGACATTAAATACACTTATTTCACTGAGAAGCTGGGCAGCAAGTGAAAATGCTTATCTCCTATAAATTGTGGAAATTCCGTTAAGTCTACTTTTCCTTACCCCTTTTGCGCCTACTTCCTGATTTTTCTTTGAGACATTATGTGATACAGATGGACGATGATCATTCAATTTGGCACATGTGTGTTTTATTTGTCTCAGGTTTCGCCTTTGGTCCAGGCGTACCATGACTCTCACATTTTGCAGTTGTTTTATTTGACGGGACAGACATTGACTGACAGTGGCTGGAGCAGGGCTGATAGTGAATTTCTGAAACGGTTTACCTGATTCTCTGCTTTCTGAGTTCTTGGATATCTGAGAGACAGGGCCTCTATGCTGTTTCACTGCTGGATATATGCTTCATTCTTGGACCATAATTTTTTTTTCAAATTTTTCTAGATGATGTTGCTTCATTGTCTTTTGGAATCTACTAAATAATTCCACTGAATTTTTGAAGTTTATTGGGAATTATTTATTTTGCCTTTATACTTAGAAAATTACTTTCTGCTCCAGGAAAATATAGTTTATTAGTCTAGTAATTTATTAATTGACTAAAATCTACCATTTGTTATGGCCAATGACATGTTTATTTACTGAAAATACATTAAGTCCCCTTTGGTTTTAAGTCTCTTAACATAAGAAAGCAATTTGTTAAAAACTGGCATTACTTTACTCTTATGCTTTCTGTGTCCTTTGCTAAGTATTTCTAAAACAAAATGAAAACCCACGAGTTTAGTCTTGGCCAGGGCAAGATATTTGAAATAAAAAAGGAAATAATATGACCAATTGCAATAATTCTTATTTATAAATTTTAAGTTAATGATAAAAAATATAAAGTGTACATTACAATGTAAAAGGTTACATAAGAAAAGCTGCAATATAAAAAGGATGAATATGTGTCTGATTTAAATAAACATTTGACACGTTATTAATATATTGAACATTAATGATATCTAAAACTATTCATTTTATAAAGGATATGCATTTTCTTTAAGTAGAGAATAATAATAATGAGCATCCATATGTAAATCACAGAATTCTGAACAAGAGAAAGATAGTGCTATCAACGGGAAAGGGCTGACCAGCACCACTGACCCCCCAAAATAGCCAGGTAGAAGAAGAGTCCTACAGCCTATTACAAGGTGATTAATTGACTAGATGCTCTGAGAAGAAATTGGAACTTGGATGATCTGAAGATAGTTATCTCAATTGATTGTTCACAGCCAGTTACAGATAGAATTCCTTGTTCTACATTTTCCTCCCTTCTCACTAGTGCACTTGAGTAGTCTTTAAAAAAAATTGCAACTTCAGAGACCCCCATGCTTGAACCACTGGGAGAAGAAACCTTAGGATGACCTACCTGCATACAATAAATATGTTGGATGTCACGATAAGATAAGTATAAATTGAGGCAAACTTTCTCTCACCAAAATTCTACAGGCAAAATGGGGAGATTGGAAGAAAAGATGTGGGCTTGTAAAATCCAATTACATTTTACTTTAATTTTATAAAGAAGGTTCACATCAAGAAATTCCAAGTGAGGTTCAGACCAATCACCTCAGAATAAACTGATTGGATGATAATGCTGATTCCTAAAGCATCATTGATCTGAGATAGCCATAATTTTTTTTTGATATCTTGAAAGATTGGCAGAAACACAACGGATTAGAACATCTTGATGGAAATTATGAAAATATGAATAAATAACTCACAAGATTAATGTCTTTGTAATAGGTTAAGTGGAAGTATAAAAATACATTTTATAAATCACATATGTGTAAAAGTAAATCATTTTAGAGAAATTTACAAGTTGTACTAGTGTCTTTAATACATTTAAAGAAATTTGACTAAATTTGTAACGTTATATAAGGGTTTGGAATTTTATGTTTAAAATGTTTACAATTACTGGTGGCTTAATATATTGCTTTTAAGTATTGAAAAATTGTATGTTCGTAGATTTGTAACGAGATTTAAGAAACACAAGTATTACTAATCCTTTTTTGCAGACATGACTCTTGAGGGTCAAATATATAGAAATATCTATATTGGTTATTAGCTCTGTAAAATCCCATGGGAATGGGATTTGGGCAATACAGGAACATGCAACTATAAGATACTAACACACACAAAATGTGAACATATATAAGTAAAAATAACTATTAGTGACTATATAATCTATAGGAAATAATTTAATTTCAGTTGTATGGACCTCTTCATTGAGAATATAAATATTTCATTCCCATTCTAGATGGGGAATCAGATTCACAATCTAATGTGCTGTCTCTTTTTAGTGCAAATTCACAGTTCATGTTGGAAATACACTCTGATTTTCACATTGATTTTTAAAAGGTAAAGTGAAGCAAACATACTTTTACGTGGTACACACATGATTATAAATAAAGTTTACTTTTGTCCTCCAGGTAAAGCCACTTCAGCCGATCATACAGCATGCGGCTGGCCAACCAGACCCTGGGTGGTGACTTTTTCCTGTTGGGAATCTTCAGCCAGATCTCACACCCTGGCCGCCTCTGCTTGCTTATCTTCAGTATATTTTTGATGGCTGTGTCTTGGAATATTACATTGATACTTCTGATCCACATTGACTCCTCTCTGCATACTCCCATGTACTTCTTTATAAACCAGCTCTCACTCATAGACTTGACATATATTTCTGTCACTGTCCCCAAAATGCTGGTGAACCAGCTGGCCAAAGACAAGACCATCTCGGTCCTTGGGTGTGGCACCCAGATGTACTTCTACCTGCAGTTGGGAGGTGCAGAGTGCTGCCTTCTAGCCGCCATGGCCTATGACCGCTATGTGGCTATCTGCCATCCTCTCCGTTACTCTGTGCTCATGAGCCATAGGGTATGTCTCCTCCTGGCATCAGGCTGCTGGTTTGTGGGCTCAGTGGATGGCTTCATGCTCACTCCCATCGCCATGAGCTTCCCCTTCTGCAGATCCCATGAGATTCAGCACTTCTTCTGTGAGGTCCCTGCTGTTTTGAAGCTCTCTTGCTCAGACACCTCACTTTACAAGATTTTCATGTACTTGTGCTGTGTCATCATGCTCCTGATACCTGTGACGGTCATTTCAGTGTCTTACTACTATATCATCCTCACCATCCATAAGATGAACTCAGTTGAGGGTCGGAAAAAGGCCTTCACCACCTGCTCCTCCCACATTACAGTGGTCAGCCTCTTCTATGGAGCTGCTATTTACAACTACATGCTCCCCAGCTCCTACCAAACTCCTGAGAAAGATATGATGTCATCCTTTTTCTACACTATCCTTACACCTGTCTTGAATCCTATCATTTACAGTTTCAGGAATAAGGATGTCACAAGGGCTTTGAAAAAAATGCTGAGCGTGCAGAAACCTCCATATTAAAGTGTGAAAGAACTTAAGTTGGTCCTCTCTTCTTAGAGTCTCTCTTCACTTTAGGTGTCCTTCCACCAAACAATCAGCATATTGTGGTAGTGTCTGACTCCCTGAGTTGTCCTTCAGGGGGATTCAGCCCAGTGTTCTTCCCTCCTATAATCACACTTGAGATGATGTTCACTTATCCCCCCCTTCCCTCGTAGCATTGATCTCTAGTCCAGTCCTTCGGGGCCAATGGTCCTTTTTTTAGATTACAGTGGAGAAATATGAAAATAAATGTGTTTATGACCCTTGAGCACCTTCCACCACAGAGAAAATTTGTTTTGCTATCATGGGCCCATTGATGAGTATGAAATAACACCATATTCAGAGTGTTCCTCAGCATCCACTCTGTGCTAAACGCTTTTCGTTCACCACCTCATTCGACCTTCACCCTCTGTGGCTGAGGCTAAGGTCACCCACATTTCACAAATGACAAAACAGCCTTTGAGGCTTCCCCTGACTTGCCCCAAGCAGGGGATCCTCAGGGACAAGGGGGTTCATTCATCCATAGGCATTTGGAGATAAACACATTCAAGACCTCAGAGATGCTAAATGTACAGTTGAGATTTTTCTTCCATCAGAATTTCTAGAATGTGTTCTCAATCAAATTCTTATTTTCTGTGAGCATATAAGAAGTCAAACCTCCCAAAATTAGAGCAGAGACATGGGCTATCCAGTAGACATGGGCTACAACATGTTTGGAGTATAATTGGTTTATTCATAGACTTAACCAGAGAAATATGGAAGTTTCGCACACTTCTCCCTGTTCAAGCCAATGGTGACACATACTTAGAATATAATTTCAAATCACAGTTTTACGTATGTGCATGGTTGTATTTGTATTTAACAAATAACATAATTATAACGTCTTGTGTGATTATTATGATCTGGCACCATTTTTAGTGCGTGACATGTATGGAACACTTTTATTTTCACAGCCTATTATTAGCCTTATTCTACAGTTGATTTAACTGAAACCCATGGGTTTGAGTAACATGAACAAAAGGGTGTGCAGCTTATAAAGTGCTCAACAGGGATTTAAGCCCAGGCAGGCAGGCCGGAGTCCCTGCCCCTGACCACTGCATGTGCCACGTCTTGTGGAGTCTGTGGCCTTTTCCACACTGCATTGCCTCTCCCTCTGGGAGGGCCATACTCCAACCTTGGAAACACTATAGTTCTTTCCATACCCAATGTTTTCACGTGGCTTTCCCTCTCTTCGGAATGTTTTTTTATCTGTAAGTACAAGGATACGAAGATAACTTTCCATGACTACATAATCTTCCTTTAGGCCCCAAGTCATTCATTCATTCAACAAATAACTACTGAGCCCCTATAGTTTGCCAGGCCCCGTTCTACAAACTGAGGATACATCAGTGAGCAAAACAAATAAAAATCTTCATCTTTTTTAGCACTTAAAGGGTGTATACAGAAAATAAATTTGGTAATTGAGAAGAAGACATGGAGTATTATCAGAAGAAAAGTGTTGGAAAATCTTGAGCAGGAGAGGGGTCTTGGAGTGTGTAGGGGTCACGTTTTATGTAGGGATTTAGGCTAATCCTCACTGGTTATAGTTGAGCAAAGATGTGGAGTTTACAAGTTAATGAGCCACATTGATATTGGGAGAAATGCTTTCAAGACAGAGCATAGGGACATCTACCAGCCTGTCAATCAAGAGTCCAGTAGGACCATGTCTCAGTAATAGGGATGAACTAGATGTAGATTGAGTCTAACTCCAATTATAAAAAATGATAGTAAAATAAATTTTTCCAACAAACAAAAGTGGATAAAATTCTTCAGCCATAGAAAAATTATCTCAAAAGTAAACTCAGAAATATAAGCAAAAATGACAAACATCAACCCCAAAGAGTAATATGTAAATGAGTCATAATCAATATTGACTTAGCAATAATTTTAATGTAATATACAGTTTAGATTTGTGCAAAACTTAAATGTATGAAAAATCATGTTGAAGATATATCAATATTGATGTAGTAGAGGTAGTAATTTGTGTTAAACTTTAGTAAATCAAGAGTACATGCTGTAATGTTTATAGTAAACGCCAAAACAAGTTTATAAAATGAAAAAATGATAGATTTTTATATTTCTAAAAGAAGCAACGAAAGAATGAAAAAGAGACGTGAAACAGATGGGCCAAATAGAATATGGTTAGAAGTTATAGCTCACATAGAACCCCAATTATATCAGTAATTATTACACATTGCATGCATGTATCAAAATATCACATGTGCCCCATAAGTATGTAGAAATATTATGTATCAATAAAATATGTAATATACTAAATGTTCCAAGTAAAATACTGAGATTATCAGATTATACAATATTATGATTACAGACACCTTAAGTATAAGGATGCAGAGAGACTGAGGCTGTAAGAATGAAAGATGTGGCTCCTCCTGCCAATCACAGCTGCTGGGCCCAGGGTGGTTCCATCCATCCCCCGCCTCACCATGGCTTCCTACAGCCATCGCCAGTTGTCGGGCACATTGTCCTTCCGGGGCCTGGGCGGAGGCTCCGTGCATTCTGGGGCGGGGTCGCCTTCAGCGCAACCAGCATGCACTGGGGCTCCGGCGGCGCGGCGTGTCGGTGTCTTCCGACATTATTTCATACATTATGTACATATATTTCATACATTATGAAATCATGACCACCATCAAGCTCGTTAACATTTCCATCACCTCACAGTTATTTTTTTTTTGGTGTGGTTAGAACACTTAAGATATCCTCTTAACAAATGTCAAGTATACAAGATTTATTCTCTTAACAGATGTCAAGTATACAAGACAATATTGCTAACTATAGTCACCATGCTGTATATTAGCCCTCTAGAAATTATTCACTTTTGCATGACTGAACTTTGTAGCATTTGACCAGTCTTTATTCGTTTCCCTAAACTCCTCACGGGGGACCAACATGCTACTGTTTCTATGAGCTAGTCTACTATTTTAGATAAGTGAGAATATATGGTATTTGTCTTTCTGTGTATTTTTCACTTAGCATAATATAGTTCAGGTTCATTCATGTTGTGCCAAATGGCAGGATTTACTTTGGGCTAAAAAATAAAGAATATTTCATTGTGCAAGTATGTGTATTTATATTTTCATTACATTTTCATTCATTTACAGTTATTTTTCTATTTTTGCTATTGTGAATAATGCTGCAATAAACACTGGTGTGCTGATACCTCTTTGAAATCCCGCTTTCACTTCTTTGGGTGAACCATTACCTAGAAGCATGACTGCTAGACCATATGATAGTACTATTTTTAACTTTTTGAAGAAACTCTGTACTGTTTGCTTATAATTGCTGTGCCAATTTTCATTCTCACCAACAATATTCAAAGGTTTCTTTTTCTCCACTTTCCCTCTCTTTTGTTTGATCTGTAATGATGGCTATTCTAACCGGTGGGAGGTGATACCTCGTTGTGGTTTTAGTTTGCATTTGCCTGATGCTTAGTGATGTTCAGCTCTTTTTATTTACCTGGTGGCCATTTTTATGTCGTCTTTTGAGAAATGCCTACCCAGGCCCTTTGCTTATTTTTAATCAAGGTAATTGGTTTTTGCTATTGAGTTGTTTGAGCTCCTTATAAGTTCTGGATATTACCCTCTTTACAGATATATGGTTTGCAGATATTTTCTCCCATTCTGTAGGTTGCCTTCTCACTTTGTTGATCAGTTGGCCAAATATGCTCGGGTTGCTTTCTGTTCTCCGTATTGTGTTTCATTAGTCTATATGTCCATTTTTCTTTTTTATGACAGTTCTTTACAGTGATAATTCCCATACCTTTGTAATATATTTTGAAATCAATGTGATGCCTCTAGTTTTGTTCAAGGTTGATTTGGCTATTTGAGATCTTTTATGGTTCTAGATGTAGTTACTTATTGTTTTTTTATTTCTGTAAAGAAATACCGGTGATATTTTATAGAAATTGCAATTTATAGATTGTTTTGCTTAATAAGGACATTTTAAACAATGTTAATTATTCAAATCTACAAATTTGAAGATTTGTTAATTATTCAAATGAATGAATACAGTGTCTTTCCATTTATTTGTGTCTCCTTCAATATCTTTGACTAAGGTATTATGATTTTTAGTGTAGGAGTCTTCTGCCCTATTGGATAAGTATTCCTAAATATATTATTTTTTGCTATTTTAAATGGGATTGCTTTCTTATTTTCCTTCAAATAGCTCATCGTTTGTGTGCAGAAATGTCACTGATTTTTGTGTGCTATTTTATGTTCTGCAACTTTACTGAATTTGTTTATTCGAATAGTTTTTTGGTGTAGTCTTAGGGTTTTTATATATATGGCCATGTCACCTGCACAGAGATTATTTTAATATTTTTCTAATTTTGATGCTTTTTTGTCTAATTGCTTTGGATAGGACTTTCAGTACCATGTTAAATAAAAGTGGTGACAATGAACATCCTTGCTTTGTACCAGACCATAGGAGAAACATTTTCATTTTTTATTATGTTAACTGTGGGCTTTTCATATATGATATGTTGTGTTGAAATAAGTTCCTTCTATACCTGTTTTTCAGAGTTTTGACATGAACTGTCAAATGCTTTTGCTGCAATTTTTTTTTATTCTCTTAATGTGTTATATCACACTGAGTGATTTGCCTATGTTGAAGCATTCTTGCATCCCAGAGATACATTTCAGTTGGCTATGGTTTATTCTCTTTTTAATGGGCTGTTGAATTTGGTTTGTTAGTATTTTGTTGAAGATTTTTACACCTATGTTTATCAGTGATATTGACCTGTAGTTTTATTTTCTTTTGATTATCTTTGTCTGGCTTTGATATAAGTGTTTGATGGCCTCATAAAATGAGTTTGGGGCATTCTCCTGGTTTTTGAAAGAGTTTAAGAAGGATTGCTATTAGTTCTTTGAATGTTTAGAATTCATCCACGAAGCCATTTGGTTCGGTCTTTTCTTTGGGAAGTTTTTGTTTACTAATTTGATCTTCTTCTTCCTCTGTTCAGGCTTCCTATTTCCTCTTGATTTAGTTTTGGTAGGTTGCATAAATCAAGTTTGATTTCTTATAGATTATCTAATTTATAAGTGCATAGTTTTCATAATAGTCTTTTATGATCCTTTTCATTTTGAGGCATTTGTTCTAATGACTCCTCCTATTTCTCATTTTAGTTGAGGATACTCTTTTTCTTAGTCTAGCTAAGGTTTATCACCTTTAAATTTTTAAAAAACAATTTAGATTTGCTGATTTTTCTTTAGTTTTTCTAGTCTCATTTCTACTTTAATGTTTTCTTCTGTATTATAACTTTGGACTTAGGCTCTCTATTTCTAGTTTCTTGATATATAAAGTTAGTTGGTTAATTTGAATTCTTTTTTTCATGTAGCTATTCATTGCAATCAACTTTTCTCTTAGTACTGGGTTTGGTGCATCTCATAAGTTTTAGTATAGTGTATTTTTTGTCTGTCTTGAGATTTTAATTCTCTTTTGATTTTTCCTTTTGCCCAGTCATTGCTCAATTTAATAGTATATATGTTAACATGCCAATATGTGATAGAGCACATAAACCTCCAAATTACTAAAGTTATAGAAGATTTATACAACATACTTAATGGTAACAAAACTTTGTACATATGGAACAATGCTCACAACAATAAGAAAAGTCAAGTTCTTTTCTAGTTCACGTGGGATTCTCACCAAAATCAAACACAGGTGGGCCTTTGACAGAACAATAATATAAACATGACATAAAACGTGTAGGATGCAGCTAACGCAGTGGTTACAGAAAAATTTATCCCTGTAGATCATTAAGAAGAAAGGTTAAATATTGACTAATCTCCTATTTCAAGAAGATAGAATAAAAAAATCTCAAATTATATCTACAAAATGTGGAAAGAAAACGAGTAAAGAATGAAGTAGACACCATCAATTATTTATAAATGTATGTAGAAATCATAGGTTAATATTTGTGTTTCTGATTTCAGTTCCACACCAAAGGTCTATAATCATTTTTCTACTTTCATGTTCTTATTGCATTATTTTTAAAAATATTTTTAATTGAAATATTAAAATATAGATTTTTATGGGGTAGAATGTGATATTTTAATATACGAATATTATTTGTAATGATGAAATTAACCTAATGAACATATTATCACCAATTTTCATGGTGAGACATTTAAAATGTACCCACTTAGCAATTTTGATATATACAACACATATATATTACACATATAATTGTAATTATGTATTATATATAATATACATTATATACACATATGTATTATATATACAATTATAATGTTTTGATATATACAACACAATATAGAACATTGACACATGAACAAGATTTTCTTCTATTTAAAGGCTGAATTACATTTCACTGTGGATATATGTCTTGTTTTCTATATCTATTCATCCATTGATGGATACTTAGGTTGATTCCATATCTTGACTATTGTGAATAATGTTGCAATGAACATGGGAGTGCAGATATCTCTTTGACATGCCCAATTAAATTGGATACATCCTTAGTAATGGAATTCCTGAATCACATGGGGTTCATACTATTAATGCCCACATCAAAAAGTCTGAAAGAGCACAAATAGGCAATCTAAGGTCACACCTCAAGGAACTAGAGAAACAAGAACAAACCAAACCCAAACCCAGCAGAAGAAAAGAAATAACAAACATCAGAGCAGAACTAAATGAAATTGAAATAAAAAATACAAAAGCTATATGAAACAACGTAGGTTCTTTGAAAAAATAAGTAAAATTGATACTGTTAGCAAGATTAATCAAGAGAATAGCCAAATAAGCTCAATTAGAAATGAAACAGGTGATATGACAACCAATATCACAGAAATACAAAAGCTTATTCGTGGCTACTATGAACAGCTTTATGCGTGTAAAGTAGAAAACCTACAGGAGATGAATTAATTTCTGGAAATATACAATGCTCCTAGATTAAACAAAGAAGAAATAGAAACTCTGAAGAGACCAGTAACAAGCAGCAAGATTGGAATGGTAATTAAAAAATGCCAGCAAAAAAAGTCTGGGACCAGATGGATTCACAGCTGAATTAATTGGCATCAATCCTACTGACACTATTCCACAAGATAGAGGGAAAACTTCCTACATCATTCTATGAAGCCAGTATCACCCTAATACCAAACCCAGGAAAGGACATAACAAAACTATAGACCAATATCCCTGATGAACATACATGCAAAAATTCTCAACAAAATACTGTCTAACAGAATCCAACAACATATCAAAAAGATAAATCATCATGATCAAGTGGGTTTCGTAACAGGGATGCAGGGTTGATTTAACATATATGAGTCAACTCGTGATACATCGCATAACCATGTGACTTTTGTTTTTAATTCTGTGTATCTCAATAGTTGCAGAAAAAGCATTTGACAAAATCCATCCCTTTATGATTAAAACCCTCAGCAAAATCAGCATACAAGGGACACACTGTAAGGTAATAAAAGTCACCTATGACAAATCCACAGCAAACATTATTCTGAATGGGGAAAAGTTGAAGGCATTCCCTCTGAGAACTGGAACAAGGCAAGGATGCCCATTTTTGCCACTTATATTCAATATAGTTCTGGAAGTCCTAGCCAGAGCAATCAGACAAGAGAAAGAAGTAAAGGGCATCTAAATCAGTAAAGAGGAAGTTATGCTGTCGGTTTGCTGATAATATGATCGTATACCAAGAAAACCCTAAAGACTCATCCAAAAAGCTCCTGGAACTGGTAAATGAAGTCAGCAAAGTTTCAGAATACAAAATTAATGTACACGACTCAGTAGCTCTGTTAATACAGCAATAGCCACCAAGCTGAGATGCAAATCAAGAGCTCAACCCAATTTACAATAGCTGCAAAATAAAATACTTAGGAATACCTAACCAAGGAGGTAAAAGACCTCTATGAGGAAAACTACAAATCACTGCTGAAAGAGATCATAGATGACACAAATAAATTGAAACACATCCCATGCTTATGGGTGAGTAGAATCAATAATTGAAAATGACCATATTGCCAAAGCAATGGACAAATTCAATGCACTTCCCATCAAAACACCACCATCATTCTTCACAGAAAAACAATCCTAAACAATCCTAAAATTCATATGGAACCAAAAAGCCCACATAGCCAAAGCAAGACTAGGAAAAGAGAACGAAACCAGAGGCATCACATTACTCGACTTCAAACTATACTATAAGGCCATAGTCACCAAAATAGCTTGGTACTGGCATAAAAATCAGTATATAGACCAATGGAACAGTATAGAGAACCCAGAAATAAAACCAAATACTACAGCCAACTGATCTTCAACAAAGCAAACAAAAACATAAAAGTGGGGAAAGGACACCCTATTCAACAAATGGTGCTGAGAAAATTGGCAAGCCACATGTAAAGAATGAAACTGGAACCTCATCTCTAACCTTATAGAAAAAACAACTCAGGATAGATCAAAGACTTAAACCTAAGACCTGAAATTATTAAAAATCTGGAAAATAACGTCAGAAAATGTTAACTTGTAGACATTGGCTTAGGCAAAGACTTCATGACCAAGAACCCAAAAGCAAATGCAATAAAAACAAAAATAAATGGGACTTAATTAAACTAAAAAGCTTGTGCACAGCAAAAGACATAATCATCAGAGTAAACAGACAACCCATGGAGTGGGAGAAAATCTTCAGTCTCTACATCCAACAAAGGACTAATATCTAGAATCTACAAGAAACTCAAATCAGCAAGAACAAAACAAAGCCATTAAAAAGTGGGCTAAGGACACAAATAGACAATTCTCAAGAGAAAATATACAAATGGCCAACAAACATGAAAAAAATGCTCAACATCACTAATTATCAGGGAAATGAAATTCAAAACCGCAATGCAATACCATCTCACTCCTGCAAGAATGGCCATAATCAAAAAATTTTTTAAAAATAGACATTGGTGTGGATGTGCTGAAAAGGGAACTCTTTTACACTGCTGGTGCAAATGTAAACTTGTACAACCACTATGGAAAAGTCTGGAGATTCCTTAAAGATCTAAAAGTATATCTACCATTTGATCCAGCAATCCCACTACTTGGTGTGTACCCAGAGGAAAATAAGTCATTGTATTCAAAAGATACTTACACATGTTTACAGCACCACACTTCACAATTGCAAAAATATGGAAGCAGCCCAAATGATCATCAATCAATGAGTGGATAAAGAAAATCATATATATTCATATATTCTCATATTCGTATATATTCATATATTCATATATATTCATATATTCACATACATATATTCATATACATATATTTATATATACATATATACACATATATACATATATTCCTATATATGCATATATATATATATATGAATATTACTTAGCCATGAAAAGGAATGAAATAATGGTATTTGCAGCAAACTAGATGTAATTAGAGACCATTATTCCAAGTGAAGCAACTCAGGAATGAAAAACCAAACATTGTTCTCACTCACACCTGGGAGCTAAGCTATGAGGATACAAAGGGATAATAATGATACAATAGACTTTGGGGACTTGGGGGAAAGGGTGGGAGCAGGTGAGGGATAAAAGACTACACATCGGGTACAGTGTACACTACTTGGGTGATGAGTGCACCAAATTCTCAAATTGCCACTAAAGAACTTAATGTAACCAAACACCAACTGTTCCCCAAAAACCTATTGAAATAAAAAAATATATATATATCATAGGTACATCATCCAGGGGCAGTGGCTTATGCCCTATAATCCCAACACTTTGGAAGGCTGAGGTGGGAAGATTGCTTGAGCCTAAGTATTTGAGACCAGCCTGGGTAACATAGTGAGACCTCATCTCTCCAAAAATTAAATTTAAAAAAATTAGGGAGGCATAGTGGCACGTGTCTATAGTCCTAGCTACTCAGGAGGCTGAGGTGAGAGGATCACTTGAGCCTGGGAGATTGAAGCTGCAGTGAGCCACAACTGTGACACTGCACTCCAGCCTGGGTGACAGAGCAAGACCCTGACTCAAAAATGGGGGTATATATTTTACAGGTACATCAAAGTCTTATCTGTGCTCTCCTGAATTCCCTCTCTTAGTGTCCTCAGACCAATTTTTTTAAACAGTAGGTGTGTATCTTCCCTATCAATTTTTAATGTTTTTATTGCAGATATGTGTCCAAATGTAATATTTTAGCAGGATGTATTTGTTAAATGGTAACACACTGATCATTCTGCCACATATATTTTCCTTCAACTTTACTTATTGAAATGTTCACAATAAATTGGTATTAATATTGGTCATGTGTGCATTTTCTTTATATGAATATTTAGGTTTACCACTTTTTTCATGCTTTATAGTGTAACAGAGTGTCTATCCTCGTATAATCTCCTTGGAAGTCTTAGGTAGTGAAGAAAGAACATCTTCAATGTTATGAGATATTACTAAATTCATCTCTAAAGGAGTTGCACTAATCTCTCTAACCATCATTTTCCCTTCTTCATTTATTTAACAAATAATCAATTTTTACTATTATGTTGGTGCGAAAGTGATATATGCCAGGCATAGTGCTAATGTTAGAAAGCAACAGAGAAGAAAATGAATATATTTTGGTCTCCTTGTGCAATAACAAAAACCCAAACAGTGAATAGGTAAAACATATGATGTGGTCATGCCAGATGATGATATATGTTATGAACATAAAATAGGGAGCACTGTTGCAAATTTTAAATATAATTATGGATCAGTCAGAATGCACAAGGTAATGCCATAGTAACATCTCAAGCTGCACAAAAACATTGTTTATGTGATGTTCACATTGTAAATCTGTCAGATGGTACTCAGGGTCCACTCATCAAAAGTCCCTCAAGGACCTAAGATGATAAATTTGTTGACCATTTTGTCATTTTATGTTCTTGAATATGTTTATATTTGTGGCTATACATGAAGCTTGTACAACTATTGAAGTATATCCATAAAAAAAATAAGTGTACAGCTCATTAAGGATTTCATAGCAGTACCTAAAATGTATCTAGAATTTTGCAATTTTACGTATTATCAACCCTCCACCTGCGATTTTTAAACACTTATTTAGTTTTTTAACTTTCATACCTATACAGCTCATTAAAGTAATTTCTAATTATACATATTCATGTGGAATTTTCATTGAAACTTAGAAATAATTAAAATACAAGAGTGAGTTGAGGCTTGTGTGAAGGGTATAAAAGAAGGATTGTTATGTCTGAGGTGTGAGAGTTCTCACTGATTGAGTAGAGCACGCCTTCATAAAGAAATTGTCATATTATCTAAGCGTTTATGACTGGTAGAGTTTATACAGAAATGCATTTGGTAAATTCACAGCAAGGAAGCAGGATACAAGAAGTTATGAAGGAATATGAAAGTGTGTGGTTTAAGGATACTCTGAGATATTGGAAGAAGCAATGTTGGAAGATAGGGTGGGTACCAGCCAAGGACAGAATATGCTCATTCTGTCTCCTGGTGTCAGTATCTGCTTCTGCAGTTGGGCTTATGAGTTGGATTCTGCATCTGAAGATTCAACCAATCATGGACTTAACCAATCATGGATTGAAAATATAATTAGGCTTATCATGGTCACATTGGTACAGACTTTTCTAAATTTTATTTTTGTTGTGACATAGGTGTATACATTTACGGGGTACATGAGATGTTTTGATACAGGAATGCAATGCATAATAAATGCATGATGAAAAATGGAGTATCCTCTCAAGCATTTATCTTTTGTGTTACAATATTACTATATCCTTTTAGTTATTTTTAAATGTACGATTGTTATTGACAATGTCAGTCTATTATGCTAGTACTTATTCATTCTAACAACTTTGTTGTATCCATTAACCATCCCCACCTACCCCTTCACCCCCCCCAGTACCCTTCCCAGTATCTGCTAAGCATATTTCTAATTTATATCTCCATAAGTCCAATTGTTTTGATTTTAAGGTGCCACAAATAACTGAGAACATGCAATGTTTGTCTTTCTGTGCCTGGCTTATTTGACTTAGCATAATGACCTCCAATTCCATCTATGTTGTTGCAAATGACAGGATTTCATTGTTTTGTGGCTATATAGTACACTATCATGTATAAGTACCACATTTTCTTTACCCATTCATCTGTTGACGAACACATAGGTTGCTTCCAAATTGTAGCTATTGTGAACAGAGCTGCAACAAACATGGAAGTGTAGATGTCTCTTCAGTATATTGATTTCTTTTCTTTTGGCTATATACCCAGCAGTGGGATTGCTGGATAATACGTTAGCTCTATTCTTAGTTTTTTGAGGAACCTCCAAACTGTTCTCTGTTGCACCTTTAAATACAACTTTAAATGCAACTTCACATTCCCACAGAGTTTATGAGGGTTCCCTTTTCTCCATGTCCTCACCAGCATTTATTTTTGCATGTCTTTTGTATAAGAGCCATTTTAATTGGGATGAGATGGTATCTCATTGTAGCTTTGATCTGCATTTCTCTGATCAATGTTGAGCACTTTTTATGTGCCTGTTTTTGATTTGTATGTTGTCTTTTGAGAAATGTGTATTCAATCTTTTATCAGTATATAAATCAGATTATTATATTTTTTCCTATAGATTTGTTTGAGCTCCCTATGTATTGCGGTTATTAATTCCTTGTCAGGTGGGTAGTTTGAAAACATTTTCTTCCATTTTGTGGGATGTCTCTTTGTTGATTTATTTCCTTCACTGTGCAGAAGCTTTTTAACAAAATGTGCTCTCATTTGTCCATGTTTGCTTTGGTTGTCTGTGTTATGGAGTATTACTCAAGAAATATTTGCCCAGACAAATATCCTGGAGATTTTCTCCAATGTTTTCTTCTGGTAGTTTCATAGTTTGAGGTCTTAAAGTCTTTAGTCCATTTTGACTATATCTTTGTATATGGCGAGAGACGGGACTAGTTTCATTTTTCTTCATATAGATATCCACTTTTCCCAGTGCTGCTTATTGAAGAGATGATCTTTTCCCTGGTGTATGTTCCTTGCACCTTTGTAGAAAATGAGTTCACTGTAGGTGTGTGGATTTGTTTCTGAGTTCTCTATTCTGTTTCATTGGTCTATGTATCTGCATTTATGCCAGCACCATGCTGTTTTGGTTATGGTAGCTCTGTAGTATAATTTGAAGTCAGGCAATGGGATTCCTCCAGTTTTGGTGGGTTGGTTGGTTGGCGGTTTTGCTTAGAATAATTTTGGCTCCTCTGGGTGTTTTGTGCCTTCATACAAATGATAGGATAGTGTCTTCTATATCTGTAAGAAATGTCATTGGTATTTTGATAAGGATAACATTGAATCTATAGATTGCTTTGAGTACTATGGATATTTTAACAATATTGATTCTTTTGGTTCATGAACCTGGAATATCTTTTCATTTTTTAGTGTCCTCTTCAATTATTACTGTTTTATAGTTATCATTATAGAACTCTTTCACTTCTTTGGTTAATTCCTCTTTAATTTTATTTGTGGCTATCATAAATGTCATTACTTTTTAAATTTGTTTTAATCTATTTGCTATTGACTTATAGAAATCTGCCTTTTGTATGTTGATTTTGTATCCTGCAACTTTCCTGAATTTGTTTATTAGTTCTAATAGGTTTTTGGGGAGACTTTAGGTTTTTCCAAGCATAAGGTCCTATCATCTGTGAACAAAGATAATTTTACTTTTCTTTGACGTTTGATGCCGTATGCATGTGTGTGTGTGTGTGTGTGTGTGTGTGTGTGTGTGTGTGTGTGTATATATATATATATATATATATATATATATATATATATATGTTTGTTTCTCTTGTCTGATTGCTCTAGCTAGAACTTCCAGTAATATGTTGAATAACAATGGTAACAATAGTTGCACTAAAGTGCAAGACAAAATCTCCTTTAATTTTCTGTCCACTTTCCTCAAGCAGAAGGAGTCTTGCCCCATAGCCACCATAGCTGGTAATATGCTGAGTCTCACCTGAAGCCAGCATGTCTCAGAGTCTCACCCAAGGCCCTCATGACTCTGGCTGGTATCCAACCCTGATGTGGCTGAGCTGGTATCCAAGATGCAAGACAAAGTCCTCCTCACTCTTCCCTCTCCTCTCCTAAAGCAGAGGAAAGAGGCCTCTTTTGGAGCCACAAGCCGTGGAGGCTGAGGTTAGGGGATGAGTTTAGCTGCCCTGGCTGGTGTTTTAACAGGTCATGTGTCCCCTGAGTCCACTGGCTCTGGGCCCAGATTAGCATTAGGATTTGCAGCTCTTGTGGCCTAGACTGCCCTTCAGGTTTGTCTGTGGCTCCAGAGCCACTTTAGCCCTTCATGGTGAGGCTTGGGTAACTCAAGTTCCAAACACTGGGATTCGCAATTCCCTTCCAGCAATGGCTGATTTAAATGCACCCTTCATGGTGGGTGTCAGCTGAATTTGGTCTGGGTCTTCTTTCTGCTATAACAAGGGCATTGCTGAGTTCAGTGTCTTAGAATTGCTGGCTCTCCCTCTCCCCAGTGCACAGAGAAGCTCTCCATACCACACCTCCACTGCTGGGGGATGAAGGAGTGGTAGTGTCAGTGATGCAATACTGTTTTTCTAACTTCTTCAATGCCTCATTCAGAAATATGAATTTAACTCCATGTACTGTGAGTGCTCACCCGATTTTTGGTTCTTGTAAAGGTGTTTTTTGTGTAGGTAGTTTTTAAATTGGTGTTCTTGCAGGGGGATGATCAGTGGAAACTTCTATTCTGTCATCTTGTTCCATCCTCCAGACTTTTTTTCCTTGTCATTATTTCGTAAAAAAAAAATAGTATAACGGCTATTTACATAGCATTCATATTGCATTAGTTGTTATAAGTAATCTAGACATGATTTCAAGCATACGAGAAGATTGGTGTAGGTTATATAGAAATACTCTGCCATTTCATATTAGGGTCTTTAGCATCATGGATTTTGGTATTTTCACGATGTCCTGGTACTGAGGACAGATAGTGAGGGATGACTGTACACAGGGATGAATACACTACTCAGTATTTGTACGTTTGTCATGCTAGAAAGACTCAGCAAAGTCTCGGAACCTTGCAGGCACTGAGAAAAGTGGCTCCCTTTTTCCATTCTTTTTCATTCCCAAATTATATAATCTAAATTCGATGAGACTAATATTTCAAGGGAAGTCTCTGAGCCTTTAAGGAGAGGGGCGATGTGGGAGAAGGTCACCCTGTCATGGAGAAATCTTAGACCACATTCGGTCATCAGATTCATAGATGTCTTAAGAGTCACAGAAGCATAGCAAGTACATAACACTCCTCCTTTTATTTGATTGAGGAAGTGACACTCAGAGCTTTTAGGGTCTTGACTAAGATTACACAATTAATTGGAAGCAAATATAATAAATGGTAAATGTTTCTTTTAGAACCTTAAATGTTGTCAGACTCCGATATTTTCTCCTGAATCTGGGAAAGCCCCTGCTGTGTTAATGGAAAGTCTCTATAGATGCAACTTTTCCCCACGAAAGATGGCTTTGTAGGGCCATTTCAAAATATGTCAAAGACATACTTTGGGGTGGAATATTTTGATTTTCCTCAGGGTCTGCTATCTGTCATGTGATGCTATACTAGAGTCAGGTTGGAATTTGGTATCTTATTGCCACTCAGAGTCTGTTTTGTCAGTCTTAGGAACTCTATTTCAATGTTATTGCTGGTCAGTTGTGCCTAAATTCCAACAGACAGGGGTATAATGAAGTGTGTCTCCCTTCTTGTTATGTCCTGCAATTAAGCTTTTCAGCTTTCCTGAGATTCTCTTGTCCTAGAAGGGGGTCTGTTCAGTTGATTAGGGGTCTTAGGATTTTATATTTAGTTTACAGATTTCTGACACTGGTTTTCCATGATCCTCCCTTTGTGAAATTCAGATTTGCTTTTACAAAGAGCTTACTTTAAATGTCCGATACGAAAATATAATTTTAAACTAGAAAAATGAAGTTGTTTAAAAATGTGCAATGTCATGAAAAAGATGGATTTGCTTTTGGATAGACGCATCGCATAAATGAAAAACATGTTTAATTACCACGTGGACTGTAACTGGAAAGTTAGAATATAACTATCAAAAACAAATAGCAAAACAAAACAAAAATACCAAAATAATGGATTCTGAGATGGTCTTAAAGAAAGTAGAAGCTCCAGGGAAGAGACAATGCCAAGTACAGGGAAGATGAATAAGCAGAAAAAAAAAAGGGAAAACGGTGCAAAGAATTAAGCAATAAACACTCATCTCAATTCCCTAATGTGAAGAAACTGATGATGTAATTTTCTCATTTTCATTCTGAATTTAAACCCCTTTGCTTTGGCCTTAGAATGGTGAAAGCAGCTTCACTGAGCTGGCGTGGCTTAGATTTATTCTCTGATGGAGCAGAAGAGGTGGAGCA
The DNA here is from genome assembly GCF_000001405.40 of Homo sapiens. Classification (NCBI taxonomy): domain Eukaryota; kingdom Metazoa; phylum Chordata; class Mammalia; order Primates; family Hominidae; genus Homo; species Homo sapiens. The sequence continues at coordinate 218,270 of NW_025791755.1, read as the reverse complement.
AATGGTTTGTGCTCTATGTGCAATGTTCGTCTCTTTGTGGAAAGGTGTCTTGATAACCCGTTTCTTCAGTGCTTTATAAAGGGGATAAGTAAGGAACAAAGATACCTGACTCTTGTTGCTAGCTCTTTGTAATTCTGACTTTAGGTTTCCTGAAGTCCCAGGTTTTGTTTTTTTTTTTTGGTCTCTTGTTTTGTGTGTATGGTTTTGTTTTTGTTGTTGTTTTTTTTTTTTTTTTTTTTTTTTGCCCTAGGAACAGTGCGTTGTATTTCACTTTGCATTTCCACGTGCCTCAGTCACTGTTAGTTTTTTCCTCAGCATTATTTCTCTAACCTGCAGTACAGCAACCCTGAGGATGACCAAACCTCAGTCATGGAGCTCCTGACTCTTCATTAGTCTAGAAGTTAGTGGGCTTTTTAACTTTGAGACAATTGTATCAAGCATGATTGAAACAATTCAACTGGAAAATTAAAACTGAAATATTCAGACAAAGCAGTCACTGAGCAAAGCTATGAATTTATGGGAGGGGGTGGTGATTAGTTTGTTATGCAAAGGAGATGCAGGACAAGAGGATCCCTAGGCTTGGTTGCAGGGCTGCGGTTTTATGAAAGATTCAACACAACTGCCTCATGTGCTTTAACTTCATTTTTCAATCACCATGCACGGAATTTTGGACATTTTAGGCATGATTTTGGGGGATAAATATGGCATTTTGAAAATAAATATTTTGTTTATATTTCAAATAAATACTTGATATTTAGGGCATCTGCAGCATTTATTGCTGTGATTTCTTGTAAAAATATTTCTCTGCCTGACAGTTAATAAATTAAATGCCTTAGATTTCACTGGGGACTGGGAAGAGGGCTCACTGTGCCTACTGCTGCTCTCCTGCTCGGCACTCGTTCTGCACTCCAAGCTACTCTCCTCAGGCAGGCGGGACTCTCCCTCTGCTCCTCTGCCCCAGTCAGCACTACTTATGGAATGCAACCTTGTGAGGAATAGCAGAATAAATTGAAAAGTTTTCATGAGGAAAGTGGACTTAAATGGAGATATATAATGGTAGAAGAAATTTAAGGAGATTTCCAGTTTTCAGATTATTTCATGGTATTAGTTATGATATTTGTACCATTAACAATATTAATATTAACCTTATCAGCCATGATTTCCATCACTGAGTCCTGGATGAGCTACTGTATCCAAAAAGTAGTGAAAATCTCAACCCAACACTAACACTGTGTTACAGACCTAACGTGCATTCCCTACTTCAGTCTCTAACCATCCCACAAGGCCAGTATACTTGTGTTCTTAATTCTGGGGGGAAATAAGACATAGAGTGTACCTGTCTTCACTCTTGACTTAGCTCAGGAATAGTCACCTCCCCAGATCTGTTTCGTAGTTCACTTTAGCTTGTGGCCAACATGCGACTTGACCTAAGATTTGAACTTATGATTTTATGTCAGTTTAACTCAATATTTAGAAAAATAATTCAAAGCACATGTCTTACCAGAAAAAGGTTAGGAAAGCCATGTACATAGGAAAGATTTAAAATTAATGACTTTTTTTTCCTCAGGGGGAAACTGTGAGCCAGTCATGTGCTCAGGGAATCAGACTTCTCAGAATCAAACAGCAAGCACTGATTTCACCCTCACGGGACTCTTTGCTGAGAGCAAGCATGCTGCCCTCCTCTACACCGTGACCTTCCTTCTTTTCTTGATGGCCCTCACTGGGAATGCCCTCCTCATCCTCCTCATCCACTCAGAGCCCCGCCTCCACACCCCCATGTACTTCTTCATCAGCCAGCTCGCGCTCATGGATCTCATGTACCTATGCGTGACTGTGCCCAAGATGCTTGTGGGCCAGGTCACTGGAGATGATACCATTTCCCCGTCAGGCTGTGGGATCCAGATGTTCTTCCACCTGACCCTGGCTGGAGCTGAGGTTTTCCTCCTGGCTGCCATGGCCTATGACCGATATGCTGCTGTTTGCAGACCTCTCCATTACCCACTGCTGATGAACCAGAGGGTGTGCCAGCTCCTGGTGTCAGCCTGCTGGGTTTTGGGAATGGTTGATGGTTTGTTGCTCACCCCCATTACCATGAGCTTCCCCTTTTGCCAGTCTAGGAAAATCCTGAGTTTTTTCTGTGAGACTCCTGCCCTGCTGAAGCTCTCCTGCTCTGACGTCTCCCTCTATAAGATGCTCACGTACCTGTGCTGCATCCTCATGCTTCTCACCCCCATCATGGTCATCTCCAGCTCATACACCCTCATCCTGCATCTCATCCACAGGATGAATTCTGCCGCCGGCCGCAGGAAGGCCTTGGCCACCTGCTCCTCCCACATGATCATAGTGCTGCTGCTCTTCGGTGCTTCCTTCTACACCTACATGCTCCCGAGTTCCTACCACACAGCTGAGCAGGACATGATGGTGTCTGCCTTTTACACCATCTTCACTCCTGTGCTGAACCCCCTCATTTACAGTCTCCGCAACAAAGATGTCACCAGGGCTCTGAGGAGCATGATGCAGTCAAGAATGAACCAAGAAAAGTAGTAAAGGGCAAGCATTGTCCCCTCCTCTTTCTATAATTCCGTTACTCCCTATCTCTCCTCTCTTTTGCCCTCAGGTCTCCGGGTCCCCAGCACAAAGCCCACTCATATTTTCCTTCTTTCTTATACGTGGCGTTTTCCCTCCATACTGCTTATTGCTCCCATTTATCTCATTAGATTTAATATCTTTAGAGTGTTTTTAACTGCACTGCAGTAGCTGACCTATGAAAGACCTTATAGAGTGCCTTTTATCTTATCTCCCATCCCAGGTTCATTGAGCATTTTAGTATGAGACTTGGTCTTAAACACTTTACCCCTCGAAGAGACTCATTGTAAAGACTTAGAATCCTAGCAGAGCCCTAGAGGAGGAGTATTGGCTGCTCCCTCCCTTTGCAATACATTGTAAACCTCGGTTCACATTGGCAGCCACTGGGGTCAGTGTTTCTGCTATTGTATCTCAGTAAGTACAAAGAAACGCATTTTCTCCAAAGGCTGAAGTGAACTTTGTAGTGTAAACACCAGTAGTTTTAGCATTGGCCATTGGAACCACCTAAACCAAAAATGAATCCATTTCAAAATTCAAAGAATAGGTTCATCTATTTCATAGTATGTAAATAAAAGTAGTTCCAGATTTAGTTTCTTTAGGATTTAGTCTATTCCAGACAATGGTCTACTATGTTTACAATAAATATCATAACAGTCGCGTGCGATAATGGAGACTTAGGAAAGCTTAACCCCCTCGGCATGTTTCTTCTGAAACTGGGAAAACCAGCAAAATGGTTATAAACTTGTCACTAACCTTTAGTTTGCCAGATGTATATCATGCTACAAACGTAACTTCTGTAAATCTATGAGCATCAGATCACTATCATTTTCATTAACAAAATAATTCATGGGTGTAGTATTTCTGGAACGTGAGAAATTAGGAAAGAAATACATTTGTTCTAATTAATATGCAAGAAGCTGAATCTCGAGCTGTATCGTGAAGCTGTTAATTTACTTCCCCTTGGCACAGCCCTGACCTTGCCTGATTTACCGACAATGAATGGAAGCCAGGTGTTCCCATGCCTATCGCATCTTCGAGAGAAATGACAAGTACTTGCTTTACATGACACATCGACCGAACACTTTTGCTTCTCACTGAAAATTATTCCTGCAGTGCATGAAAGGAGTTTGTCTGAGTTTGTGTACAGAGATCTGAATTTGGAAGTAAATTCCACCAAGTGGTGCAGAAATATCACTTGTAAGAGGGGGTTGTTAGAGGTAGGTAAAATTTGGTTTCAGAAATTGCTGTAATTAAATAAATGGGCAAAACTGCTCAAATGGACACCACAGATGACTAATTTAACAATGTTCTTATGTTGTCATTATATTATTTATATAATTATTTACCTCAGGAAGGTGTACAGAGTGGGATTGCTGAATTATAGAGTAGCTCTATTTTTAATCTTTATAGAACTGTCATACAGCTTTCAACACAGGCTGTTGCAACTTACGTTTCTACCAGCAATGCACATGTACAAGTGTTCCATTTCCTACACACACTTGACAGCACTTGCTATGTATTGCCTGGTAATAGCCATCCTAGCAGGTGTGAGCTGATATCTCATTGTGGTTTTGATTTGTGTGGCCCTGATGATTAGTGATGTTGAACATCTTTTCATTCACCTGTTGGCTATTTGTATTGCCTCTTTGGAAAAATGCCTATTCACACTGTCTTTACCATTTTTAAGTTGGGTAATTTGATATTTGCTAATGATTTTGTCAGTTTCTTTTATATTTTGGATGCTAACTCCTTATCCAAAATATGGTTTGCAGATATGTTCTCCCATTGCAGAGATTACCTTTTCATTTTATTGTTTCCTTTTCTGTGCAAAAGTTTTTGCATGTTGATGCAGTCCTACTTGCTTATTTTGCTTTTGTTGCCTTAATTTTTGTGTCATATCAAAAATATCACGGCCAAGATCAATGTCAAAGAGCTGTTTCCCTATGTCATCATCTAGGACTTTTACAAGTCCAGGTCTTCCATTTAAGTCTTCGATCCATTTAGATTTGGTTTTGGGGGAATAGTGTAGGATAAGAGTCCAATTTCGTTCCTCTGCATGTATGTATCTGGTTTTCCCAATGCCATTTATTGAACAGACTATCCTTTCTTCATGCTGCATTTTTGGCACCCTCATCAAAGACTAATTGACCATATAAGCATGGCTTTATTTCTATAATTTGTAATATAGTTTGAAATCGGAGTCAAGCCTCCAGCTTTGTTCTTTTTATCAATATTGCTTTGGCTATTTGATATTTTTGTGCATTCACAAAATTTCTAGAGTTGTTTTATTCTATTTATGTAAAAAATGCCTGTGGAATTTTAGTTGGGGTTATACTGAATCAGACATTTTCTGGAGTAATATGGACATTTAAAGAATATTAGTTATTCTAACCCATTAACATGAGATATCCTCCCACTTATTTATCTCCTCTTTAGTGAACAGATCTTTCACTCCCTCAGCTGTATTTATTCCTATGTATTTTATTCTATTGGATGGTATTGGGAATGGTATTCTTTTCTTAATTACATATTTGGATGGTTCCTTTTTGGTGTATAGAAATACAACTCATTTATATATGTTTATTTTGTATCCTGCAAGTTTCTTGAATTCTTTAACTCTGATGGGATTTTGGTGGAGTCTTTAGAGTTTTTTATATGTAAAATCATGTCATCTGCAAACAGATGGCAAGATAATTTAACTTCCTCTGATTTGAAAGCCTTTTCTTTCTTTTTATTGCCTAATTGCTCTGGCTAGTTTCCGGTATTATGTTGAATAGAAGCAGTGAGAGTGAGCACTCTTGTCTTCTTCCTGATCTTAGCGGAAAATCTGTTTCTCTCCATCGAGTATGATTTAGCTGTGAGATTTATTATGTAAAGGCACATTCCTTCTATAACAAATCTGCTGAGTTTTTATCATGAAAAGATGTTGAATTTTATCCAATGCTTTTTCTATGTCTATTGAGATGCACAATTGTTTTTGTCATTTATTCTGTTAATGTGGCATATCATATTTATTGATTGGTGTATGTTGAACCATCTTTGCATCTGTGGGAAAAAAACTTGGGACCCCAATTTACTATGCCAAAAGGAAAAAAGATACTAAGCTGAAAGCTGAGTTATGCAAGAAACTGCATTTCCTTTGGTTTTTGTTTTTTGTTCCTAATCAGTTAACTACTGATAAAATGTTAGAGTAACAGGCAGTAACTCCACATTCTCCTTACCTGACGTAAAGCGATGATCCTTCTACTGAGTGTGAAAGGAATACATAAATGACTATTCACCTACCTGCTTCTTTGCTTCTTTTCTTCTTGCAACCTGTGGATTATCATACTCTCCCTCTTTCCCCTCTAGCCTGCTTTCCCCTTTAAATATTAAAGTCCTCAAAATTATCTTTAAAGAAAAGCACAGACCACAGACTGTTTCTGTAATTGTGTTCTTTTTTCCAAGCATGTCCTTTACCTTGGTGAAATAAACTTTCAATCTGATTGAGACCTGTCTGACATACTTTTGGTTTATACATCCTAGGAATAATCCCACTTGATTATGGTGAAGTATCCTTTTAATGCACTGCTTTGGTTTGTTAGTATTTTGTTAATTTTTACCAAAAATTATGAAAGCTGTTTGTCAGGAATATTGACCTATAATATTTTGGGAGTTAGTGTTCTTATCTGGCTTTGGTTTAAAGGTAATGTTGGCTTCAGTAAATGAATTTGGAAGTGTTTTTGCCCTTCAATGTTTTGAAAAAATCAGAGGAGGATATGTGTTAGTTCTTTAAGTGCTTGGATGAATTCATCATGAAGTCTTCTAGTCCTAGGCTTTTCTTGGGAGTTTTTTTTTTTTTTTTTTTTTTTTTTTTTTTAAGACAAAGTCTTACTCTGTTGCCCAGGCTGGAGTGCAGTGGCATGACCTCGGCTCACTGCAACCTCCGCCTCCTGGGTTCAAGTAATCATTTCATGTGCTGAGTACTCTTATACCTACTTTCTTAGCAATTTTCAAGTACATAATTGTTGAAACTGTAGTCAGCATGATGTACCATAAACCTCCTGAACTTATTTCTCCTGCTTAAATAAAATTTTGTATCCTTTGACCCACATCTTCTCTTTTCCTTCCTCACTCCAAACTCTGGTAACCACCATTTTATTCTTTGTTTCTATGTGTTTGACTATTGGACACTTCACATATAAATGAAATTGTGCAATATTTGTCCTATACCAGGCTTATTTTATTTAAAATATTGTCCTCTGGGCTCATCCATATTTTTCCAAATTATAGAATTGTCTTTGACTTTTGACAAACTGATCATAATATGTCTCAGGTATAATGTTTTGGTTTGTTCTTGCTTGGGTTCCTTTGAACTTTATGAATCTGCATGTCCCTATCCCTCACAAATTTAGGAAATGTTGTCATTTTAGCTTTCTGTTTTTCTCTCTTCTCCTTCTGTGAATGTCATAATACACATATATATTTGCTTGATGTTGTCTTATAGTTCCCAGATGCTTCTGCATTTTATTTTTTTTGTTCCTCTAACTGTATGATCTAAACTCAAGTTCATTGCTTCCTTTTGCTGTATGATGAAATATGTTATTAAAGTACTCTGTTGACCTTCTCACTTCCATAATTGTATTCAGAATATTTTACAAGCTTTACACTAAAGTTAACGAGATTTACACACCTCCATTACAGTACTAGAGTGTTCCAAATTTGACTACAAATCTTCTCAGCACAAGAATTCTTTCCTTTTATGATGTCAATGTCTTTATTATATTTCTCATTTTGTTTATGCATTTTTTTATTAGTTTTAGATCTCTGCTATTTTGAAGCTCTTTGATCCTATTTAATATGATTTTAAAATTCTTAGGCAATTCATAGATTTCCATTTCCTTGGGGTTGCTTAATGAAGCTTTATTACTTTGGTGGTATTTATTTATTACTTTGGTGTCACATTTGCCTGATTTTTTGTGACTCAAGTAGCTATGCATTGATGTGTGCACATTTGAAGTTGCAAACAGCTCTTCTGGTCTGCATAGACTGGTTTCGGTAGGTAAAGACATTCTCCTGTCATTTCTCTAGGCTAATAAGAATTACCTCCAGGACTGCAGTTGAGCAGGGTTAGAGCCATGTCATGTGGCTACTCCTGAGTCTACAGCAGAATTTTTAGTTGGCAAGCTTGTTACCAGAAGTCGAGTTGAGTATAAATCCTGTCTGGTCTCTTGGTAGAGAAGACTGCCTCTAGTACCTTGGTCAATAGGGCTATCGCTAGGACACTCTGCTTCAGGGTTCACATTTGGTTCTGTAGATGGCATGCCTCTTACGAGGTACAGAAATGGGTGTGGATTCTATTGAGTCCCTTGAAGGACTCCCATTATATTGGTGGGAAAGTCTCTGGGCAAGAAGGATTGTCCCCAGACCACAGTTGAGAGGACCTGGAACTGAGTCTCAGGGCTGTGTCATGGACCACAGCTGAGTCTGAGGTCTTCTGTCCTGCATGGATGGGTGTACCTCCTGCATAGTCCCTGTAAATATAAGATATAAGATATCCCCAAGCTGTGGTTGAATGGAAGCTGGAGCTGGATAAGAGGGCTGATTCAGGATCTCCAGCTGACTGATGTCAGCAGTCTTGTTTACAGGGGCATCGATCAATGTGTCACCCAGGAGGTCACTGAGTGGGCAGGACTGCTTTTGAACAATGGAAAAGGGTGCCAAGTAACAGAGCTGCTTCAAGATTGGCAGTCGGACGTAGTTTTGAGAGCCTGCCTCTAGGCACATGAACAGGGTTGCCTCCTGGCAGGTCTCTGTGCAGGAAGGTCTATTCCCAGACCATGGCTGAGGGGGACTGGAGCTGGGTCATGGACTGCTTCAGGGTTCAGAGCTAGAACTAAGGTTAGCAGGCCTGTTACTTGAGGGTACTGGTCAATGTGAGTGCCCCTGGGCCCCTTGGCAGATGGTTCAGGTGGCAGGACCAATGCCAAACAGGGCACTAGCTGAGTCCAGAGGGATGTTAATTCTGTGTCTGTAGCCAGGACCACAGTCAGTGAGCCTGCCACCTGGGTGTGGCCCTGCCTTCTCAAAATAGCTCTCTTCAGTGTTGGGATTCACCAGTTTTGACACTTCCTGTCAAGATCCAGAAGTTCCCACCAAGGGACTTTTGTGCCAGACAGGCTGCTATATTATTGCTGCTTTGAGGGGATACGATTATAGGAGCTCCTCTTCAAACATCTTGCTAATGTTTTTAATCTCTTTGTATTAAGAATATTTCTCTAGCACATTATTCAACTTAGATTTTACTCAATAAGTTAATTTAAAACCTGTGAAACCAGACAGCAAGTTATCTGCTGTCAAAATGCAACAGTGACACTCACATATAGGATAGACATTCCTATTCTGAAAAAGAGAAATTGGAAGTTAAATAGAAGTCTTAGAGCCAAAGCAAACTTGAAGCCTGGCAGGGCAAGTTTCGTTAGATTTCAGGACTTGAGGTCCTCTTTGGCTTGATATCCTGACCTCCAGTCCATAAAGGTGGTGGCCCCTCTTCCTTTGTTCTGTGCATGTATCTTGCATTTCTTTATATCTCTGATGGTGCCTTCAGGATCATTTACAAAATGTTTGACATGTTTTATATATTTATAGTTTAATTCTTAAAATGTTATTTTTGTTTTTATAAATATTTTCTCAGTTTACATTTAAAATGTAAAAAAAAAGTAGAACTTTAAGCAGGGTTTCCACCATAAATATTAATGTTGAAAAAATATATATCAATAGCTTTTCTGTCACTGTTAATGCTTTTTAAGTATTTTTAAATGAAAAATATTCTCCAAAAAATTAAATTATAAAAATATCTCAGAATCTCAATTATTGTGGAAGAATTTTATTAAAATTACTTCAAAATCCAGACCCGACCTCTAAGTATTTGGATATCTCTGTGAGACCTATTGTGCTTGTTTATAAAAATCTGCAACATTTTAACAATATCAATTCTTCCCAAATGTATTTCATTGTATTCTAATCAATACAATTAGTTAGATCTTTTGAACCTAGCCAAATAGATCAACTGAAAGGAAAAACAAAAACTTGCTTATTTTGAACATGAACATACATGAAGACAAGAATTGTTTCACTAGTTGTTTAAAATTATCATGAGGGGACACCCAATAAAACAAGATATTTTAAAGGAATTCAGTGAAAGACCAATGGAAAAGAAGAGATAATGTGGAAACTTAGCCTCCCCTGCACTGGCTTCTGGTATAAGATGTTGACCCTCCTTCCTTGTGTGATCCCGTTGTTTCCTCCACACACACTGGTTCTCAAAACCATGATTTTAGGACTGCCTTCTCTTATGAACTCTGGATTCGTGTATACACTAGCCTTGCATCATCTTCATGTAGATGTGTACTGGGCAACTGGAGTCCCAAATTTCAGTTTCAGCGTTCCATGCCAACCTGCCCAGCCCCAATATTCCTGTGTGTATAAACGGCAATCCAACTTCTCCTCCTCCACCACACCCCTTGCCCAGACACCATATGTCTCATCAGGACTAGCTCAAACCCTTTCCTGCATTCTCGCTCAAGCCTTCTCAGTGATAATCATATACCTGTTCCAAATGTCTTTCCTCTCTGTCCGTCCTCCAGTGATATCTCAGAGTGGGATTAACCAAGAAGCAAGGAGAGTCAAAGCTTTGGGGCCCTTCACTCTCTGGAGATTCTCTGAGTGCTGTCTGTTGCTGGGAGTTGTATGGTGGGGTGGGGTGGGGAGGGGAAGCCAGGCTACAGTCAGAACAGACTGTGAGCATGCCTGGTAAACTTCCTGAAGAGTTCTTAGAAGACAGGGGCCAAACATTGGCTGAGACTTCCTTTCTTTTTCTAAGTGCACATGCACTCTCTTGAGTGCCGTGTATACTTTTGTCTTCCCTTTCTTAAACACACCTCTGCCTGTCCCTGGTCCTTCCCAGGACCATCATGATATTATACGACCTGTTCTTGGCTCCATTTCTAACCCCATTTTCTGTTTTGCCAACTTTCTCACCTCAATCTGGGGCCACAGATCTTCTTGCTGCTGTTCAAACGTTGCAAGTTACTTTCAGTCTCACAGCTTTTAACTTTCTCTGTTTCCTCTGCTTAAACATCTCTGCCCCGTTGTTTACGAGTGACTCCATTGCTTCATTTACGGATCTGATGAAATTTCACCTTCTAAATAAAGGGCTCCTAACTAGCCTGTGTTAAATAGATTCGCTAATCATTCCTATCTCATCTCTCTGCCTTTATTTTTTATTCACTGTGATTATTAATACTTGATATTTCATTACATATTTATTAGTTTATTGCCTGTATTTACCACTAGTATATAAATGCTGTGTGGGAAGAATCTTTGTTTCAAACATCATAAACCTAGATAGTGCCTGGAACAGTTACTAATTATTTTTGAAATTAAAGAAAATATCATTCAACATTGGAATTTAATCTTTAATTAAAAGCAATAATGTTAGCAATTCACTGCATATCACACCCAAATAAATTATTTTTGTATTATAACTCAAAGGTACCAAAAAACCTCTGAAACTCATTAAAAGTGTAAAGGTAGATGCTTTACATAATCCCCAAATGCATAAAGACTTTGTAAGCACGAGACAGTTAATGAAATTATTAAAGTTAATATATTAAACAAAATACTTTAAAAAATTCTGATGAAACAAAATATCAGAATGAAAACTGAAATATAAATATTTTAGTTGATACTATTCACAAAGAGTTACTATTTTTTTTCTTCTTTTTGAGACAGAGTTTCGCTCTTTTTGCCCAGGCTGGAGTGCAATAGCGTGATCTTGGCTTGCTGCAACTTCTGCCTCCTAGGTTCGACTGAGTCTCCTGTCTCAGCCTCCCAAGTAGCTTGGATTACAGGGCACGTGCTACCACGCCAGCTAATTTTGTAGTTTTAGTAGAGATGGGGTTTCACTATGCTGGCCAGGCTGGTCCCGAACTCCTGAGGCCAGGTGATCCACCCACCTCGGCCTCTCAAAGTGCTGGGATTACAGGTGTGAGCCACCGCATCTGGCCAGTTATTATTTTCATACCAAAAACACATTTATATTTATAAAGAAAACATTTCAATAGAAAAAAATGTGAAAAGGATAAAAACACACGTTTCACAAAAGCAGTAGTTACATGGATAAACATGAAAAGTTATATAAACATATTAATTAAAAAAGACAAATAATGATACACCTATGAAATTGACCAAGAAGGAAAAGCACACATAATTCAGAGCTGGTGCAAGTGAAGTTTAATTCTGCAGCAAAATTTGAAGAGGCTTTTGGAAAAGTAATTCAATGTTGTATATTAAGAAGTGTGAATCACCGTATATCAAATGGTAGATTGTCTCAGGGAAAAACTGACATTCAGAGTGTATTTTTTGTATAATTAGTTTTATTTCTGCATAATTTATAATGTTGAAATTTTTAATGTCACTATTCACTCTTAGGAGAAGATTGCAATTGTGATATAATTACTCTGATAGATATTAACTCCAGTAGATACTGTCCAGTCATATACGAACACTACATATTGCAAACCGAAGAGATGTAACACAGAAGATTGGTTAGAGGTGGCAAAGGGTTACAGGGAAGGCTGGAGAAGTGGGCAGGGGAGTGTTGTCATCCAAGGACCAAGAGTCCTCACCACTGGAGCCCCATGTGCCCCTCACTGCTGAGCTGATGGGAACTCTGCACTCCAGGGCTGCTGAGAGAACCCTGCCCTGGTGATGTGCAGCAACCCAGATGCCTGCATCTCCCCAATACGACTGAAACTGCCTCTCAGGTGCTGAAGTCTGAGGCCCCCCATGGTCCCTGTTGCTTATAGCTGCTGACCCACACCCCCATCAGAAACGGAAAAAAGTAGTTTACTTCTTCCTCTCACCCTGCAGTGTCCACCCACAAGGGCCTGCACTCTCAGAGCCTTACGAAAAGTGAAGTAGCAAAGAAGTCAGGACAAACCACGTGCAGGCTGCAGCACTGTGGGTCAGAGACTCCAGCCCTCAAACGTGCACCTAAAAACAGGACATTGTCTAGACAAAGGTGGTCATGAAAAGACCTCCATGATGTAGGAAACTGATCAACATTTTTCCAGAGCACGTCTTTAGAGAAAAGTTCAGAGGAATTTGGCTGCAAGATCTAAGATGGCGGTGCAGTTTCTTCTGTCTTCTTCCCTGTTTTATTCCAACAGCCTAATACAGGGTATACACTCAATGAATATTTGTAGTTTAAAGGGAAGATATAACATTTAAAGTATCATTTTTGTCTGGTTTATTACATTAGAGTCGATTTTAAAATTTTTATTCAACCAGTTTTATTTTAGATTTTTCTATGACTTTAATGACAGTATTTAAAACAAAAACAAAGATAAAAATCAAATGCAACACTAAAGCAATAAAGATTGCAAGTGAGTGAGAGGGAAACAGACTACAATCGGTCCTAATGAAGAGGGAGAAAGATGGAGATATGAAGATGACTCCAATTTTAGTTTTAATCAAGGTACTGATTTGTGGAGGTATCTTTGACACATCAGTTGACCTCTGAGTTTCAGATTCTATACCTGTGAAATGTTAGAATAAAAATAACAATATCTTACAACATTTACTTGAATATTAAATGAAGATCACACATATATATGGAATATATTTTATAATGTGGAAAAGGCTAAGGCTGTATATGAACTAACTCCTATATTTCATAAATAAGATTTTGATGATGATGAGATTTGAGATTACTATTACTAATATTGGTTAAAAGTTTGCATTTCATAACAGAGGTAAAAATTGTAAAAGCTATTAGAAGAAAACCAGAATTGTTCAGGAGAGATACCTACTGACTTCTTTAGCTCTCTTAATTGCATTCTTCTTCAACTCCCAGAGGTGATGTATCAACCGAAAGCTTTCAACCCCTCCCCTAGTACACACGGTAAAACCAGGCAGGTCACTTTCTTACTCCTGTTGGTGCTCTTAACCTGGCCACACACCACCAGCCCATCTAGGTGAGGTTCAAGACATCATCTGATGGTGAGTTCGGCCAGACAGACAGGAGGTACTAGCAGGAACAAAAGGGTCATCACTGCTCTCGACTTGTTCTGCTTCTGAAACGTTCTATTAGTTCTTCACAGCATTTCCTCATTTTTTCTTTATCATCTGTTTTTAATGGAGAAAAGCAAATGTTATTCTTTCTTATAACTTCTATACAACACTTATTTACTGTGACATAATGGTAAATGGATTTTTAATTTCCAATTATTTATGGACATAATAATATATATTCTATAGTTTTAGATTTTCATACAATGATGTATTTATTTTCCTGTCACTGAAGTTTTATAGAGGAAAAGTGACTGATTTTCTTTTGAGAGGGGATTATTTCTGAGGGTTACAAAACACTAGAAACAATGTCTCAATCATTTTATGTTTCCTTGATGAAACCCACAGACAGTGGCCTAAATCCAAAGTGTAGACTGCAGAGGGAGGATGGTGTCCCTGAGAGGAATCAGGCAGAGTTACGTGCGCTGGCTCTCACTCTCGGGCTGAGACGTGCGTTCTATCTCAGGTTAGGTGTGTGATATTAGGCAGGTACCCTGAGAACCTGCATTTTTTAATATGTAAAGAGAGAAAATAATAGGAAGTAACTCATAGGCTCTTGGGAAAGAAGAAATGTAAAGTATTAATTTTAGTATTAGTATTAGAACAATTCCTGGGATGCTGTATGCTTCAAATAAAGGTTTGACTCCATTTATACTTATAATAAATCCCCAAGTTAAACATGCATTAAGCAATTTACATGAAAGTCAAACAAGCGGGTACAGAAGAAGAATGAACAGGGGGCCAGTTCACTGTGTGTGGATAGTGTTCCCTTATCTGTCCCGTGTCCTGGTTGAGCTGTTGATAGTGGCTTAATGATAGTGGCTTAATGATAGTGATGGCCATTTCCTAAAGAGCAGCAGAGATTTCTTAGGAAACCCCGCATCTCCCTGCCCTCCTGCTCCCCCTCAATTTACTGAGCAAACACCTTTTAGGTCTTCACATGTGCTGGTCGCTCCTCTGGTCCTTGCTTCACTTTGGCCACAAATAATGGACGAGGTCAGCAGGTGTGTTTTGCAGTTTATTGGAATGTTTTTAAATTGTACACAGATCTCAGCCACCATTTGCCAGTAGGGGTAGTGTTTGATACACATTATCTATCTATCTATCTATCATCATCATCTATTCATATATATACATATGTACATAAAATGTGTCTCAGATTTGTTGGATATTTATATTAAAGCACCGAAGCATCCCAGAATGTTGGAAGTTTTGGTGAGTTGAATGTCTTAAATACTTTTTGTAATTACTACAAGAATACAAAATATATTTGAAACTTGTAAATTCATTCCAAAATGTCCCTGCATCATAATCACAGCTAAAGTCTTCCCAGAAAGAGGAGTTATTATGTCCTTATTCTTGGCAAGGGCTCTCAAAATTTAACATTTAATATGTCAGAAGTTGAAAAGTTGGAAAGTTTTAATTTCTTTCAGAGAAAATGTGGAAACAGCTATTATGGATTATTTCAGAACGGCCAGATATATTTTGTGTCTATTGCCCTTATTTATTTTGTAACTATTTAAAAATTCAACTTCAAATCACATTTACATAATAGTTGTTCCCTGAATAGACTGACTGTGACCTCCTTAAGTGCACTCAAGTTCAATTTTTCTTTGATTCATCTTCTGCATATAACACAGAGGCTGTGAGTATCATGATAGAGAAGGAAACAGTGAGTTGAAGTCAGAGGCGATTCATCGTCAGTATAACACAGGCTGTGAGTGTCACGGTAGAGGGAGAAACAGTGAGTTGAAGTCAGATGCCTCAGTGTTGTTTGATTTTCCTCCCTGCTTCTCAGTTTGTATGAAAGATTGATTGTGGCAAGTAATAAAGCACATGAGGTTTGCAAAAACAACTAAAGCCTTGTCTGATAAACAGCAGTGACCCTCCAAATTCTAGTTCTTCCTCGCTGAGATTTAATGAGCTTTAAAATGAGAGGAGCTTTAAGGAGATGAGGTTGGAGGACCACATACTAGGCAGGAAGGACATAGGAGTCTCCAAAAAGCTCTGCATAACCAGGGTTAAAATAAGAAATGTTATAGTTATATATTCACCTGTGTATGTTTACATAAATATATTATATATATTTATATAAAACCAGAGTATTTACACATAAACACACAAATATAAAATCCAAATTGTTTTTTTTTAAAGTGGGTCATATGCTTTATTTTGCAGAACTTCTGCCATTTTTATTTTGAAAGTCAGCTTCTTAAATGTATGAATAGGTACTGAATCTGGAGAATGGAAGTAATATATCTTATATAATAATAGTAGCAACAATCTCTTAGGTTGTGCAGAATAGTTAGCTTAAAGAGTTAACATCTACACTAAGAGTATATGTGTTTATTCATCGGAAACTGTACTATTCTAAGCACTTTCATTACATTTCCTCATTTTACCCTCACCACACCTGAGCTCAAACATGATTTTTATCCTTTTTGATGTAGATTGGAGAAAGGAATGGCAGACAGAGAAAAAGGTGGACCCATAGCTGGAGTCTACTGTGTGTGGGCTCCTCACTTCACGTCTCTCGATGTCTAAAGGGTCAGCTGTGTGTGAGGACCCTTCCCTGCTCATGAGAATGTGAGGCTCGCTCCACGCAATCACAGAGCCTCACAGCATGGCCTGATCCTATGGGAGGAGGAGGTTCAAACATCTGGCATAATTTTTTTTCCAAGTTACGCTTTAGTTACTTGCTAAATCTTTCTTATATCATATATACCTCTGAGTATTTTGAAGATGCCTATTGTTTCTTAAACCAGCGATGTTGATTCAATTCAGCTGTCTATGACAAAAACTCTACAATAAGGAGTTTGCTTTATCTTTCTTTCAATGAGTCACTGTTTGTGTTAGCAGAGGAGGGAGGTTCTGCAAATTTTCAGTACTTGTTGATAAATGGCATTATCATCAGGAAAGTTTATGAATTTGAACCGTGACAACCTTACTATCAGTTACCAATTCTTCTGGCCTATAGTTGTGAATTCTTAGTTTGTTTTGTGAATTTGTTATATGTCATTTATATACTCAAATCCCCAGACCCACGGGACTCAGGTTAGCACAATGAGCATACACAAATGTGAGTACTCACTAAACACTCATTACAAAGGGACGCGTTACACTGACTCCAAAACTCTCCTTGGTGGCCTAGGTGAAACCTCATGGCCAACATCACCAGGATGGCCAACCACACTGGAAGGTTGGATTTCATCCTCATGGGACTCTTCAGACGATCCAAACATCCAGCTCTACTTAGTGTGGTCATCTTTGTGGTTTTCCTGAAGGCGTTGTCTGGAAATGCTGTCCTGATCCTTCTGATACACTGTGACGCCCACCTCCACAGCCCCATGTACTTTTTCATCAGTCAATTGTCTCTCATGGACATGGCGTACATTTCTGTCACTGTGCCCAAGATGCTCCTGGACCAGGTCATGGGTGTGAATAAGGTCTCAGCCCCTGAGTGTGGGATGCAGATGTTCCTCTATCTGACACTAGCAGGTTCGGAATTTTTCCTTCTAGCCACCATGGCCTATGACCGCTACGTGGCCATCTGCCATCCTCTCCGTTACCCTGTCCTCATGAACCATAGGGTCTGTCTTTTCCTGGCATCGGGCTGCTGGTTCCTGGGCTCAGTGGATGGCTTCATGCTCACTCCCATCACCATGAGCTTCCCCTTCTGCAGATCCTGGGAGATTCATCATTTCTTCTGTGAAGTCCCTGCTGTAACGATCCTGTCCTGCTCAGACACCTCACTCTATGAGACCCTCATGTACCTATGCTGTGTCCTCATGCTCCTCATCCCTGTGACGATCATTTCAAGCTCCTATTTACTCATCCTCCTCACCGTCCACAGGATGAACTCAGCAGAGGGCCGGAAAAAGGCCTTTGCCACCTGCTCCTCCCACCTGACTGTGGTCATCCTCTTCTATGGGGCTGCCGTCTACACCTACATGCTCCCCAGCTCCTACCACACCCCTGAGAAGGACATGATGGTATCTGTCTTCTATACCATCCTCACTCCGGTGCTGAACCCTTTAATCTATAGTCTTAGGAATAAGGATGTCATGGGGGCTCTGAAGAAAATGTTAACTGTGAGATTCGTCCTTTAGGAAATTATAAAGTAGGAAATTTGGATATAAAGATTTATTTTCCTTTTCTCTACCCATCAGATACTTAGGATTTTATCCCTGTTATTCCTTAGACTCTCATACAATGATGCCTCATCTCATATTCATCTCATTTTGAGGAATTCTTTCACTGTGTGGAAACTCTATTTTATAGTCTTTGTCCATCCAAAATTCTTTTACAATTGTGTTATACTAATGTAACATTTTTGGAAGTTGATAACTGTTCTCTAATTTTGTGAAAAAATATTCTTAACCTCAGGAAATACTTAATATTTAGAGACAAAAAGGTCATGAGGTGTTCAAATGATGAGAGGGAAAGAGGGAGGGAGATAGAGAGGGGCAATGAAACAAACTGAGTTCAATGTTGCTGCCACACATGAGTATGGGTAAAGGGTATATAGGTATTAATTGTACTATTGTTTTTTAATGATTTTTGTGAAGTTGAAATCATTTACAAATAATTAAATACCAGGCTTTTCTCCCTTTTTGAAAATATTCTCCTTTCTGCTTGGTGGCAGTGTGACATCTTAGAAATCATGCTCATTTCATTATATCTAATCATTACCGAGAAAATCCAGTCATCGCCCCTTCTTTATTGAGGGCTACATTTTTCTGCATGGTCCAATTCTGATGGCGTCTAGTGGATTTATCTCTCCGAAATAATTACTGCCATGTGGTGTATTGAGGATGTAGGACCACATAAGTGACTGCAGAAAAAATATGACACCTGAGTGGAAGGAGTTTTAAGGAAGGTTACCTGCCCAGGGTGATTCCTGAGCTGAGATTTCAAACATGTAACTTGTTATACAAACAAGCAGAGGGATGGCATCAACATTCAATCCTTCATTTATTTAACAAGCATTTTGTACTATTTTATAATTAAAAATAGTTAAATAAGATTAAATTTTGAATAGCACATGGCTTTTACCAAGGAGTTTGAAAAATACATGTAGTTGTTTATGCAAACAAATGTAAGAAAATAAATAAGCTGTTTTGATACTCGTGTGAAGGGTGCAGCTCATAAGGACACACTAATTCTATCTGTGACATCTGAGTTCAAACAAGGAGCTGAGAGGAGACTCCGGGGCTCAGTGCTGAATAGTGACGAAAAGTTACCCTCAGATGAGTGTGTGATGTTGGAGCCAGGGGAACTTGCTGAGACACGCTGCAAGGGAAAAGGCACAGCATGAGCAAAGACAGGGCTGAGCAAGCGAGAGAGATCAATGCCCAGTAGATCTTTCTTATTTCATGTTAGGCTTATTTCTTGCCCTTGTGTGGCCCAGGGTTTTACAAACAATAGTGAAATGATCAGATTTGTATTTTAGAAATGTTATTTGTGTGGTGATCAATTGGAGATGTGCAAGACCAAAAACATAGAGACCAGGTACATGAGAATGGTGATCTAAATGATGTTGATCTAAGTGGAGTCGACCATGCCTTTACCCGAGAATAGGCTGATAGGAGGGCATTTGAGGTGGGGCCTGCTGAACCTGTTACCTAAAAGCATACATGTGGTAGCTGCATGCTATAACTTCCTAATTGGCTATGTACAACTTGCGAATAATCAGGTGTTTTCAACAGTACACATTCTTCTTTTCTCTCACCACACTCAATTATTTTATGACTATAATATAAAGATTCTGTAGTGCTTTGGAAAAATATGAGAGAACTAGTTTTTAATATTTTTCCTGAACTCAGACAATATAAAATGCATACTCTAACTTTGTATGAATTAAAGAGCATTTGTCAACTCTCAATTTGCTGGATTATAATTATAGACACATTTGATGGTTATCTTTAAAACATCCTTGTGAAAGGAAATGTAGCAAAATTTCATGAAAAATGATTTTTGTAGAGCTTTATTGTGCTAAAAATTGTTAGCTGCCTAAAATAACCTGTTATAATATGTTGGTAAGTCTCGTGGTAACTACAAAGCAAAAACCTGTAGTAGACATACAAAAATTTTTAAAAAACAAGGAATCAATGCATACCACTAGAAAAAACATCATTTAACCTTAAAAGAAGATAGTAAGAATGGAAGAAAAGAACAAAGTCTCTAGAAAACAACTGGAAAACTAACAAAATTGTAGCATTAAGTCCCTATGTATCAAAAATTATCTTAAATGTAAATGTATTAAATTATCCAATCAAAAGATATCTGGTGGCAGAATGTATAAAAAATGCCAACTACAACAGGTTACTTTAACCTGCAAGGACATATGCAGACGAAGTGAAGTGGTTGAAAAGGATATCCCATGCAAGTCGTAACCAGAAAAGAGCAGGAGTAGCTATGCTTATATCAGATAAAATAGACTGAAGTCCAGAACTGTAGAAAGAGACAAAGAAGATCATATATAATGATTAAAAAGTCAATTCAACAAAAAGTATATAATAATTGTGACTATGTATGAAACATTAACCTAAATACATAAAGTATTAATAGATCTAAGGGGATAGATAGCAATAAAATAATACTAAGAAACTTCAACACCCCTCTTTCAGCCATGGAAAGACTATCCAGACAGGAGGTAAACAATGAAATAACAGCTTCAAGTTGCACTCTAGGGCAATGGACCTAAAAAGCATATGCAAAACATTTTATTCAGTAGCTGCAGAATACACATTATACTCGATTGCACATGAAACATTTTCTAGGTTAGATCACATGTTTGACCACAAAAAAGTCTTAAAGATAAGAAGTTCAAAATAATATCAATCATCTTTTCTGATCACAGCAGTTTATAAACGAATGCAAGAATTCTCAGAAAGTTTACAAATAAATGGTGATTAAATAATATGCTCCTAAACAATAGATGGGTCAATGAAAAAATTAAAAGGGAAAATAAAAGGTTGTTTGAGACAAATAAAAATGGAAAACTCAACATACCAAAACCTACAGGACACAGCAAAAGCAGTTCAAAGAGGAAGTTTATAGTTTATAGCAATGAATGGCTACATCAATAAAGAAGAAAGACTTCAAATAAGGAAAGGTAATATTGTACCTTAATTAACTAGAAAAACAAGAATAAGCTAAACTCAAAATTAGTAGATACATTAATATTGATTAGAGGAGAAATAAAAAAATGATAAAAACAATGCAAAACATCAGATGAGTTGTTTTGTGAAAAAACAAAATAAACTAGACTAAGAAGGTTCAAATCAGAAATTTACAAAGGAAATATTACAACTGAGGCCACAGAAATACAAAAGATTATGAAAGTATAATGAATAATTGCATGTCAAAAATTAGATAAGCTGGAAGACATGAATTGACTGATACATAAATCCTACGATAGTAAATCTTAGCAAACCAATAATGAATAATGCAGTGAAGTAGTAATAAAAGTCTCCCACCAGAAAAAAAAAAAAAGCCCAGGACAATATGGACTCATTGCAAAATTCTATCAAAAATTTAAAGAACTAATACCAATTATTCTCAAACACTTCCAAAAAATTGAAGAAGTGGGAATACTTCCAAATTCATTATACAAGGCCAGAATTATCCTAATACCAAAGCCAGAGAAGGACATGGGAATGAAAAAGGAACTACAGGTCAATATCATTTGGGAACATGGATGTAAAATTCCTCAAAAAATGCTAGCAAACTGAATTTAAAAGCACATTTCAAAAAGCATTCATCATGATAAAATGGGATTCATCCCAGGGATGCAAGGATGCTTCAACAGATGCCAATTAATAAACATCACATAGCACATTAACAGAATGAATGATACAATTTTATGATTATTTAGGTGGAGAGAAGCATTTGACAAAATTCCAAAACTCTCAACAAATTAGGTATACAAGGAATGTATCTCACCATAACAAAGGCCATATATGATAAGCCTACAGCTGACATAATACTTAATGATGAAATGTTGAAAGCTTTTTCTCTAAGATCCAGCAAAAGACCAGAACGGTCACTCTTGCCACTTTTATGTAACATAGCACTGAAAGTCCCAGCTAAAGCAATTAGGGAAGAAAAATAAATAGAAATGTAAATAGGAAAGGAAGAAGTGACATGTTTCTGTTTGTTAATAAAGTAATATTACATATAAAAAAACATAAAGCCTTCAACAAAAACTATTCCCTAACAAATTCAGGAAAGTTTCAGGAAATCAACAGACAGAAATTGGAGTTTCTATACTCTAACAGCAAACTGTATCTTTAAAAAGTTAAGAAAGACTCATAGAGAGGAGTTATAGCAACAAGATAGATGAATAGAAGATCCTCCAGCATCATTCATCCACACCCACAAAAATAGAACTGGAAACTATTCAAAAACAATAACATCCTGAATTCCCATGAATTCAGGAGAGAAAAAAGAGAAGCTGTGTCTGGTCTTAGAGCAATTAGGTAAAAGAAGGAAACAAAGGCCTCCAAATTGGAAAGAAGGAACTGAAATTTTCCCTGTTTACAGATGACATGGTCATATATTAAAAAAATCCTAACGACACCAGCAAAAACTGTGAGAACTGATAAATGAATTCAGTAAATTTGCAAGATACAAAATCAACATACAAAATTAGCATTTATATAGGCCAACAGTGAGCAATCTGAAAGAGAAATAAGGCAATCCCATTTACAAAAACTAAAGTAAATACAAAATAACTAGGAATAAATTTAGCCAAAGTAAAAGATCTCTTCAAGAAAAACTATACAACTCTAATGAAAGAAATTGAAGAGATCACAAATAAATGGAAAGATTCCCCATGTTCGTGGATTAGAAGAATTGATATCATTAAAATGTCCATCTACCAAAAGAGAGCTACAGAATTAAAGCAATCACTATCCGAATACAAAAGATATTCTTCAGAGATAGAAAAAAACAATCCTAAAGTTCATATGGAAGCAAAAAAGACTCCAAATAGCCAATGCAATTCTGAGCAAAATGAATGAATATGTAGGCATCATACTACCCGATATACTACAAGCTATTAAACATCAAAAGAGAATGGTACTGGCATAAAAGCAGACACACAAACAGAAGAGAACCCCTGAGAGCCCAGATATAAATTCACTCATTTATAGTCAACTGATGTTTGACCAAGTTGAAAAGAACATACACCAAGAAAAGCACTACTTCCTCAATAAATGGTGATGCAAAAAATGCATATCCAAATACAGAATGAAACTAGACACTTATTTCACTATTTTAAACTCAAATTGGATTAAAGACTTTAATATCAGATCTTAAACTGTAAAACTTCTGGTAGAAAACACAGGCAGAATGCATCATCACTACATTGATCTGGGCAAGAATTTTTAAAGTAGAACCTCAAAATCACAGGGAAAAAATAAAAAATTAAAAAATGAGATTACATCATACTGAAAGGTTCTGCACAATAACGAAAACAATTCACAGAGTGAATAGATAACATACGAGTGGGAGAAAAGATTTGCCAACAATGCATTTGACAAGGGGTTCATATCCAGAATATATAAAGAACTCAAGTAACTGAGTACCAAAATTATCTCACAAATAATTTGATTTTAAAAATGGGCAAAAGACATCGAAAAACATATTTCAAAAGAAGACATACAAATGGCTAGCACGTATATGACAAAGTGCTCAACATCACTAATCATCAGGGAAAGGCAAACTGCAATGTCTTGGATGGGCATGGTATCTTTCACTTTGAAACTGGAGTCCTGCAGGCCATTTTGAATATTGTCCATGTTTCCTAACACACCCAAGTTGGCAGAAGACCCCCTATTTAGGGCTAATACCTGCTGTTTATGCTCAAATAGGCCCAGGCAATACAAGTTTTGGCTATGACTCCAGTTATGTATATTTGTGGAAGAAACAATAGATGGGTATAAAATAAAGTATGGTAGAGTGAAATCATCATACCTGTACAGGAATGTAAATTTGGAGGTCATTTTTCTTATCAGGACACATCACACGGGGAATGTGTTTCTTTAGTAAATGTTGTGTACTCCTTTAGATATATTTATAACAAACCAATGATGCATGGCATCAGGATAAGTTTAGAAATAATTACTAAATGAGATTCCATAGGGTAGAGACAAGAAATTAGATTTTGCCTATGTTCAAGTGGGAGAATACCCATTTCAAATACCCAAGATTATAGAAGAAGGAATGAAAAGGTTTCAACTTTAAGCTGCTGAGGGAAGCTTGAAAAGAATTTAGTCTGACATTTGATATTCTTTATAACCATGTGACTAATTACTCAGATGGTACTTAGGAATTAAGAAAAGTCATTAACCTACAAAAAGCCCGAAGTATAAGAAAACACAGTTAAAGGTGTGTTTTTTAATTGTCTTTGCTGGATTCGGTTAGTTCAATAGCCTTGTCTTCAAGCTCTGAACTTGTTTCTTCTACTTGTTTGATTCTATTTCTGAGATTTTCCAGTGTATTTTGCATTTTTCTAGTGTGTTCTTGATTTCCAGCAGTTGTGATTGTTTTTTATTTATGCTATCTGTTTCTCCGGAGATTTTTCCATTCATGTCCTGTAACACATTTTTAAATTTAAGTTGGTATTCACCTTTCTCTGGTACTTTGTTGAGTAGCTTAATAATTGACCTTCTTAATTCTTTTTCTGGCAATTCAGAAATTTCTCCTTTGTTTGAATCCATTGCTGGTGAGCTAGTGTGATCTTTTGGGGGTGTCAGAAAATCTTGTTTTGTCATATTTTCAGAATGGTTTTCCTGGATTTTTCTCATTTGGGTAGACTATGTGAGAGGGAAGTTCTGGGGCTAAAGGGCTGCTGTTGAGATTCTTTTGTCCCATGGGGTGCTCCCTTGATGTGGTGCTCTACCCCTTCTTCTAGGGATGGGGGTTCCTGAGAAACAAAGTGCAGAGATTGTTATTTCTCTTCCACATCTAACCACCCAGCAAAGCTACTGTGCTCTGGTACTGGCTGGTACCGGAGAGTGTCTGCAAAGAGTCTTGTGGTATGATCTGTCTTCAGGTCTCTCAGCCATGGATACCAGCACATGCTGTGGTGGAGGGAGCAGGGGAGTGAAGTGGACTCTGTGAGGGTCCTTGGCTGTATTTTTGATAAGTTTGCTGGTTGGTCTCCAGCCAGCAGTTGATTCTTTCAAGAGTTGCATCAGCTGCAGTAGTGTAGGGAAGATACGAGCTTGCCTTAGGGTTACCTGGATAAGTATCCAGATTTCTCAGGCAATGGGCCGGGCCTCAGAGCTCCCATGAGATTATGTCCTTTGTCTTTGGCTCCCAGGGTGGGTAGAGAAAGGCCAAGAGGTGGGGGCAGTGTTAGGCGTGTCTGAGCTGAGACTCTCCTTGGGCGGGGCTTGCTGTGTGGCTGCTGTGTGGGATTGGGGTGTGGTCCTCAGACTGATGGAGTTATGTTTCCACGGGGATTATGAGTGCCTCTGCTGGGTCATGCAGGTCACCAGAGAAGGGGGGGAACGGGCAGTTACATGCTTCACTCAGCTCCCAGGCAGCCCAAAAGGCCAGTCTCACTCCCACCTTGTGCCCCCAGTAGCACTGAGTTTTTTCCAGGCAGCTGGTGAGCAGGGCTGAGAACTTGCCCCAGGCTACAAGCCCCTCATGAAGAAAGCAAGCAGGGCTTTTAGGTTTCATGCCTCTCTGCCTGCCTCAGCTTCTGAGCTTGTATCTGCACTCCCAGTTTGCCCCCTCCCCCAGGTTCTGTCCAGGAAGCTTCACGTTAGTCAAGATTATTACAAAATTCATCTGAAAGCTTGCTTCTCCTTGTAGTCTTTCCCCAATTCCACTGGCAGCCCTCCCAAAGGACCCCTGCAAGACAAAGTCCGAAATGGTTTCCCACAGGGCTCTTCTTGTTGTTTCCTCTACTCGAATATTTTGCTTGGCTCTCTAAATTCCTCTTAGCTCCGCGTAAGATTAAATCCTTTTCCCACCATGTGGACCGTCAGGTTCCCCAGTGAGGATCTGTGTTTGGGGGTGGAGCATCCCCCTTTTACACTTTCACACATTTTGGCACTCAGTTTTTGGCACGGAGCCTACAGTGGCCGCCACCTCCTTCAAAGGGTCTTTGGATTCTCTTGGCTTTCCTGGTATGTCCTATGGTAGTTCTTGGAGCAAAAGTTCACAGCGTGAATCTCCACATGCTGCTCTGTCCATCCAAGTGGGAGCTGCACGTTAGTCCTGCCTCCTATCTGCCATCTTCCTCTTCTGGAGTCCACGAAAAGGATTATAAACAAACTATTTTGTTGGGAGTAATAATGTGGTCCTGGCCTAGTGTGAAGTGAAGCTCACTCCAGGCCACTTCTCTCAAGCTGTGTTAATTTGTACCCTTCAGCAGTTTATGAGAGGTTCATTTCCATAGGCCCCCACATCTACAACTAGGGGATTTCATATATCTAATCTGAGCAGGGACATTGGTTCTACATGGAGACAGTGCAGAGATGAGCTGTGCTTGAGGCCTCACCTGTAGGTGGTAGGGTCTAGACCGGGAGACAGGCATTGGCCAACAGAAAGTAAAGGACACAAAGTGATGTCCTTCTCCACTCACTTCAGCTTTTCTTCAACACTATTTCAGATGCTTCCTTCCTGGCTTAGCTCTTCATTCAAGGTGAGATATTATGGGAACAGGATTGTGGGGGCAGGTGGCCCCAGGTATGGAGACTAAGGGGAGGTGTACATGGCAAGAGAGAAGCCAGAATATGGGGATGAGAAAGGAACAAGCTGTCTGTGGTAGTCATCCATGATTGAGATGATGTGTGGACCCTGAGTCAGACTACCTGGTTCAAATGCAGGCTCTCTACTTTTTACCCATTTGATCTTGGCCTGTGGCTCTCTACTTCTTATCCATTTCATCTTGGACTTGTGGCCTCTCATACCTCATCTTCCTTACAGTCCTCCATATGAAATCCCCCTAAAGTAGGAACAAAGCTTTGGCCAACTGCTCCTCCCATCTTTCCGTGGTCTTTACTTAGGAACTGTGTGTTTAATATACGTGACACAGGGTTTCTCCCACATCCCTGAGCAGAAACAAGCTGTGTCTGTATTTTGCACTGTACTCACCCCCATGCTAAACCCCCTCATCTACATCCTGAGAAACAAGGATGTGGTGGGGCTCTTCAGAAAGTTCTGGGAACACATCAAGTCTCTAAACAGAACACATAAATATCAATGTGGAAAACAACGGTAGAGGGCCAAGATGCAAAGACTTCAGGAGCATCTCATTTTCCAGCATGAGGAATGTTGCTCCATCGTATGAGAAAACCATTTGGTTCAATTTAATTTGAAATATTAATTTGCTCATAAAAAGCTTAAGGGCTGGGTGCGGGGGCTCATGCCTGTAATCCCAGCACTTTGAGAGGTCTAGGCTGGCAGATCATTTAAGGTCAGGAGTTTGAAACCAGCCTGGCCAACATCGTGAAGCCCTTTCTCTACTAAAAATAGAAAACTTAGCCAGGCACGGTGGTAGGTACCTGCAACCCCAGCTACTTGGGAGGCTGATGTGGGAGAATCACTTGAGCCCGGGAGGCGGAGGTTGCAGTGAGCAGAGATCTCACCACTGCACTGCAGCCTGGGACACAGAGCAAGACTCTGTCTCAAAAATAAATAAATAAATAAATAAATAATGAAAAGCTTAAGAACTTTTTATCTAGTTTCTAACCATTGTTTCAAAATGGCTGAACTCAACTGTGT
The DNA here is from genome assembly GCF_000001405.40 of Homo sapiens. Taxonomy (NCBI): domain Eukaryota; kingdom Metazoa; phylum Chordata; class Mammalia; order Primates; family Hominidae; genus Homo; species Homo sapiens. Next base: position 190,823 of record NW_025791755.1, on the reverse strand, counting down.
TTCTCCTTGAAGCTAGATGATAAGCATAGACAAAGTTCCAGTCTTCTCTCTTTTTACCTGCTTTAGCCATTTCTCAGTATCCTTTGAAGCTCAACTCTGTCCAGGTATTGCTAATCTCCATTGTTGTAAGCATCAGCTTCCTAGGAAAGACAAAAGTGTGATTTCTCAGGGGCAATAATAACACAATAGATTTTCTTTTCTCTTGATTGCTCTGGAAATCCCAACATGTTGGCTCTATTCTCTTATCCTGTCTCGGGTGGAAACTTCTGGTGATTCTCAGATAAGCAATAACTCAGCTGATATATAATACAAGAAGATTTTCTCTTCTATAATAAATACAGCAAGCCTTGAGTAATAGTACGTAATCTGTGGGTGAGCAAGGAACAATAGGCTTCTCTCTTGACTTTGTAAGTTCCTCCCATTCTCACTAGCTCTAGATGCTTACTCTTCCTTGAGTCAGTGCAGGTGGAACTCAGGGGATAGAGTGGAAGTAGGGGCTAGAAAAGCCCTACCTACCTTCCACCAATACAGAGAAGCTTCCCTTCAATTTTTGGTGGTTTGATTATAATATGTCTTAGGGGTAGTTTTGTTTGGATTGAATCTGATTGGTTACTTTTTACCTCACTGTACCTGGTTATTTATATCTTTTTCCAGGTTTGAAAAGTTTTCTATTATTTCTTCATATAAGCTTTCTACTCCTTTATCATTTCAACTCCCTTATCTCCAATGACTCAAAAATTTGCTGTTTTGTTGCTGTCCAGTAAATCTCATGTTTCCTTTATTATTTTTCATTCTTTTCTCTTCTCTATTTTCATATAACCTGTATTTGAGTTCACAGATTCATTGGCTTGATCCATTCTGCTGTTGATGGTCTCAACTGCACTTTACATTTTGTTCATTATATTTTGCAGCTTTAGAATTTGTTTGATTTTTAAGTTATTCCAATATTTGCTAAGTTTATCATTGTGGTCATATTATTTTTATCGTTTGTTTGAATAGTTTCTGTGTATTTTCTTGAAGTTTGCTAAGCTTCCCTAAGACTGTTATTTCAAATGCTTTGTCAGGTAGTTTATGCATCTCCATTTGTTTGCTTGGTGATGTATGCTTCCTTGATTTCTCTTGCGTCTGCAGTCATGCATCTAATATAATAGGTACTTATTCCAGTCTTTGCAGACTTGTTTTATCCTGAAACATTCTTCAATAGTAAGCCTGTCTAGAGATTCTGAGCAGGTTGTCTGGTGTGGTCCCTAAGCTCTAGTTTGCTGTGGTGGGGGCAGCCCTAGGTGGTGCCCTAAGCCTGGGACTGCCACGACTGGTGCAGTGCAGTGCTGTAATCCCATGGCCACTGGAACTGGTGTGGGTCCCAGATGATATCCTGTGGCCACTGGGGCTGGTGCAGCACTGATGCAAGTCTGAAGCCCATGTTCACTGAGGCCTGCCTGCCAGTGGATACTTTCCAGAGCTTAAGGCCACTCTGGGTGGGTGGCAGTGATGATGACTGCAAATTAATTCTGCTTTGCATGGGCTGCAGGTTTCTGCCTAGTGTTGGTGTAGATCTGGAGGCTCGGTCTTTGTGTACTGGCCTGGAGTCAGTGGTTGTGGGGGCTGCCTGGTTTTCAGTTCTTCTGTGGTGGGCCTAGTGTTGGGCACCAAGACCAAGTCCCACACTTACTTCCGTTTTTATTCTCCAAGTGTTTGGTATCTCTCCCTGCACTGTGCTGTCTGAGGTTGGGGATAAAAAATGCAGGTAATCAAAACTCTCCTTCCTGCCCTCTTCAATGCTTCTAATCTTATTATTTTATAACAAGATGAAAATTGTATCACCAGGTTCTATGATCTCTCACATGCCTTTACTAGCTTTTGTGAAGGTATGTTGTGTAAGAATAGTTATTAAAATTGATGTTTCTATGGGGATACAATTGTTAAAGAATTCCGTTCTGCCAGCTTTCCCACTCTCCTCTCTTTTCACTTTTTTGATTGAGACCTTTGAAGCACAAAAATTTTGAAGTTAGATGAGGTCCAATTATTTATTTTCTTATTGCTCGTTCTTTCGGTATCATGCTAAAAAAAATGCTAAACTTAAGGTCTTGAATATTTAACCTTATCTTTTCTCATATTTTTATAATTTTACTTCTTATGTTTAGGTCCCTGATCAATTTGAGTTTAAGTATGATTTGTAATGCCACTTCATTCTTTTGTTTGTGGATATCTTCTTGTCTGAGCACAATTTGTTAAAGTGAGTATTCTTTTCCCATTGAATGGACGTGGCACGCTTGTCAGATGATTATTGACCATAGACACATGCGTGTATTTCTCATTAGATTCTCAATTGTCTTCTATTTATTTATGCATATATCCTTATTCTGTTATCAGGCTTTTAAAATTAGTGTATCTTTTTGGCAAATTTTGTACTCAGGAAGTGTAAATCTTCCAACTTTGTTTTTCTATTCAAGGTTGTTTTGGATTTTGCAGTCGCTCGTAATTTCATATGATTTTTAGTGTTTTCTACTCTTGCAAAAAAAAAAAGGCATGGAATTTTTATAGGCATTGTATTGAACCTGTGGATATATTTTGGTTGTATTATCTTAACCACAAGTCTCCCAATCCATTAACATGCGATGTTGTTTCATCGGTTTATGTTTTATTTGCTATTAGCAGTACTTTGTAATTTTCAGTGTGTTAGTTGTTTAACACTACTTTAAGTTTCTTCTTGAGTAAGTGTTGGTAGTTTCTGTGTTTCCAGGATTTGGTTTTCATCTCACTGAAGGTATCTAGTTAGTATTCAATTATTTGTAATATTCTCTTATAATTGCTTGTGTTTCTGAAAGGCTAGTTGTTATGTACCCATGTTATATTCATATTTATGTATTCATGATGTAAGACTTCTCTCTTTCTCTCTTTGGTAAGTTTACCTAAAGTTTTCTATATTTTGTTGATCTTTTGAAAGCTCGAAATAGTCAAATTGTTTTTTCTATTCTGCATTTTATTAATCTCTATTCCAATACTTTTTTTCCTTCTGTTTGCTTTGTATTGAGTCTGCTCTTCTTTTTCTAGTTCCTTAAGGTATAAAAATATATTATTGTTTTTAGATGTTTCTTCTTTTTTTGAGTATAGGCAATCTAGCTAAAATTTTCCTTCTAAGAATTGCTTTAGCTGCATCCTACATGTTTTGTTATGTTTTAAGTCATCTGAATATATTTTCTAACTTCATTTCCAATTTCTTTTTTGACCCACCGGTGCTTCACAGTGTGGTGTTTAATCCCCACATATGTGTAACTTTTGTAGTTCTCCCTCTATTTCAGATTTCCAGTTTTATTTCATTGATTGGAAAAGATACTTTGAATTAAATCTTTTAAAATTTAGTCTCATTTGTTTTGTGGCAATTTATCCTGGAGAATGTGTTATTAGTACTTGAGAAGCATCTATACTCTGCTATTTCAGTATTCTCCACATATATATTAGGTCATTTGGTTTATAGTGCTGTTCTAGTCACTTACTACTATGTTAACATTCTGTCTGAGTGCACTATGCATTATTGAAAATGGACATTTAAGTATTGAACTATAAGTATAGAACTGTTTATTTCTTCCTTTAATTCTGTCCACCTTGGCTTCATATATTTTGGGTCTCTGTTACATTCATTCATGTTTACAATTTTTATATCTAAAGATCTATATTACATTCTCCAAGGAAGATACACAAATGATCCCAAACAGTATACGATTTTTTTTTTACTTATAAAAATTTTTGTCACAAACTCACTTTGTCTCACATTAACATAGCCACTCTGGCTATCTTTCGGTTACCAACTGCACGAAGTATCTGTTTATCTTCATGTATAGTATATGATAAAATGTTATATTCACAGATAAAACAATTTAAAGTATAAAATTATGATTCAATATGCTTTTTAATTTCCTTGAACACTTTCTTTTCTTCTAAATCTATTTTCTTTATTCCTTTAATTATTTTCATATGCTTAATAAATTCAGGAATGACAAAGTTGAAATACAACCAACTACATAGAAGTACAAATGATCACCTCTCTGCAGACAAACTAGAAAACCTAGAAGAAATATATAAATCCCTCGAAACAAGGAATTTATCTATTTCTCCACCCAAGATTATTTAACCTCCTGACATTAAGCCAGGAAGAAATTGAAATCCTGAACAGACCAATAATGGGTTCTGAAATTAAGTCAGTGATTAAAAAAAACCTACCAACCAAAACAAGCCCTGGACCAGATGGATTAACAACCAACTCCTACCAGACATATAAATAAGAGTTGGTACAAAATCTTCTGAAATTATTTTAAAAATTGAGAAGGGAATACTCTCTAAGTCATTCTGTGAAGCCAGCATCATTCTGATACCAAAATTAGGCACAAATACGACAAAAAAAGTAAAGTTCGGGCCAACATTCCTGAGGAATATAGACACACAATCCTCCACGAAATACCAGCAAACCAAATCCAGCAGCACATCAAAAAGTGAATTCACCACGATCAAGTAGGCTTTATTTCTGGGATGCAAGGTTGGTTCAACAAGTGCAAATCAGTAAATGTGATTCACCACATAAACATAATTAAATACAAAAACCACATGATCATCTCAATAGAAGCAAAATGATTTTTCATAACATTCAGCATCCTTTCTTCTTAAAAACCCTCAATATACTGGGCATCAAATGAACTTAACTCAAAAAAATAAGAGCCATCTATGACACACCCACAGCCACCATCATACTAAACAAGTAAAATCTGGAAGCATTCCTCTTGAGAACTGGAACAATTTGAACAATTCAGTTTTCAATTTCTCATCAAAAATTGTGTTGACATGATTGATTGAAGTATTTTATCCCCCTTTCTCCCAAATACCAGGCCACAGACAGCATGAAATATTTTAAATAAACATTAAAATAAATAAGTCCAGATTGGTCATTAAATCGAGTATTTTATTTTTTATTGTATAAACTCAAGATGTACAACATGTTTTGATGTAGATATCTATAGTGAAATAATTACCACATGCTAGCAAATTAACACATCCATCACTGTCTGCAGTTTACTTTTTTGTGATAAAAACACATATAATCTAGTTATTCTCTTAGCAAATTTGTAATGTATAATAAAATAGAACTATAGTCCTTCTGTTGTACATTAGATCTCTAAATATCTTTATGTTACATAACTGTAATTTTGTCTTCTTTTACCTACATTATCCCAATTTGTCTACTTCCCTGACTCTGGCAACTGCCCTTCAACTCCCTATTTATCTTACTCAATTTCCATTTATTTTACACATAAATGAGCTCATGCTGCATTTTTCTTTCTGTGCCTGACTTGTTTCACTTGGCATATTGTACTCCATACTTTAAAATTTATTAAGCTTAAAGAATTAAACAAGTAAGCTCTAGTTGCCTAAGAAGTTAATGTACCCAGAAATATAAATTTCTCAACAATCATGGAAAATGTGTTACAACTATATCTTCTTTCAAGTAGGTCTTGTAAATATTTTCTGTATTAATACTGACTATGCTCTCGTTTGGTTGTCATTCTATTCTGAGTTTTTAACCCTCTTGTTTAACCCAATCTCTCCTCCTCAAAAATGAATAAATGCATTGACTCAAGAAACATTTATTTTTGAGCGTCTGTTTTGGAATAGGTGCTATATTTTAGGCATTGGAAAGACACTAGTGATAAAAATGGTAAAATGCTTTATCTCCTGGATCTTACATTCTATGGTAGAGAAGAGATAATAATCGCAAAAAAACTATCAGGAATGATAAACATTATAAAGAAGAGTAAAACAGGGTGTGTAGGAGATAATTACTGTTTTATATTCACTGCTCAGAGATGTCTTCTCTGATAATCAAGAGAGCAGAGAAGAGACCTAAATCAGTTGAAGAAATGGGTCACAATGTATCGGAAAAGAGACCACCAGGCAGAGAGAATAGTAATTTTTCTTTATTCAGTGTATTAAATGCATTGTGTTTATTGATATACCCCATTAGTTTAATCATATTCCCTCACACTTTGTTATTACCTTTATTTTAATTTCCATTTTTAAATTTTTGTGATGAACAAATAAAATTGTATATATTTATCATGTACAATGTGATATTTTAAAATATGTATATTGTGTGGAATGGGTAAATTGAGGTAATTAACATGCATCACCTCACATACTTATAATTCTTTGCAGTAAGAAGACAAAATCAACTCTTTGCCTTTATTTCAAAATTATTTCATTGTGTGGTATTTAATATTTTCTATTTAACAAGATTTGTATATTATGTACAAATACCTATGCATAAAACATATTTTATAAGACTAAAATATCCTTAATTTCCCTCTCTTTACACAGTATCTACTAGTTTCCTAGCATAAGGAAGAACAGAAAATATTTCAGAAGATATGTCTATTCTCCTTTCCTTTATCATTCAATTGTAGCCAATATGTTTACACTAGTGCTTATCACTATTTCTTTACACTTGCTTTTATATTTTCTCCATCATCTTTATTATTTTACAATCACTCACAAGCCACGGAGCAGGCATTCAGCTTCGTCCCCATCACTCCCTTTAAATTCTCTCCTGACTCAGGGTGATTCCCATTTCACATCTTTCTGTTGGCCGATTGTCGTCTCTTTTTAATGGGTCATCAGTTCTCTGAATCATCATATTTCTGTTTTAAAATGTTTTCTCATTTATAAAACTGCTTTATTAAGGATTTGGGGTTGTAGAGTATTTGAAGTTTATATCAGTATTTAGCTCCGATTTAAGGCAATAATTTTGGGGTAGATTTATTTTTTTTCTATAGTATTTTTGGAAAGACGTTGCATTTTCTAATTTCATTTTTAAGAATTTGATTTGCCTTTCCAGTTGTTACCAGGTGGATTGCATAGGGACTGCAGGCATTGGGGAATATTCTTGTTTCTCAAGCCCTACAGCTTCATTGTATGCATTCCTGCTGTCTTCTCCATGTTCATTTCTACCACCTTCCTATTCGTGGTTATGCCTGGGATGGTGACCCCCTTAGTTTAGGCAAGATTGTCCTGTTATCTCCACCACTTCTTTCCCAGGTATACTCCCTGCATCTATCTCTTCAATAATCCTCAGATTGCTACCTGGCTCCGTGTTCATCAGGCTTGGGTATAGCAGTTTACACTTGTGAGAGGACCCTCTCCTTCTTGGGGAATAATATTTCCTGGTATTTTTTATCATTACCACCACCAGTGACCTTGACTGGGTCTCTTCTCTGCCGGACTTCCTGCTTCCAATATGGAGTTTCTGTACCAATTCTGATGAGTGTCCGTGACTTTCTTCCCCTTCCTTACGTGTAATTTATAGTTGATGGATTGCCTTTGTCTCCTGATTTCAGTGAAGGAATCATTTGTGCTTTTTTCATTTTTTTTGTCTTGGATGTTTATTATATCATTGGAGAATTAAAGTAGGATAAAAAGATTGGAAGACTATCTAAAAGTTTGTATCAGCAACTAGGACTCCCTTATGTATGTTTGAACAGTTTTGTTCTGTTTGCTTTTGTGAGAAATGAGATGAATTGATGTGCAAAGTGTTATTAGTTAGGGTGCCTCAATATAGGCCCAGGAAACATTGGAACACCAAAATGGATGGAGCAGACATGAGCAGAACACAAAAAAGAAATAAACAGCAATATGATAATAGTAGGGGATTATAATACCCCACTCTCAACACTCATAAACAACAAATGGACCGAAAAATAAAGACAATTTAAAAATATCCTGAGACAAACAAAAATGGACAAATAACATACCAAATTACGGGGTGCAGCAAAAGTAGTTCTGATAGCTACCGAGACAGAGAAATGATCCCAAATAAGCAACCTAACTTGGCACTCTGGGAATTAGAAAAGAAGAAAAAAGCCAAAAGTTAGAAGAAAGAAGAAAGTTATAAAGGTTAGAGCAGAATTAAACAGATAAGAAAGACAAAAGAAAAGATCAGTAACACGAGGAGTTGGTTCTGTAAAAACGTGAGGAAAATTGGCAAACCTTTAGGTAGACAAACCAAGAAAACTAAGAGAGATGACTCAAATAAAACTATAAGTAAAACAGGAGAAATTAGTCAATACTACCAAAATACAAAGGGTCATAAGAGATTATCATGACCAATTATGTCAATAAATTGAGTAACGTAGAAGAAATGGATAAATTCTTAGACATGTATGTCCTGAAGAAAGAATAAACCTGAACAAATTAATAACTAGTACAGAGATTAAATCACCAATAATAATAATAATAAACTTAAAAGTTCAGGACTTGATGCTTTTACTGGTGATTGCTACCAAATATCTAAAGACAGATTAATGCGATTCTCAAACTTTTCCAAACAATTAAAAAGGGTGCACTTTCCAACACATTTTTTCATGCATTACCCTAACACCAATGTCAGACAAGGACGGTATAAGAAAATTACAGGCCAATTTATTTTATGATCATGGATGTAAAGATTCTCAACACTAGCAAACTGAATTCAATACGTTCAAAAGATCATTTAGTTGAATGTTTTCTTTCTTCTGAAATTCTTCATTTTGCTTCCAAATGTCATTTTTCCTTATATTTTATTTTTTCATTAATCAAATTTAATTTTAAAATTTCCAACTAAAAAAATCTGTGGGTTTAATAAACATATTTTTAATTAACACTTAAAAAAAGCACAAGTTTGTAAATTGTATATTTTCTGTCCATTAGATTTTGGTTTGAGTATTGGGCCAATTGCACGGTAAGCTTTTTAATTTTTTTCCAGAAGTAATCCCAGGACCTTAAATCTCCACTGAAACTCTCAAAGTTTAATTGGTCAGCTGGGATTGTAGTCCCTGGGGTGTTGAAAGCATAAATAAGCCATACCTTAAGTCTGGACCATTTATCCCTGTAGGGAGTCCCTCTTCCCCTCTATTCTCTTTCAGAACTACTTATTACTTTAGGTTCAGTGTATGTAGCATATGGTGACTTTATGGGTTTCAGTTTTCTGAACCCCAAATATGCAAAAATATAGAAAAAGCAGACCAGGCATCCCACCTTCTGTGTGTCACTAAGGGAGCATCTCTTCCTCTTTCTCCCCTAATAAGTTGTATATTATTTTCTCAGTATTTTAATTTTTTGCTATTTATATTATCTGAGATTTATCATTGGAATCACACAAATATTAAACCAGGAAAGATCACCCAGGAAGAAATTGAGATCACCCACAATATCAGGTATTCTAAAACATGTTATATGAAAATTGTAATAATTAAAACATGAATCACAAATCTTGCAGGTAGAAATGTCAACATATTAATTTTTTTGAGGAAGAGCAACTTGGATGAATATATGGATGTAAACTTGCTGATCAACTACAGCCAAAAATTACATTGTAATTGTAACGTGTCCCTAAACTTGACCCATTACCAATCCTGATAAGTCTGTGCTTAGGATTATGTAGATTTTCAAAGGATTGAAATGTAGTTGCCTTTTCCAAATCTTGACTAGCTTGTCTGACAAGGTAGGATCATGTCAAGTAGATTGGACTGAGGTGATCCCTTTATTTTAAAGAGCAGTCTTTGGCAAACACTGATACTAGAAACTGATATGATTTTGCTCTTGTTGATGAATTTTACTTATTATAAATATGTTTTTTAAAAAACCAGGGAAGGAAACATAATCTTAAAACCACTCATTTGTGTCCATCCACATTATACTGTAGAGAAGACTGACTTTTTTTTCAGGTGATTATTGTAGCAAAACATTTTAAGTTTTATTGAGATCGTTTGTCATGTCTAAATTTGTTCATCATAATATATCCTGAGCTTAGTTCAGTGTCTGGCTCATGATAAATTTTATTTATTTAGTGTGGTGAGAGCACTTAACAGGAAATTTACCCTCTTACACTTTTTCAGTGCACGATTCAGTATTGTGAACTCCAGGCACGGTGCTGCACAGCCAATCTCTAGGACTTCATCTTGTGTCACTGAAACCTTATACCCATTGCACAGTAGATCAAGAGAAGAAATACTTGATACACGGCACAAGACCTATAGAACACGCAGGGAAAACTTCTTCTGGCATCAGAAAACCTGTTCAATTGCTGAGTTCATTCATTATATTCACCTCCTTACACCACAATGCTAACCCATGAATCTAACTGGCTGTGACAAAACTGTCTTTCATAAACCTACAGACTTTAAGATTTATGGAAAGAGAAAGACCTGTGGCATCCTAGAATTCTAACATCCACTCTTGGATCATCATGACCACTTAGCAGAGCTTTGCATTGAATTCCAGATAAAGAATATCAAACTCAAGGATATAGCAGCTCTTGAATAATGGGAAAGATAAATGAAGTGTTTGGCAAGTAGAAAGATAATCATGAAGTTCAGTCATTAACGTCTCGCCCTGAACAAATGCCATGGACTTGACATCATAAAAAACATAAAATAGGTATAAGTCAAAAATGTTTATTTTGGGAAATTATATTTAAATCAAAATCAAAAATATACTCATCTGAAAGACAACAGAAAATTCTGTCACCAAGGGAAATAAAACTCTAATTACCAAAACAAAATGTAAACAAAATAAAACTTACATAAACATACACATTCATGCATTCAAAAGAAGTTGCATAGAATTTTATTTAGCCATATCTCAGTATTTTGGAATTTTGCAAACACCAAGAGTCGCAATAATAATACATAATCTTTGTCTCTCACTCTGTTATTTTTTCCTCAAACTTGGGAAAGATAATGTGTGAGTGGATAGAGAGTGATTTTGGGGATCGGGATGAGACAGTTCTGCTTAAGGCAACTTCTCTTAGGATGGCAGGAGGTAGCAAGAGAAGAAAAGGCAGAATAACCATTACAGTTTACACCATATTTATAGCTATAATGCCTTAATATAATATGAAGTAATTACTTTCAATTACTTTTTAATAACAGAGATATATACAATATATGTTCCTTAAAATGGTTATCTAAAAGTTTAAGAAATTAGAAATCTTTAATCTTCTGAGAAATCATCTAGAAATTTAAATTTCTGAATTATAGGTAAATGTGTTATGATTTTCTTTTTTCAAATAAACCTTACAAATATTTTCAATATTGATATTGTTTCATTTTAAATGTGCCACTAACATGATGCTGTCATTTCATTGTCATTCTAGCAGTAAGGATTCTGAGTCCTTAGCACTCTGTTTGACCCAGCCTCTCCTTCCAGGAAATGACTAAATATACTCATTCAGAGCATATTTATTTTTGAGCATCTACTTTGGGGCTACCACTGTGTTAGGCTTTCAGCACACAGCAGTGATAAAAATGAGCAAAATGTCTCATCTTATTAATATGACACTATATTGTGGAAAAGAGAAACAATTGTAAAAAATATGTTCAAGATTGTTAATTTTATGAGGAAAAATAAGACAGCATAAGGGACAGATCAGTCCTTTTTTTATTAATTGGTCATTGAAATATTTTCTGATAAATAGCAAAGAAGAGACCTGAAAGAAGTGAAAAAATGGGTTCTAGTGTATCTGGGGAAAAAGACTCAAGGCAGAGGGAACAGTCTTCTTTTTCCTTTAGTAAGTGTGTTAATCCCATTGATGTTTATTGATATGTCCATTAAGTTTAATTGCATTTTCTCACATTTTGTTTTATGTTATATTCCCTCTTTTTTTTAAAAAAAGGTCTTTTGTTAAGTGGTCTATTATTTTTTCCATTTAATAAAATTTTTATATTTTTTCTATTACCTTTGTGCCAATACTTTTATAAAGTATAGAAATATTTTTATGAAGACTAAACTGTCATCTTTCCATTTATACAATGTCTATTGATTCCCTAGCATACGTAAGAATACAATAGCTTTCTCTCCTTTTTTTCCTTTAACATCCAAATTTAGTCAATATTTTTTAGTTTATTACTATATCTTTATGCTTCGTGCCTCACTACTTATCAACTTTAAGTATTATTTTATTGCTACACAAACTATGAAGCAACCATTTGGCTTATTTTTCATCATTTTCTTCAAATTCTTTCCTGGGTCAAGCTAATTTCCATTTCACATATTTGTGTTATCTGACAAATTATGTCAATTATCAAGTTTCTGCTTTCTAGTATCTCTGTCTCATGATGGTCTCTCATTGCTAAAATTGCTTATCAAGGATTTTTTTTTGTAAATTAAGTATGATACTGTATCATGAATTCTGCTACATGTCAATAATTTTTGGGTGGATATATTTATTCTAAGAAGTTAGTTACTTATTTTTTTGTGAATATTGTTGGAAGGAAACCGAATTTCCATATCTTATTTTTAAGATTTAATTTGCTTTTTCAGTTATTACTGGGTGAATTCCATGAATTTACAGGCACTGGGGAGTCTTGGCAGGTTTCTCAGGCCTTGTCAGACTCATTCCTGCCGTCTTCTCCCTGTCCTCTTCTGTATCCTACCCCCTCACCATGGGCGGGCCTGGCATGGTGATCAGTGTAGATTATGCTGCCCTGTGAGCTCCAGCACCTCCTCCCCATGTGGTCTGTCTTTCCATTTGCTCTTTTGATTGCTTCCTGCCTCCTTGTCTGTCATAATTGTGCACAGCAGTTCACGCTGATGTGACGACATTCCTCATCTAGGAAAAGATGTTTCCTGATATTTTTGAGCACTGCCACCAGCAGTAACTTTGAATCCCGTTTTTCTTCCCTGCAGGGTCTCCTGGTTCAGATCTTGGTTTTCTGCACCAATTCTGATGTGTCTCTTTCTGCCTTACATGTAATCTGTAGTTGGCGGGTTTTCTTTCCCTGATTTCATTGAAATAGTCACTTGTACATTCTTTTATTATTCAATGTCTTGAAAGCTTAGTATACATTTTAAGAATAAAAGTAGAAAGATTAAGATCAATAGTATAGCTAAAGATATATACCAGCATCAGAAGCTTACTTTTTATATTTGATGAGTTTTGTTCTGTTTGCCTGTGAATAATGGTTTGAGGAAGGCAAAGGTTGCAAGGGGTTATTGGTTAGAAGTCTCTCACAGAGGTCCAGGCAGAAAACGGTGTGCTAAGATAAAGAGGTAGTGGAAGAGGCAAGGAGAGACACCAGCAAACACACACACATGCATATGCATGTAACTGCATACAGTTGACAGGAAATTGGTTAAAATCATACTATTTTCTCAGTACATGATTAGTTAGCTGGTGCATCCATTATTTAGCCTGTGCATTGTAACTGTTGTCTATTCTTAACCTTATTAGCAACAATAGTAACATAGGGAATGAACAAAGTGCTTTGAGAATCAAATTTATTTTTTGTCTTTCCCTGAAATAATTCTAGCTCAAATAATGATGGTTTTACACAATTCCTGATCAGAGGGTTTTTGTATAGTTTCATTCTCTTAAGGAAAAGAAAGTCTTAAATTCCACAACTTCTGACCTCAGAGAAATCTATATGTAGTTACAGAAATAAGGCAATCTCCTAATTGCCTGCTAATTACATCATGTACACAAACACACACACATAAACATATATTGGAAAGTTACCAAAAGTCATAATTAGAGTGTAAGTTACCTATTAGCTTAATATTTGTTCAGTTTCTCTTTCTCCCCTGCTACTAAACTTACACACAACTAAACACCTGACTTGGCATCTTCTTTTGTGATCAGAAGGTAGGGAAGCACTTTGTGCTCCACACACAGCTATGTGTGATTTTCCTTAGTCTTCTTTTTCACTTACTTTTAAACACTAATTTTGCAAAAGCGTTCCTGTTTCTCCACATCCTCTCCAGCATCTGTTGTTTCCTGACTTTTTAATGATCGCCGTTCTAACTGGTGTGAGATGGTATCTCATTGTGGTTTTCATTTGCATTTCTCTGATGATGACCAGTGATGATGTGCCTTTCTTCATGTTTGTTAGCTGCATGGATGTCTTCTTTTGAGAAGTGTCTGTTCATATCCTTCACCCAATTTTTAAGGGGGTTGTTTTTTTCTTGTAAATTTAAGTTCTTTGTAGATTCTGGATATCAGACCTTTGTCAGACAGACAGATTGCAAAATTTTTCTCCCATTCTACAGCTTGCCTGTTCACTATGATGATAGTTTCCTTTGCTGCACAGAAGCTCTTTAATTAGATCCCATTTGTCAACTTTGGCTTTTGTTGCCATTGCTTTTGGTGTTTTAGTCATGAAGTCTTTACCCACGTCTATGTCCTGAATGGTATTGCCTAGGTTTTCTTCTAGGGTTTTTATTGTTTTAGGTATAACATTTAAGTCTTTAATCTATCTTGAGTTAATTTTTTATAAGATGTAAGGAAGAAGTCCAGTTTCAGTTTTCTGCATATGGCTAGCCAGTTTTCCCAGCACCATTTATTAAACAGGGAATTTTTTTTCCCATTGCTTGTTTTTGTCAGTTTTGTCAAAGATCAGATGGTTGTAGATGTGCGGTGTTATTTCCGAGGCCTCTGTTCTGTTCCATTGGTCTATATATCTGTTTTGGTACCACTACCATGCTGTTTTGGTTACTGTAGCCTTGTAGTATAGTTCGAAGTCAGGTAGTGTGATGCCTCCAGCTTTGTCCTTTTTGCTTAGGATTGTCTTGGCTATATGGCCTTTTTTTGGTTCCATATGAAATTTAAAGTAGTTTTTTCTAATTCTGTGAAGAAGGTCAAGCTAGCTTGATGGGGATAGCATTGAATCTATAACTTACTTTGGGCAGTGTGGCATATATATCCAAAGGATTATAAATCATTCTATAAAGTCACATGGACACATATGTTTATTGTGGCACTATTCACAACAGCAAAGACTTGGAATCAACCTAAATGCCCATCAATGATAGACTGGATAAAGAAAGTGTGGCACATATACACCATGGAATACTATGCAGCCATAGAAAAGGATGCATTCATGTCCTTTGCAGGGACATGGATGAAGGTGGAAACCATCATTTTCAGCAAACTAACACAAGAACAGAAAAGCAAACATCGCATGTTCTCATTCATAAATGGGAGTTGAACAATAAGAACACATGGACACAGGGAGGGGAACATCACACACCAGGGCCTGTTGGTGGGTTGGGGGGCTAGGAAGGAGGGATAGCATTAGGAGAAATACCTAACATAGATGACAATTTGATGGCTGCAGGAAACCACCATGGCATGTGTATACTTATGTAACGTGCACGTTCTGCACATGTACCCTAGAACTTATAGTTTAAAAAAAAGTTTGCTTTGGCTTTCGATGTAATTCTACTTAGACAACTCTTATACATATAGAGTAACATGTACACACATTTCATTTTACAAATTCTCCCTTTTATTTTGACTTGGCATTTGACAATATCACTTTGATAGTAGCTTGTGAATATTAGTCAAGATTTGTATAGAGGTCGGGCACAGTGACTCATGCCTGTAACCCCAGCACTTTGGGAGGCTGAGTCAGGTGGATCACTTGAGGTCAGTTGTTCAAGAGCACCCTAGCCAACATGGTGAAACACCATTTGTACTAAAATTACAAAAATTAGGCCAGGCACAGTGGCTCACGCCTATAATCCCAGCACTTTGGGAGGCTGAGGTAGTTAGGTCACCTGAGGTCAGGAGTTCCAGACCAGCCTGGCCAACATGGTGAAACCCCCATCTCTACTAAAAAAAAATATATATATATATAAAAATATATATATATACACACAAAAATTAGCGGGCATGGGGCCTGTGCCTGTAATCCCAGCTACTTGGGAGGCTAAGGCAGGAGAATTGCTTGAACGTGGGAGGTGGTTTGCAGTGAGCAGAGATTGTGCCACTGCACTCCACCCTGGGAGACAGAGTGAGATTCCATCTAAAAAAAAAAAAAAAAAAAAAAAAAATACAACAATTAGCTGGGAGTGGTGGCACACGCCTGTAGTCTCAGCTACTCTTGAGGCTGAGGCAAGAGAATTACTTGAACCCAGGAAGCAGAGGTTGAAGGGAACAGAGATCACGGCACTGTACTCTAGTCCAGGCGACAGAACGACTCCATCTCAAAAAATATATATATTTGTATACATATAACAAAATATTTGCATCAAAAGGACATTGGGTCAGTTGCTTTACCTGCATAAATACATCATTTGAACATATAAATATATCGGTGTAAAAATGGGCAAAGTACAAGAATAAGCAAAGAGTGAATAAATACAAATATCAAATAAAACAAATGTTAATACAATACTTTTGTTGTTTGAGTAAAACTTTATTCAATAAAAATAGAAGGAAGTGGCATTTCCCGCCCATGGATTTATGTTGAGGAAAGTTCTATAGGTCTTCACAACATGTTTTAGGTGATATATAAGGAAGATAATTATACTGTAAACGACTGTGGATTACCATTCTTGACCTCATTACTTTCTATCCCCAAATATTAATCACTTAGTATTTGAAGCTGAAGAGTCCTGAAGCTGCAGGAAAAATGGAGGAAACCAACAACAGCTCTGAAAAGGGATTTCTTCTCCTGGGATTTTCAGATCAGCCTCAGCTAGAGAGGTTTCTTTTTGCCATCATTTTGTACTTCTACGTCTTGAGCCTTCTGGGGAACACTGCCCTCATACTAGTATGTTGTCTGGACTCCAGACTCCACACTCCAATGTACTTCTTCCTCAGCAACCTCTCGTGTGTGGACATCTGCTTTACCACCAGTGTTGCCCCACAGTTGCTGGTTACCATGAATAAGAAAGACAAAACCATGAGCTACGGTGGCTGTGTGGCCCAGCTCTACGTGGCCATGGGGTTGGGCTCGTCTGAGTGTATTCTCTTGGCCGTCATGGCTTATGACCGCTATGCTGCTGTCTGCCGGCCACTGCGCTACATAGCCATTATGCACCCCAGGTTCTGTGCGTCTCTGGCCGGTGGAGCATGGCTCAGCGGCCTCATCACCTCCCTAATTCAGTGCTCCCTCACTGTGCAGCTGCCCCTCTGTGGTCATCGCACACTGGATCATATTTTCTGTGAGGTGCCAGTGCTCATCAAACTGGCCTGTGTGGATACGACTTTCAACGAGGCAGAACTCTTTGTGGCCAGTGTAGTCTTTCTAATTGTCCCGGTGTTACTCATCTTAGTCTCCTATGGCTTTATCACTCAAGCTGTGTTAAGGATAAAATCAGCTGCGGGCCGCCAAAAGGCCTTTGGGACCTGTTCGTCTCACCTGGTTGTGGTCATCATTTTCTATGGGACCATCATATTCATGTACCTTCAACCGGCCAATAGGAGATCCAAAAACCAGGGAAAGTTTGTTTCTCTTTTCTATACCATAGTCACCCCACTTTTAAACCCCATTATCTACACTCTGAGAAACAAAGATGTGAAAGGGGCCTTGAGGACCCTGATACTGGGTAGTGCTGCTGGACAAAGCCACAAGGACTAGGAAACACCTGGAATTCTAAACAAGGGAAACACCTCAAGGCAGAGTGAGGGTTCATCCTCCCCAGACATTCCTCTTGTCAATCCCAAAGCCACAGGGACTAGGAAGCATTGGAATTCTAAAGAAGGGAAACACCTCAAGGCAGCGTGAGGATTCATCCTCCCCAGACATTCCTCTTGTCAATCCCAAAGCCACAGGGACTAGGAAGCATTGGAATTCTAAAGAAGAGAAACACACCAAAGCAGCATGAGGGTTCATCCTCCCAGACATTCCTCTTGTCAATCCAAGACCCTGTGTTCTATCTGGAAAAAAATGTTTGTCCTTCGTCCACCTGCCATCAAGGTTCATGTATCCATTATTTCCTTCTAATGTGCCAGCCCATCTGATAGACTTCTACTAATGCTTCAAAACTCAGCTGAAATGTCACCTGCACTCACTAGCTGTCCTGAAACACCATCCTTCTCATCCTTGTGCAGAATTAACTGTTTCATAATATGTTTCCATAGCACTTGATCCACACTACCATTTCTACATTTCACATTTGAGATATATGTATACATATATCTCTAACTAGGCAAAGCAATGTATATAACAGACTGAAAAAATACATGACCATTTTCCCAGAATATGTCACTTTTAACTGGAGAATGGAACCATCCCACTCTATTGGCTTATTTACAACACGAGAAACACAAATATTAAGAGTTGTGATGCTTTGGTTCCACAGAATTGTGGGATGCAAATAATGACTAATATTTTATTAAAGGAATCAAATAAGCAAACTTGAATTAAGGAGATTGATTAAAAGTTGAGTAAAATTGCCATATACTAAAATGTGTTTTAACATTTATACAAAATTCATAAAATAAGTTATTGTTTTTGGCCTTAAACTCTGGAAAACAGTTACTTATGTAATTTTATACTTCAAAAATTTGAAATATGAATCCCACACACTGTCTCACGTTAACGATCATAGTTATATGTTTGGTTTCCAAAACAGCAAAAAAAATGAAATATTTAGAAGCATTTTAATAAATGTATTCTTATATTTGACCAAACTTTTACTTTCTGATTTAATTCTCTGTCTCTATCTCTCTGTGTATCTTTGTGTGTCTCAGCCTCTTTCTTGCTTTCTTTTCCCAAAACGATTGAACTTCATCAATTCGTCAACCTCAAGTATTTTAAGAGAACTGTGCAATTATAGAAAAAAGTGATTTAATCTGTGGTTGTAATTTTACTTCATATTCTCATTATGATACACATGAAAAAAGCATGAAAACATCAATGCAAATGAAGAGTAAAATGCAGGCAGAATCTGGGGTGGAAGTGGAATTTTCAAGTGATTTAGACTTTTCTTTTTTGGACAGGGTCTTGCTCTGTTGCCCAGGCTGGAGTGCAGTGGCTCAATCATGGCTCACTGCAGCCTTGACCTCCTGGGTTTAAGTGATCCCTCTGCCTCAGCCTTCCAACATTCAGATTTATAATAATTCATCCTGGTGTGAGAATATTGTAGCCTGTCTACGAATGTTAAGGATAACGTTTGGACCTGCCTCTCCTACCAAAGCCTGGACTGAAGGCAAAATGGCTGCGCACACAAGAACAAAAAGGCATCAGGAGAATTCACTAATGACTCAGGCTGCCTCTTCACAAATACCCTGTCCAGCTGGCACCTCTTCAATATACTTTTAGCAAACAAAATGATGAATATCCAATTTAACAAAAACGAGGGAAAAGAAGCCTGGTTAAATTTGTCTTCTAGGATATTCTTATGTGATTTTCCTCCTCCAGTAATGGAGAGGAGAGTTTGGAACTGAGCAGAACATGCTGAGGAGCACATGTTTTTATTTACAATATGCAAGTAGAGAAGTAGTTCTACAGGAAGCGTCACATGTACAAATGCATTATTCCTGATAACCCGAGCAACACAGCATAGGAAAGAATGTACCTGTGTCAGAGTCTCAATCAATTTACATGGAATATGGCCCCAGGGCAAAAGATGTGGCATTTAAAGGAAAGAAATAGCTCCAGGTGAAAAGACAACCATGTGTAAAGCAATGATATGAACACAATATGTAGAAAAACCTACATATGAATTGTGAAGCAACCATTTTCAAAGACAAACTCACATCCATTTAAGGTAATATGGAATACAAATCCCACTGAAAATAAAATCAAATTATTACTGTATACAATAAATTCAAACATAATTCAGAAAAAAATAGAATATCTGCTTATTGCTGAAATTAGCATCTTTAGCTGTAAGTTATTTGCACCCAAAAGGAAACCAGAAAATAATAGATATAACATAGGCAAAGCAACCTAAAAAAACTACTTAACTGCAGATGAAAATGGGAACACATTTGAAAATAAAATCCTGTTACTACTTTCTTGAATTTAGAGCTTTCCTATGATATGGATATGTTTATACTGCTTTTATAATCATCATACATGTATAATTTCATACTATTTTTATTTATAATGTGAGCATTTTTCTGATTAATCTAAAAAATATCCACCATTTATTAAAAATCTTCCCTATAATTGAATAACATGAGTAGTTTCTCTTTTTTAAATACCTACATTGAGCATACTTTTGTTTGTGAATGCTTATAATTATGTACTTATAATGTATTTTATAAATACAATTAGTAAATCTAAAACAGGTACACATCAGTCAATTTGCACACATTACTAGCTTGATCTGCAGAACACGTTTTCAAAGGATGCGCCAAGAAAAAAACTATCACTTAGTTAAATGACCATTCAGTATTGCAATTATTTAAAAACTATACAATGAGAATGCTGTAATAAGTATATGGTTCCACCACTCCAAACACCATGAATTTTTTTTAAAAGATATTTTTAAGAAAAAATAAAATGATTTTACATAACAAATATTAATGAATTCATGAAAAACAAAAACCATATAGGACCACAGCTCAGAGAAGAAAAATGGGAGGCACTTACTATTTAAACCCTAACCCAAATGGTCAGTAAAAAGACAAGTACCAGCTACTACAAAAAAACACCAAAATATAAAGACCAATGATACTGTGAAGAAACTGCATTACCTAATGTGCAAAATAACCAGCTAGCATCACGATGACAAGATCAAATTCACACATAAAAATATTAATCTTAGGCAGGGCACAGTGGCTCACACTTGTAATCATAGCACTTTGGGAGGCTGAGTCAGGTGGATCATGAGGTCAGGAGTTCAAGCTCAGCCTGGCCAGCATGGTGAAACCCCATGTCTCCTAAAAAAAATACAAAAAATTAGCCAGGCACAGTGGTGCATGCCTATAATCCCAGTTACTCAGGAGGCTGAGGCAGAAGAATTGCTTGAACCTAGGAGGCAGAGGTTGCAGTGAGCCAAGATCGTGCCACTGTACTCCAGCCTGGGCAACAGAGCAAGACTCCATCTCAAAAAAAAAAAGAAAAAAATGTATATGTTATCACTTTGGTCTCATTTGAGTATGAATGATCAGACAGGGAAAATAAAAGTACCAAGAAAAATAAACAAGGGTCTTATAATAAAAGCAACACAGAATGGCCAAAGCTATCCTGAGCAAAAAGAGGAAAAAAGCTGGAGCCATCACATTACTAGACTTCAAAATATACTACCAAGTTATAGTTACCAAAACAGCCTGGTATTGGCATAAAAACAGACACATGGGCCAATAGAACAGAATGGAGAACCTAGAAATAGATTCATGTATTTACAGCCAACTGATTTTTGACAAAGGTGCCAAGAACATACACTGGGGAAAGGAGAGTTTCTTCAATAAATGTCCTGGAACAGTAATCAGCAGCTGGGGCTGGTACCATAGGGATACTTAAAGTTGAATTTATCAATTGCTGGAAGCTCATGTGAACTAACTTGACAAATAAAAACAATGTTGAGCCCCAGTCTTAGGAAATCCTCCCTATACTCATGATTTTTACCTTCAGGAGTCTCAACAGCTTCTCACTGTGCAAAGTAGAGAGAAATTCCCTTTTGCTTTGGCAGAGAGAGGAGAAAATAAACATTTGAAATATGCCCAGAGCTCTCTGTTCACCATAACCTGATCTCAGTAGTAACTATTTAATGATTGCCATTCTAACTGGTGTGAGATGATATCTATTGTGGTTTTGATTTGCATTTCTCTGATGGCCAGTGATAATGAGCATTTTTTCATGTGGCTGTGGGCTGCATAAATATCTTTTGAGAAGTGTCTGTTCATATCTTTCGCCCACTTTTTGATGGGTTTTTTTTTTCTTATAAATTTGTTTGAGTTCTTTGTAGATTCTGGATATTATCCCTTTGTCAGATGAGTAGACTGCAAAAATTTTCTCCCATTCTCTAGGTTGCCTGTACACTCTGATGGTAGTTTCTTTTGCTGTGCAGAAGCTCTTTAGTTTAATTAGATCCCATTTGTCAATTTTGGCTTTTGTTGCCATTGCTTTTGGTGTTTTAGACATGAAGTCCTTATCCATGCCTATGTCCTGAATGGAATTGCCTAGGTTTTCTTCTAGGGTTTTTATGGTTTTAGGTCTAACATTTACGTCTTTAATCCATCTTGAATTAATTTTTGTATAAGGTGTAAGGAAGGGATCCAGTTTCAGCTTTCTACATATGGCTAGTCAGTTTTCCCAGCACCATTTGTTAAATAGGGAATCCTTTCCCTATTTCTTGTTTTGTCAGGTTTGTCAAAGATCAGATAGTTGAAGATGTGTGGTATTATTTCGGAGGGTTCTGTTCTGTTCCATTGGTCTATCTCTCTGTTTTGGTACCAGTGCCATGCTATTTTGGTTACTGTAGCCTTGTAGTATAGTTTAAAGTTAGGTAGCATGATGCCTCCAGCTTTGTTCTTTTGGCTTAGGATTGACTTGGCGATGCAGGCTCTTTTTTGGTTCCATATGAACTTTAGTTTTTTCCAATTCTGTGAAGAAAGTCATTGGTAGCTTGATGGGGATGGCATTGAATCTATAAATTACCTTGGGCAGTATGGCCATTTTCATGGTATTTCTTCTTCCTATCCATGAGCATGGAATGTTCTTCCATTTGTTTGTATCCTCTTTTATTTCATTGAGCAAACAGGTGCTGGAGAGGATGTGGAGAAATAGGAACACTTTTACACTGTTGGTGGGACTGTAAACTGGTTCAACCATTGTGGAAAACAGTGTGGTGATTCCTCAGGTATCTAGAACTAGAAATACCATTTGACCCAGCCATCCCATTACTGGGTATATACCCAAAGGATTATAAATCATGCTGCTATAAAGACACATGCACATGTATGTTTATTGCAGCAGTATTCACAATAGCAAAGACCTGGAACCAACCCAAATGTCCAACAATGATAAAGTGGATTAAGAAAATGTGGCGAAGATGGCCGAATAGGAACAGCTCCGGTCTACAGCTCCCAGCGTGAGCGACGCAGAAGACAGGTGATTTCTGCTTTTCCATCTGAGGTACCGGGTTCGTCTCACTAGGGAGTGCCAGACAGTGGGTGCAGGTCAGTGGGTGCGCGCACCATGTGCAAGCCAAAGCAGGGCGAGGCACTGCCTCACTCGGGAAGTGCAAGGGGTCAGGGAGTTCCCTTTCCTAGTCAAAGAAAGGGGTGACGGAGGGCACGTGGAAAATTGGGTCACTCCCACCCAAATACTGCACTTTTCCGACGTGCTTAAAAAACAGCGCACCACGAGATTATATCCCGCACCTGGCTCGGAGGGTCGTACTCCCACGGAGTCGGAGTCTCGCTGATTGCTAGCACAGCAGTCTGAGATCAAACTGCAAGGCGGCAGCAAGGCTGGGGGAGGGGCGCCCGCCATTGCCCAGGCTTGCTTAGGTAAACAAAGCAGCCAGGAAGCTCGAACTGGGTGGAGCCCACCACAGCTCAAGGAGGCCTGCCTGCCTCTGTAGGCTCCACCTCTGAGGGCAGGGCACAGACAAAGACAGCAGTAACCTCTGCAGACTTAAATGTCCCTGTCTGACAGCTTTGAAGAGAGCAGTGGTTCTCCCAGTACGCAGCTGGAGATCTGAGAAGGGGCAGACTGCCTCCTCAAGTGGGTCCCTGACCCCTGACCCCTGAGCAGCCTAACTGGGAGGCACCCCCCAGCAGGGGCAGACTGACACCTCACACGGCAGGGTACTCCAACAGACCTGCAGCTGAGGGTCCTGTCTGTTAGAAGGAAAACTGACAAACAGAAAGGACATCCACACCAAAAACCCTTCTGTACATCACCATCATCGAAGACCAAAAGTAGATAAAACCACAAAGATGGGGAAAAAACAGAACAGAAAAACTGGAAACTCTAAAAAGCAGAGCGCCTCTCCTCTTCCAAAGGAACGCAGTTCCTCACCAGCAACGGAACAAAGCTGGATGGAGAATGACTTTGACGAGCTGAGAGAAGAAGGCTTCAGACGATCAAATTACTCTGAGCTACGGGAGGACATTCAAACTAAAGGCAAAGAAGTTGAAAACTTTGAAAAAAATTTAGAAGAATGTATAACTAGAATAACCAATACAGAGAAATGCTTAAAGGAGCTGATGGAGCTGAAAACCAAGGCTTGAGAACTACATGAAGAATGCAGAAGCCTCAGGAGGCGATGCAATCAACTGGAGAAAGGCTATCAGTGATGGAAGATGAAATGAATCAAATGAAGTGAGAAGGGAAGTTTAGAGAAAAAAGAATAAAAAGAGCAAAGCCTCCAAGAAATATGGGACTATGTGAAAAGACCAAATCTACATCTGATTGGTGTACCTGAAAGTGATGGTGAGAATGGAACCAAGTTGGAAAACACTCTGCAGGATATTATCCAGGAGAACTTCCCCAATCTAGCAAGGCAGGCCAAAATTCAGGTTCAGGAAATACAGAGAATGCCACAAAGATACTCCTCGAGAAGAGCAACTCCAAGAAACATAATTGTCAGATTCACCAAAGTTGAAATGAAGGAAAAAATGTTAAGGGCAGCCAGAGAGAAAGGTCAGGTTACCCTCAAAGGGAAGCCCATCAGACTAACAGCGGATCTCTTGGCAGAAACCCTACAAGCCAGAAGAGAGTGGGGGCCAATATTCAACATTCTAAAGAAAAGAATTTTCAACCCAGAATTTCATATCCAGCCAAACTAAGCTTCCTAAATGAAGGAGAAATAAAATACTTTACAGACAAGCAAATGCTGAGAGATTTTGTCACCACCAGGCCTGCCCTAAAAGAGCTCCTGAAGGAAGCACTAAACATGGAAAGGAACAACCGGTACCAGCCGCTGCAAAATCATGCCAAAATGTAAAGACCATTGAGACTAGGAAGAAACTGCATCAACTAACGAGCAAAATAACCAGCTGACATCATAATGACAGGATCAGATTCACACATAACAATATTAACTTTAAATGTAAATGGACTAAATGTTCCAATTAAAAGACACAGACTGGCAAATTGGATAAACAGTCAAGACCCATCAGTGTGCTGTATTCAGGAAACCCATCTCACGTGCAGAGACACACATAGGCTCAAAATAAAAGGATGGAGGAAAATATACCAAGCAAATGGAAAACAAAAAAAGGCAGGGGTTGCAATCCTAGTCTGATAAAACAGACTTTAAACCAACAAAGATCAAAAGAGACAAAGAAGGCCATTACATAATGGTAAAGGGATCAATTCAACAAGAAGAGCCAACTATCCTAAATATATATGCACCCAACAGAGGAGCACTCAGATTCATAAAGCAAGTCCTGAGTGACCTACAAAGAGACTTAGACTCCCACACATTAATAATGGGAGACTTTAACACCCCACTGTCAACATTAGACAGATCAACAAGACAGAAAGTCAACAAGGATACCCAGGAATTGAACTCAGCTCTGCACCAAGCAGACCTAATAGACATCTACAGAACTCTCCATCCCAAATCAACAGAATATACATTTTTTTCAGCACCACACCACACCTATTCCAAAATTGACCACATACTTGGAAGTAAAGCTCTCCTCAGCAAATGTAAAAGAACAGAAATTATAACAAACTATCTCTCAGACCACAGTGCAATCAAACTAGAACTAAGGATTAAGAATCTCACTCAAAACCACTCAACTACATGGAAACTGAACAACCTGCTCCTGAATGACTACTGGGTATATAACAAAATGAAGGCAGAAATAAAGATGTTCTTTGAAACCAATGAGAACAAAGACACAACATACCAGAATCTCTGGGACACATTCAAAGCAGTGTGTAGAGGGAAATTTATAGCACTAAATGCCCACAAGAGAAAGCAGGAAAGATCCAAAATTGACACCCTAACATCACAATTAAAAGAAGTAGAAAAGCAAGAGCAAACACATTCAAAAGCTAGCAGAAGGCAAGAAATAACTAAAATCAGAGCAGAACTGAAGGAAATAGACACACAAAAAACCCATCAAAAAATTAATGAATCCAGGAGCTGGTTTTTTGAAAGGATCAACAAAATAGACCACTAGCAAGACTAATAAAAAAAGAGAGAAGAATCAAATAGAAGCAATAAAAAATGATAAAGGGGATATCACCACCTATCCCACAGAAATACAAACTACCATCAGAGAATACTACAAACACCTCTACGCAAATAAACTAGAAAATCTAGAAGAAATGGATAAATTCCTCGACACATACACTCTCCCAAGACTAAACCAGGAAGAAGTTGAATCTCTGAATAGACCAATAACAGGATTTGAAATTGTGGCAATAATCAATAGCTTACCAACCAAAAAGAGTCCAGGACCAGACGGATTCACAGCCGAATTCTGCCAGAGGTACAAGGAGGAACTGGTACCATTCCTTCTGAAACTATTCCAATCAATAGAAAAAGAGGGAATCCTCCCTAACTCATTTTATGAGGCCAGCATCATCCTGATACCAAAGCTGGGCAGAGACACAACCAAAAAAGAGAATTTTAGACCAATATCCTTGACGAACATTGATGCAAAAATCCTCAATAAAATACTGGCAAACCGAATCCAGCAGCACATCAAAAAGCTTATCCACCATGATCGAGTGGGCTTCATCCCTGGGATGCAAGGCTGGTTCAATATAAGCAAATCAATCAATGTAATCCAGCATATAAACAGAGCCAAAGACAAAAACCACATGATTATCTCAATAGATGCAGAAAAGGCCTTTGACAAAATTCAACAACCCTTCATGCTAAAAACTCTCAATAAATTAGGTATTGATGGGATGTATTTCAAAATCATAAGAGCTATCTATGACAAAGCCACAGCCAATATCATACTGAATGGGCATAAACTGGAAGCATTCCCTTTGAAAACTGGCACAAGACAGGATGCCCTCTCTCACCACTCCTATTCAACATAGTGTTGGAAGTTCTGGCCAGGGCAATTAGGCAGGAGAAGGAAATAAAGGGTATTCAATTAGGAAAAGAGGAAGTCAAATTGTCCCTGTTTGCAGATGACATGATTGTATATCTAGAAAACCCCATTGTCTCAGCCCAAAATCTCCTTAAGCTGATAAGCAACTTCAGCAAAATCTCAGGATACAAAATCAGTGTACAAAAATCATAAGCATTCTTATACACCAACAATAGACAGAGAGCCAAATCATGAGTGAACTCCCATTCACAATTGCTTCAAAGAGAATAAAATACCTAGGAATCCAACTTACAAGGGATGTGAAGGACATCTTCAAGGAGAACTACAAACCACTGCTCAAGGAAATAAAAGAGGATACAAACAAATGGAAGAACATTCTATGCTCATGGGTAGGAAGAATCAATATCATGAAAATGGCCATACTGCCCAAGGTAATTTACAGATTCAATGCCATCCCCATCAAGCTACCAATGCCTTTCTTCACAGAATTGGAAAAAACTACTTTAAAGTTCATATGGAACCAAAAAAGAGCCCACATCACCAAGTCAATCCTAAGCCAAAAGAACAAACCTCGAGGCATCACACTACCTGAATTCAAACTATACTACAAGGCTACAGTAACCAAAACAGCATGGTACTGGTACCTAAACAGAAATATAGATCAATGGAACAGAACAGAGCCCTCAGAAATAACGCCCCATATCTACAACTATCTGATCTTTGACAAACCTGAGAAAAGCAATGGGGAAAGGATTCCCTATTTAATAAATGGTGCTGGGAAAATTGGCTAGCAATATGTAGAAAGCTGAAACTGGATCCCTTCCTTACACCTTATACAAAAATCAATTCAAGATGGATTAAAGACTTAAACGTTAGACCTAAAACCATAAAAGCCCTAGAAGAAAACCTAGGCAGTACCATTCAGGACATAGGCATGGGCAAGGACTTCATGTCTAAAACACCAAAAGCAATGGCAGCAAAAGCCAAAATTGACAAATGGGATCTAATTAAACTAAAGAGCTTCTGCACAGCAAAAGAAACTACCATCAGACTGAACAGGCAACCTACAAAATGGGAGGAAATTTTCGCAACCTACTCATCTGACAAAGGGCTAATATCCAGAATCTACAATGAACTCAAACAAATTTACAAGAAAAAAACAACCCCATCAAAAAGTGGGTGAAGGATATGAACAGACACTTCTCAAAAGAAGATATTTATGCAGCCAAAAAACACATGAAAAATGCTCATCATCACCGGCCATCAGAGAAATGCAAATCAAAACCACAATGAGATACCATCTCACACCAGTTAGAATGGCAATCATTAAAAAGTCAGGAAACAACAGGTGCTGGAGAGGATGTGGAGAAATAGAAACATTTTTACACTGTTGGTGGGACTGTAAACTAGTTCAACCATTGTGGAAGTCAGTGTGGCGATTCCTCAGGGATCTAGAACTAGAAATACCATTTGACTCAGCCATCCCATTACTGGGTATATACCCAAAGGACTATAAATCATGCTGCTATAAGACCCATGCACACGTATGTTTATTGCGGCATTATTCACAATAGCAAAGACTTGGAACCAACCCAAATGTCCAACAATGATAGACTGGATTAAGAAAATGTGGCACATATACACCATGGAATACTATGCAGCCATAAAAAAGGATGAGTTCATGTCCTTTGTAGGGACATGGATGAAATTGGAAATCATCATTCTCAGTAAACTATCGCAAGAACAAAAAACCAAACACCGCATAATCTCACTCATAGGTGGGAATTGAACAATGAGATCACATGGACACAGGAAGGGGAACATCACACTCTGGGGACTGTTGTGGGGTGGGGGGAGGGATAGCATTGGGAGATATACCTAATGCTAGATGACGAGTTAGTGGGTGCAGCGCACCAGCATGGCACATGTATACGTATGTAACTAATCTGCACAATGTGCACATGTACCCTAAAACTTAAAGTATAATAATAAAAGAAAAACTTAAACAAAACAAAAAAAAACACACACACACAAAAGAAAATGTGGCACATATACACCATGGAATACTCTGCAGCCTTAAAAAATGATGAGTTCTTGTCCTTTGTAGGGAGATGGATGAAGCTGGAAACCATCATTCTCAGCAAACTATTGCAAAACAAAAAACCAAACATCGCATGTTCTCACTTATAGGTGGGAATTGAACAATAAGAACACCTGGACACAGGAAGGGGGACATCACACACCAGGGCCTGTTGTGGGGTGGGGGGAGGAGGGAGGGATAGCATTAGGACATATACCTAATGTAAATGACGAGTTAATGGGTGTAGCACACCAACATGGCACATGTATACATATGTAACAAACCTGCACGTTGTGTACATGTACCCTAGAACTTAAAGTATAATTAAAAAAAATAAACTATTTAACAGAGGCTGCCGTATTACTGGGGTTTTACCACAGGCTAACCAATATGCTAGAAGGAAAATACCCAACTCCAGGTCCTTCTAACCTGTGTCACACCTATGTGGGGGTGGGCAGGGGATGTTAAGAAGCTCTTTGAAGGTTGCAGTCCAAGAACACATGCTGGCAAATAGATTCAGACCAATTTGTAGGACTATAGAATGATTTCTCTCCCTTCCACACTGACAAACACATTAAAATATCTCATGTATGATAACAGAGGATGCACATGGAAGGATGACAAGCCTCAAATCCTGTTTAACAATGAATCTGTAGAAAAGCCAAAGATAACAGAGGACACAAAAATAAGAACACTAGGGCAAATTATGGCCTCTGACATCAGAGGTAAAACTAGCGATAAACATAGCCTAACACATAAACATAAACTTCACACTAAACGCCTGTTTATCTTTACCTAACACATCATGTAAATTATGGTAAGAATTGTATCCCCACAGACTCATATATTGAAGTCATACCCCCAACTATCTCAGAATGTACCCTTATTTGGAAATAGGACCATTGCAGATGTAATTAGTTAATTGAAGATGAGAACATACTCTAGTAGAAAGTGTCCCTAATCCAATATGATTGAAGAAAAAGTAGTAACAACATATTTTAATGAGTCATATACTATTGAAACAGAGAAAACAGTCCAGCACGCACTGAACTCAATTTTGATGTATACAGAGTTGACGATCATTTTAAACTTGACGAAACTCTAGCCAGGGTCTTCTGAGCCTTCTCAATTCAGCCTTAACTTTGGTCTATAAAAACTTGAAAAAGACAGGAACATAGTTGGTAACAGTTCAAGTCTACATCTCTAGAACGAACGACCCAGTCTCCCTTAAAGTGAACTGTCTGAGAAAACTGAAACCTGCCTGTCTTCATGGTTCCTATAACAAAAATACCATGGCCTTACACAACACTTATTTCTCACATTTCCACAGATTGGAAAGTCCACAATAAAGGTGCCAGCCAGTTTGGTCTGTAAGGACCCATTTTCTGATTTATAGAGCATGGTCTTCTTGCTGTGCCCTCACATGGCAGAAGAGGCAAGAAAGCTCTCTGGAGTCTCTTTTATGAGGTCACTAAGTCCATTCATGAGTTCATCACTCATGATCTAATCAACCCCCAAAGACTTCCTCTCCCAATATCATCACATTGGGGTTTAAGATTTCAACATATAACTTATGTAAGTACACAGACAATCTATAGCATGCTTGTCCCAGCCAAGACTTGAAGATAGGCCTGGTGTCTCCTGACCTCTGTGGGAGGGTAGAAGCCCAACATCAGCAAGTATCAGTTAACAAAGCAAATGGGTTTCACAGGAACCAACTCCCCCTTCTCACGATTTGTAATTTCTCACATCCCTGACCCTCCTGAGCCCCCACTAACTCCCATTTCTCTTTCCTCAAACTCCCTTTAACATTTTCCTCAACCTGGATACATCAAAGTTAAGTTCATGCTGAACTCTTGCCTGTTTCAATAGTATATGACTAGTTAAAGCACGTTCTTACCTCTTTAACCAGTTTTCCATTTTGTTTGTCTTGACAGTTATCTGGCACTGGAACTCAAATCCAGATTGGAACCCTTATCTGGCCCTTGGACAAAACAGTCAATCCTTTCTGCATGCGTAGAAACCTTTGTCTGATCTTCAGTTGACTTACTTTTTTGGGTATTTGGTGGCGAGTTCAACTTCTGGCCTAACACTGTGTAGAAATTTGCACTGAGGCATGGCGAGGACATATTTTCTTCCTATGTTTCTGGCTGTAGTCTCTAAGGCTGGGTTATAATTCCAGGCTGCTTTTGAAAGACATCTCCTGGGCTGGCTGTTTATCTTCCTGGCTCCCTGTTTTCAGTGGGAATTCACTTCCTAACTCCTGTGCTGGAATGTTCACTCTGGCTTCTTGTGAGACCTCTTCATTCTATTTGAACTTACTCTTCCCACAGGAACTCCACAGTTAAACCCCTTTTGGGTTCCTACTCTCTATATATACTATGACACTAACCATGTCTGCTTCTATTTTAGGCAAAATGACTTTACTGTGGATAATTCGGAACTGCAATGGTTTATTTGAAAATCTTAAGATCTGCCTAAAGTGGCTCTTATAGGACTGCTCCCTTCCCATTTCCTTCTTTTTTCCTTCTTTCTTTTACCATCTTAACTTTTTCCATTGAACTCCCCTGACACTTTGATATGCACCTCTTTTCCATTAAACACCCCTGACTTTTGATATATACCCATCCTTTTACCCCTACCAGATGTTTCACTTACCTCTTTAGCCCCTCGACTCCCTATAGTCACTGGAACGTATGCCTCCTGATTCACAGGGGGTTCTCGAGAGACTGATGCACACACAAAGCAACACACGGGGCTTCCTGGAAACAGAGATATAATCTACAGCCTGTGTAAGATTACATTTTAGGTGAAAAACCCACAAATACCCCAAAATATGTTACTAATTAAAATCTGTCCTCACTACCTTAACCAGTGTCTGGGCTTTACCTTTGAAACTGGTGTCCTTATTTAAAAAAAGTTGGACATGCACCCAGGAATATTATCTTTTGAAGATAAAGGAATAGATTGAAGTAATGCTACTTCAAGCCAAGGAATGCCAAAGGTTGTCATCAAACTACCAGAATGCTATGGTACGCATAGCAAATGAATACATCAGCTTTCAACAACATCATCAAAAATTACAAGTCATGGTAGCAGGCAAAAAATATGCTTTAAAAAGAAAAACAAAATTAGAAAAGGACTTGGACATGGCAAGCCA
Organism: Homo sapiens; assembly: GCF_000001405.40. Taxonomy (NCBI): domain Eukaryota; kingdom Metazoa; phylum Chordata; class Mammalia; order Primates; family Hominidae; genus Homo; species Homo sapiens. The sequence continues at coordinate 158,852 of NW_025791755.1, read as the reverse complement.
ATCATGTGATTTCTTGATGTTTCTTCTGTGTTTTCTGCCTAGAAAAACCCACTGCACTCACTGCTGGGTGGATCTATCTGAACCTCTTATGGCTCTGAGTGCCATCTGAAAAAGATGATGGTTCCCTTTACCTTGAGTCGTTTTCCCCAGATACACTAGAACCCATTATTTCAGTTCTTTTAGGTCTCTTCTGTGCTATTCGATTATCAGAAAAGATTTCAATGACCAATGAATAAAAATGACTGATCTGTCCCTTATGCTGTCTTATTTTTCTTCATAAAATTAACAATCTTGAACATATTTTTTACAATTGTTTCTCTTTTCCACAATATAGTGTCATATTAATAAGATGAGACATTTTGCTCATTTTTATCACTGCTGTGTGCTGAAAGCCTAACACAGTGGTAGCCCCAAAGTAGATGCTCAAAAATAAATATGCTCTGAATGAGTATATTTAGTCATTTCCTGGAAGGAGAGGCTGGGTCAAACAGAGTGCTAAGGACTCAGAATCCTTACTGCTAGAATGACAATGAAATGACAGCATCATGTTAGTGGCACATTTAAAATGAAACAGTATCAATATTGAAAATATTTGTAAGGCTTATTTGAAAAAAGAAAATCATAACACATTTACCTATAATTCAGAAATTTAAATTTCTAGATAATTTCTAAGATTAAGGTTTTTTAATTTCTTAAACTTTTAGATAACCATTTTAAAGAATATATATTGTATATATCTCTGTTATTAAAAAGTAATTGAAAGTAATTACTTCATATTATATTAAGGCATTATAGCTATAAATATGGTGTAAACTGTAATGGTTATTCTGCCCTTTCTTCTCTTGCTACCTCCTGCCATCCTAAGAGAAGTTGCCTTAAGCAGAATTGTCTCATCCCGATCCCCAGAATCACTCTATCCACTCACACATTATCTTTCCCAAGCTTGAGGAAAAAATAACAGAGTGAGAGACGAAGATTATGTATTATTATTGCGACTCTTGGTGTTTGCAAAATTCCAAAATACTGAGATATGGCTAAATAAAATTCTATGCAACTTCTTTTGAATGCATGAATGTATATATTTATGTAAGTTTTATTTTGTTTACATTTTGTTTTGGTAATTAGAGTTTTATTTCCCTTGGTGACAGAACTTTCTGTTGTCTTTCAGATGAGTATATTTTTGATTTTGATTTAAATATAATTTCCCAAAATAAACATTTTTGACTTATACCTATTTTATGTTTTTTATGATGTCAAGTCCATGGCATTTGTTCAGGGCGAGACTTTAATGACTGAACTTCATGATTATCTTTCTACTTGCCAAACACTTCATTTATCTTTCCCATTATTCAAGAGCTGCTATATCCTTGAGTTTGATATTCTTTATCTGGAATTCAATGCAAAGCTCTGCTAAGTGGTCATGATGATCCAAGAGTGGATGTTAGAATTCTAGGATGCCACAGGTCTTTCTCTTTCCATAAATCTTAAAGTCTGTAGGTTTATGAAAGACAGTTTTGTCACAGCCAGTTAGATTCATGGGTTAGCATTGTGGTGTAAGGAGGTGAATATAATGAATGAACTCAGCAATGAACAGGTTTTCTGATGCCAGAAGAAGTTTTCCCTGCGTGTTCTATAGGTCTTGTGCCGTGTATCAAGTATTTCTTCTCTTGATCTACTGTGCAATGGGTATAAGGTTTCAGTGACACAAGATGAAGTCCTAGAGATTGGCTGTGCAGCACCGTGCCTGGAGTTCACAGTACTGAATCGTGCACTGAAAAAGTGTAAGAGGGTAAATTTCCTGTTAAGTGCTCTCACCACACTAAATAAATAAAATTTATCATGAGCCAGGCACTGAACTAAGCTCAGGATATATTATGATGAACAAATTTAGACATGACAAACGATCTCAATAAAACTTAAAATGTTTTGCTACAATAATCACCTGGAAAAAAAAGTCAGTCTTCTCTACAGTATAATGTGGATGGACACAAATGAGTGGTTTTAAGATTATGTTTCCTTCCCTTGTTTTTAAAAAACATTTATAATAAGTAAAATTCTTCAACAAGAGCAAAATCATATCAGTTTCTAGTATCAGTGTTTGCCAAAGACTGCTCTTTAAAATAAAGGGATCACCTCAGTCCAATCTACTTGACATGATCCTACCTTGTCAGACAAGCTAGTCAAGATTTGGAAAAGGCAACTACATTTCAATCCTTTGAAAATCTACATAATCCTAAGCACAGACTTATCAGGATTGGTAATGGGTCAAGTTTAGGGACACGTTACAATTACAATGTAATTTTTGGCTGTAGTTGATCAGCAAGTTTACATCCATATATTCATCCAAGTTGCTCTTCCTCAAAAAAATTAATATGTTGACATTTCTACCTGCAAGATTTGTGATTCATGTTTTAATTATTACAATTTTCATATAACATGTTTTAGAATACCTGATATTGTGGGTGATCTCAATTTCTTCCTGGGTGATCTTTCCTGGTTTAATATTTGTATGATTCCAATGATAAATCTCAGATAATATAAATAGCAAAAAATTAAAATACTGAGAAAATAATATACAACTTATTAGGGGAGAAAGAGGAAGAGATGCTCCCTTAGTGGCACACAGAAGGTGGGATGCCTGGTCTGCTTTTTCTATATTTTTGCATATTTGGGGTTCAGAAAACTGAAACCCATAGAGTCACCATATGCTACATACACTGAACCTAAAGTAATAAGTAGTTCTGAAAGAGAACAGAGGAGAAGAGGGACTCCCTACAGGGATAAATGGTCCAGACTTAAGGTATGGCTTATTTATGCTTTCAACACCCCAGGGACTACAATCCCAGCTGACCAATTAAACTTCGAGAGTTTCAGTGGAGATTTAAGGTCCTGGGATTACTTCTGGAAAAAAATTAAAAAGCTTACCGTGCAATTGGCCCAATACTCAAACCAAAATCTAATGGACAGAAAATATACAATTTACAAACTTGTGCTTTTTTTAAATGTTAATTAAAAATATGTTTATTAAACCCACAGATTTTTTTAGTTGGAAATTTTAAAATTAAATTTGATTAATGAAAAAATAAAATATAAGGAAAAATGACATTTGGAAGCAAAATGAAGAATTTCAGAAGAAAGAAAACATTCAACTAAATGATCTTTTGAACATATTGAATTCAGTTTGCTAGTGTTGAGAATCTTTACATCCATGATCATAAAATAAATTGGCCTGTAATTTTCTTATACCGTCCTTGTCTGACATTGGTGTTAGGGTAATGCATGAAAAAATGTGTTGGAAAGTGCACCCTTTTTAATTGTTTGGAAAAGTTTGAGAATAGCATTAATCTGTCTTTAGATATTTGGTAGCAATCACCAGTAAAAGCATCAAGTCCTGAACTTTTAAGTTTATTATTATTATTATTGGTGATTTAATCTCTGTACTAGTTATTAATTTGTTCAGGTTTATTCTTTCTTCAGGACATACATGTCTAAGAATTTATCCATTTCTTCTACGTTACTCAATTTATTGACATAATTGGTCATGATAATCTCTTATGACCCTTTGTATTTTGGTAGTATTGACTAATTTCTCCTGCTTTACTTATAGTTTTATTTGAGTCATCTCTCTTAGTTTTCTTGGTTTGTCTACCTAAAGGTTTGCCAATTTTCCTCACGTTTTTACAGAACCAACTCCTCGTGTTACTGATCTTTTCTTTTGTCTTTCTTATCTGTTTAATTCTGCTCTAACCTTTATAACTTTCTTCTTTCTTCTAACTTTTGGCTTTTTTCTTCTTTTCTAATTCCCAGAGTGCCAAGTTAGGTTGCTTATTTGGGATCATTTCTCTCTCTGTCTCAGTAGCTATCAGAACTACTTTTGCTGTACCCCATGATTTGGTATGTTATTTGTCCATTTTTGTTTGTCTCAGGATATTTTTAAATTGTCTTTATTTTTGGGTCCATTTGTTGTTTATGAGTGTTGAGAGTGGGGTATTATAATCCCCTACTATTATCATATTGCTGTTTATTTCTTTTTTGTGTTCTGCTCATGTCTGCTCCATCCATTTTGGTGTTCCAATGTTTCCTGGGCCTATATTGAGGCACCCTAACTAATAACACTTTGCACATCAATTCATCTCATTTCTCACAAAAGCAAACAGAACAAAACTGTTCAAACATACATAAGGGAGTCCTAGTTGCTGATACAAACTTTTAGATAGTCTTCCAATCTTTTTATCCTACTTTAATTCTCCAATGATATAATAAACATCCAAGACAAAAAAAATGAAAAAAGCACAAATGATTCCTTCACTGAAATCAGGAGACAAAGGCAATCCATCAACTATAAATTACATGTAAGGAAGGGGAAGAAAGTCACGGACACTCATCAGAATTGGTACAGAAACTCCATATTGGAAGCAGGAAGTCCGGCAGAGAAGAGACCCAGTCAAGGTCACTGGTGGTGGTAATGATAAAAAATACCAGGAAATATTATTCCCCAAGAAGGAGAGGGTCCTCTCACAAGTGTAAACTGCTATACCCAAGCCTGATGAACACGGAGCCAGGTAGCAATCTGAGGATTATTGAAGAGATAGATGCAGGGAGTATACCTGGGAAAGAAGTGGTGGAGATAACAGGACAATCTTGCCTAAACTAAGGGGGTCACCATCCCAGGCATAACCACGAATAGGAAGGTGGTAGAAATGAACATGGAGAAGACAGCAGGAATGCATACAATGAAGCTGTAGGGCTTGAGAAACAAGAATATTCCCCAATGCCTGCAAGCCCTATGCAATCCACCTGGTAACAACTGGAAAGGCAAATCAAATTCTTAAAAATGAAATTAGAAAATGCAACGTCTTTCCAAAAATACTATAGAAAAAAAATAAATCTACCCCAAAATTATTGCCTTAAATCGGAGCTAAATACTGATATAAACTTCAAATACTCTACAACCCCAAATCCTTAATAAAGCAGTTTTATAAATGAGAAAACATTTTAAAACAGAAATATGACGGTTCAGAGAACTGATGACCCACTAAAAAGAGACGACAATCGGCCAACAGAAAGATGTGAAATGGGAATCACCCTGAGTCAGGAGAGAATTTAAAGGGAGTGATGGGGACGAAGCTGAATGGCTGCTCCGTGGCTTGTGAGTGATTGTAAAATAATAAAGATGATGGAGAAAATATAAAAGCAAGTGTAAAGAAATAGTGATAAGCACTAGTGTAAACATATTGGCTACAATTGAATGATGAAGGAAAGGAGAATAGACATATCTTCTGAAATATTTTCTGTTCTTCCTTATGCTAGGAAACTAGTAGATACTGTGTAAAGAGAGGGAAATTAAGGATATTTTAGTCTTATAAAATATGTTTTATGCATAGGTATTTGTACATAATATACACATTTTGTTAAATAGAAAATATTAAATACCACACAATGAAATAATTTTGAAATAAAGGCAAAGAGTTGATTTTGTCTTCTTACTGCAAAGAATTATAAGTATGTGAGGTGATGCATATGTTAATTACCTCAATTTACCCATTCCACACAATATACATATTTTAAAATATCACATTGTACATGATAAATATATACAATTTTATTTGTTCATCACAAAAATTTAAAAATGGCAATTAAAATAAAGGTAATAACAAAGTGTGAGGGAATATGATTAAACTAATGGGGTATATCAATAAACACAATGCATTTAATACACTGAATAAAGAAAAAAAGATTACTATTCTCTCTGCCTGGTGGTCTCTTTTCCGATACGTTGTGACCCATTTCTTCAACTGATTTAGGTCTCTCTTCTCTGCTCTCTTGATTATCAGAGAAGACATCTCTGAGCAGTGAATATAAAACAGTAATTATCTCCTACACACCCTATTTTACTCTTCTTTATAATGTTTATCATTCCTGATAGTTTTTTTGCGATTATTATCTCTTCTCTACCATAGAATGTAAGATCCAGGAGATAAAGCATTTTACCATTTTTATCACTAGTGTCTTTCCAATGCCTAAAATATAGCACCTATTCCAAAACAGACGCTCAAAAATAAATGTTTCTTGAGTCAATGCATTTATTCATTTTTGAGGAGGAGAGATTGGGTTAAACAAGAGGGTTAAAAACTCAGAATAGAATGACAACCAAACGAGAGCATAGTCAGTATTAATACAGAAAATATTTACAAGACCTACTTGAAAGAAGATATAGTTGTAACACATTTTCCATGATTGTTGAGAAATTTATATTTCTGGGTACATTAACTTCTTAGGCAACTAGAGCTTACTTGTTTAATTCTTTAAGCTTAATAAATTTTAAAGTATGGAGTACAATATGCCAAGTGAAACAAGTCAGGCACAGAAAGAAAAATGCAGCATGAGCTCATTTATGTGTAAAATAAATGGAAATTGAGTAAGATAAATAGGGAGTTGAAGGGCAGTTGCCAGAGTCAGGGAAGTAGACAAATTGGGATAATGTAGGTAAAAGAAGACAAAATTACAGTTATGTAACATAAAGATATTTAGAGATCTAATGTACAACAGAAGGACTATAGTTCTATTTTATTATACATTACAAATTTGCTAAGAGAATAACTAGATTATATGTGTTTTTATCACAAAAAAGTAAACTGCAGACAGTGATGGATGTGTTAATTTGCTAGCATGTGGTAATTATTTCACTATAGATATCTACATCAAAACATGTTGTACATCTTGAGTTTATACAATAAAAAAAAAATACTCGATTTAATGACCAATCTGGACTTATTTATTTTAATGTTTATTTAAAATATTTCATGCTGTCTGTGGCCTGGTATTTGGGAGAAAGGGGGATAAAATACTTCAATCAATCATGTCAACACAATTTTTGATGAGAAATTGAAAACTGAATTGTTCAAATTGTTCCAGTTCTCAAGAGGAATGCTTCCAGATTTTACTTGTTTAGTATGATGGTGGCTGTGGGTGTGTCATAGATGGCTCTTATTTTTTTGAGATAAGTTCATTTGGTGCCCAGTATATTGAGGGTTTTTAAGAAGAAAGGATGCTGAATGTTATGAAAAATCATTTTGCTTCTATTGAGATGATCATGTGATTTTTGTATTTAATTATGTTTATGTGGTGAATCACATTTACTGATTTGCACTTGTTGAACCAACCTTGCATCCCAGAAATAAAGCCTACTTGATCGTGGTGAATTCACTTTTTGATGTGCTGCTGGATTTGGTTTGCTGGTATTTCGTGGAGGATTGTGTGTCTATATTCCTCAGGAATGTTGGCCCGAACTTTACTTTTTTTTGTCGTATTTGTGCCTAATTTTGGTATCAGAATGATGCTGGCTTCACAGAATGACTTAGAGAGTATTCCCTTCTCAATTTTTAAAATAATTTCAGAAGATTTTGTACCAACTCTTATTTATATGTCTGGTAGGAGTTGGTTGTTAATCCGTCTGGTCCAGGGCTTGTTTTGGTTGGTAGGTTTTTTTTAATCACTGACTTAATTTCAGAACCCATTATTGGTCTGTTCAGGATTTCAATTTCTTCCTGGCTTAATGTCAGGAGGTTAAATAATCTTGGGTGGAGAAATAGATAAATTCCTTGTTTCGAGGGATTTATATATTTCTTCTAGGTTTTCTAGTTTGTCTGCAGAGAGGTGTTCATAATAGTCCCTTAGGGTTTTTTGTACTTCTATGTAGTTGGTTGTATTTCAACTTTGTCATTCCTGAATTTATTAAGCATATGAAAATAATAAACTATAAAGGAATAAAGAAAATAGATTTAGAAGAAAAGAAAGTGTTCAAGGAAATTAAAAAGCATATTGAATCATAATTTTATACTTTAAATTGTTTTATCTGTGAATATAACATTTTATCATATACTATACATGAAGATAAACAGATACTTCGTGCAGTTGGTAACCGAAAGATAGCCAGAGTGGCTATGTTAATGTGAGACAAAGTGAGTTTATGACAAAAATTTTTATAAGTAAAAAAAAAATCGTATACTGTTTGGGATCATTTGTGTATCTTCCTTGGAGAATGTAATATAGATCTTTAGATATAAAAATTGTAAACATGAATGAATGTAACAGAGACCCAAAATATATGAAGCCAAGGTGGACAGAATTAAAGGAAGAAATAAACAGTTCTGTACTTATAGTTCAATACTTAAATGTCCATTTTCAATAATGCATAGTGCACTTAGACAGAATGTTAATATAGTAGTAAGTGACTAGAACAGCACTATAAACCAAATGACCTAATATATATGTGGAGAATACTGAAATAGCAGAGTATAGATGCTTCTCAAGTACTAATAACACATTCTCCAGGATAAATTGCCAAAAACAAATAAGACTAAATTTTAAAAGATTTAATTCAAAGTATCTTTTCCAATCAATGAAATAAAACTGGAAATCTGAAATAGAGGGAGAACTACAAAAGTTACACATATGTGGGGATTAAACACCACACTGTGAAGCACCGGTGGGTCAAAAAAGAAATTGGAAATGAAGTTAGAAAATATATTCAGATGACTTAAAACATAACAAAACATATAGGATGCAGCTAAAGCAACTCTTAGAAGGAAAATTTTAGCTAGATTGCCTATACTCAAAAAAAGAAGAAACATCTAAAAACAATAATATATTTTTACACCTTAAGGAACTAGAAAAAGAAGAGCAGACTCAATACAAAGCAAACAGAAGGAAAAAAAAGTATTGGAATAGAGATTAATAAAATGCAGAATAGAAAAAACAATTTGACTATTTCGAGCTTTCAAAAGATCAACAAAATATAGAAAACTTTAGGTAAACTTACCAAAGAGAGAAAGAGAGAAGTCTTACATCATGAATACATAAATATGAATATAACATGGGTACATAACAACTAGCCTTTCAGAAACACAAGCAATTATAAGAGAATATTACAAATAATTGAATACTAACTAGATACCTTCAGTGAGATGAAAACCAAATCCTGGAAACACAGAAACTACCAACACTTACTCAAGAAGAAACTTAAAGTAGTGTTAAACAACACACTGAAAATTACAAAGCACTGCTAATAGCAAATAAAACATAAACTGATGAAACAACATCGCATGTTAATGGATTGGGAGACTTGTGGTTAAGATAATACAACCAAAATATATCCACAGGTTCAATACAATGCCTATAAAAATTCCATGCCTTTTTTTTTTTTTTGCAAGAGTAGAAAACACTAAAAATCATATGAAATTACGAGCGACTGCAAAATCCAAAACAACCTTGAATAGAAAAACAAAGTTGGAAGATTTACACTTCCTGAGTACAAAATTTGCCAAAAAGATACACTAATTTTAAAAGCCTGATAACAGAATAAGGATATATGCATAAATAAATAGAAGACAATTGAGAATCTAATGAGAAATACACGCATGTGTCTATGGTCAATAATCATCTGACAAGTGTGCCACGTCCATTCAATGGGAAAAGAATACTCACTTTAACAAATTGTGCTCAGACAAGAAGATATCCACAAACAAAAGAATGAAGTGGCATTACAAATCATACTTAAACTCAAATTGATCAGGGACCTAAACATAAGAAGTAAAATTATAAAAATATGAGAAAAGATGAAGTTAAATATTCAAGACCTTAAGTTTAGCATTTTTTTTAGCATGATACCGAAAGAACGAGCAATAAGAAAATAAATAATTGGACCTCATCTAACTTCAAAATTTTTGTGCTTCAAAGGTCTCAATCAAAAAAGTGAAAAGAGAGGAGAGTGGGAAAGCTGGCAGAACGGAATTCTTTAACAATTGTATCCCCATAGAAACATCAATTTTAATAACTATTCTTACACTACATACCTTCACAAAAGCTAGTAAAGCCATGTGAGAGATCATTGTACCTAGTTATACTATTTTCTTCTTGTGATAAAATAATAAACATTGAAGAGGGCAGGAAGGAGAGTTCTGATTACCTGCATTTCTTATCCCCAACCTCAGACAGCACAGTGCAGGGAGAGATACCAAACACTTGGGGAATAAAAAGGGAAGTAAGTGTGGGACTTGGTCTTGGTGCCCAACACTAGGCCCACTACAGAAAAACTGAAAACCAGGCAGCCCCCACAACCACTGACTCCAGGCCAGTACACAAAGACCGAGCCTCCAGATCTACACCAACACTAGGCAGAAACCATGCAAAGCAGAATTAATTTGCAGTCATCATCACTGCCACCCACCCAGAGTGGCCTTAAGCTCTGGAAAGTATCCACTGGCAGGCAGGCCTCAGTGAACATGGGCTTCAGACTTGCATCAGTGCTGCACCAGCCCCAGTGGCCACAGGATATCATCTGGGACCCACACCAGTTCCAGTGGCCATGGGATTACAGCACTGCACTGCACCAGTCGTGGCAGTCCCAGGCTTAGGGCACCACCTAGGGCTGCCCCCACCACAGCAAACTAGAGCTTAGGGACCACACCAGACAACCTGCTCAGAATCTCTAGACAGGCTTACTATTGAAGAATGTTTCAGGATAAAACAAGTCTGCAAAGACTGGAATAAGTACCTATTATATTAGATGCATGACTGCAGACGCAAGAGAAATCAAGGAAGCATACATCACCAAGCAAACAAATGGAGATGCATAAACTACCTGACAAAGCATTTGAAATAACAGTCTTAGGGAAGCTCAGCAAACTTCAAGAAAATACACAGAAACTATTCAAACAAACGATAAAAATAATATGACCACAATGATAAACTTAGCAAATATTGGAATAACTTAAAAATCAAACAAATTCTAAAGCTGCAAAATATAATGAACAAAATGTAAACTGCAGTTGAGACCATCAACAGCAGAATGGATCAAGCCAATGAATCTGTGAACTCAAATACAGGTTATATGAAAATAGAGAAGAGAAAAGAATGAAAAATAATAAAGGAAACATGAGATTTACTGGACAGCAACAAAACAGCAAATTTTTGAGTCATTGGAGATAAGGGAGTTGAAATGATAAAGGAGTAGAAAGCTTATATGAAGAAATAATAGAAAACTTTTCAAACCTGGAAAAAGATATAAATAACCAGGTACAGTGAGGTAAAAAGTAACCAATCAGATTCAATCCAAACAAAACTACCCCTAAGACATATTATAATCAAACCACCAAAAATTGAAGGGAAGCTTCTCTGTATTGGTGGAAGGTAGGTAGGGCTTTTCTAGCCCCTACTTCCACTCTATCCCCTGAGTTCCACCTGCACTGACTCGAGGAAGAGTAAGCATCTAGAGCTAGTGAGAATGGGAGGAACTTACAAAGTCAAGAGAGAAGCCTATTGTTCCTTGCTCACCCACAGATTACGTACTATTACTCAAGGCTTGCTGTATTTATTATAGAAGAGAAAATCTTCTTGTATTATATATCAGCTGAGTTATTGCTTATCTGAGAATCACCAGAAGTTTCCACCCGAGACAGGATAAGAGAATAGAGCCAACATGTTGGGATTTCCAGAGCAATCAAGAGAAAAGAAAATCTATTGTGTTATTATTGCCCCTGAGAAATCACACTTTTGTCTTTCCTAGGAAGCTGATGCTTACAACAATGGAGATTAGCAATACCTGGACAGAGTTGAGCTTCAAAGGATACTGAGAAATGGCTAAAGCAGGTAAAAAGAGAGAAGACTGGAACTTTGTCTATGCTTATCATCTAGCTTCAAGGAGAAACACAGTTGAGTTCAGCCATTTTGAAACAATGGTTAGAAACTAGATAAAAAGTTCTTAAGCTTTTCATTATTTATTTATTTATTTATTTTTGAGACAGAGTCTTGCTCTGTGTCCCAGGCTGCAGTGCAGTGGTGAGATCTCTGCTCACTGCAACCTCCGCCTCCCGGGCTCAAGTGATTCTCCCACATCAGCCTCCCAAGTAGCTGGGGTTGCAGGTACCTACCACCGTGCCTGGCTAAGTTTTCTATTTTTAGTAGAGAAAGGGCTTCACGATGTTGGCCAGGCTGGTTTCAAACTCCTGACCTTAAATGATCTGCCAGCCTAGACCTCTCAAAGTGCTGGGATTACAGGCATGAGCCCCCGCACCCAGCCCTTAAGCTTTTTATGAGCAAATTAATATTTCAAATTAAATTGAACCAAATGGTTTTCTCATACGATGGAGCAACATTCCTCATGCTGGAAAATGAGATGCTCCTGAAGTCTTTGCATCTTGGCCCTCTACCGTTGTTTTCCACATTGATATTTATGTGTTCTGTTTAGAGACTTGATGTGTTCCCAGAACTTTCTGAAGAGCCCCACCACATCCTTGTTTCTCAGGATGTAGATGAGGGGGTTTAGCATGGGGGTGAGTACAGTGCAAAATACAGACACAGCTTGTTTCTGCTCAGGGATGTGGGAGAAACCCTGTGTCACGTATATTAAACACACAGTTCCTAAGTAAAGACCACGGAAAGATGGGAGGAGCAGTTGGCCAAAGCTTTGTTCCTACTTTAGGGGGATTTCATATGGAGGACTGTAAGGAAGATGAGGTATGAGAGGCCACAAGTCCAAGATGAAATGGATAAGAAGTAGAGAGCCACAGGCCAAGATCAAATGGGTAAAAAGTAGAGAGCCTGCATTTGAACCAGGTAGTCTGACTCAGGGTCCACACATCATCTCAATCATGGATGACTACCACAGACAGCTTGTTCCTTTCTCATCCCCATATTCTGGCTTCTCTCTTGCCATGTACACCTCCCCTTAGTCTCCATACCTGGGGCCACCTGCCCCCACAATCCTGTTCCCATAATATCTCACCTTGAATGAAGAGCTAAGCCAGGAAGGAAGCATCTGAAATAGTGTTGAAGAAAAGCTGAAGTGAGTGGAGAAGGACATCACTTTGTGTCCTTTATTTCTGTTGGCCAATGCCTGTCTCCCGGTCTAGACCCTACCACCTACAGGTGAGGCCTCAAGCACAGCTCATCTCTGCACTGTCTCCATGTAGAACCAATGTCCCTGCTCAGATTAGATATATGAAATCCCCTAGTTGTAGATGTGGGGGCCTATGGAAATGAACCTCTCATAAACTGCTGAAGGGTACAAATTAACACAGCTTGAGAGAAATGGCCTGGAGTGAGCTTCACTTCACACTAGGCCAGGACCACATTATTACTCCCAACAAAATAGTTTGTTTATAATCCTTTTCGTGGACTCCAGAAGAGGAAGATGGCAGATAGGAGGCAGGACTAACTTGCAGCTCCCACTTGGATGGACAGAGCAGCATGTGGAGATTCACGCTGTGAACTTTTGCTCCAAGAACTACCATAGGACATACCAGGAAAGCCAAGAGAATCCAAAGACCCTTTGAAGGAGGTGGCGGCCACTGTAGGCTCCGTGCCAAAGACTGAGTGCCAAAATGTGTGAAAGTGTAAAAGGGGGATGCTCCACCCCCAAGCACAGATCCTCACTGGGGAACCTGACGGTCCACATGGTGGGAAAAGGATTTAATCTTACGCGGAGCTAAGAGGAATTTAGAGAGCCAAGCAAAATATTCGAGTAGAGGAAACAACAAGAAGAGCCCTGTGGGAAACCATTTCGGACTTTGTCTTGCAGGGGTCCTTTGGGAGGGCTGCCAGTGGAATTGGGGAAAGACTACAAGGAGAAGCAAGCTTTCAGATGAATTTTGTAATAATCTTGACTAACGTGAAGCTTCCTGGACAGAACCTGGGGGAGGGGGCAAACTGGGAGTGCAGATACAAGCTCAGAAGCTGAGGCAGGCAGAGAGGCATGAAACCTAAAAGCCCTGCTTGCTTTCTTCATGAGGGGCTTGTAGCCTGGGGCAAGTTCTCAGCCCTGCTCACCAGCTGCCTGGAAAAAACTCAGTGCTACTGGGGGCACAAGGTGGGAGTGAGACTGGCCTTTTGGGCTGCCTGGGAGCTGAGTGAAGCATGTAACTGCCCGTTCCCCCCCTTCTCTGGTGACCTGCATGACCCAGCAGAGGCACTCATAATCCCCGTGGAAACATAACTCCATCAGTCTGAGGACCACACCCCAATCCCACACAGCAGCCACACAGCAAGCCCCGCCCAAGGAGAGTCTCAGCTCAGACACGCCTAACACTGCCCCCACCTCTTGGCCTTTCTCTACCCACCCTGGGAGCCAAAGACAAAGGACATAATCTCATGGGAGCTCTGAGGCCCGGCCCATTGCCTGAGAAATCTGGATACTTATCCAGGTAACCCTAAGGCAAGCTCGTATCTTCCCTACACTACTGCAGCTGATGCAACTCTTGAAAGAATCAACTGCTGGCTGGAGACCAACCAGCAAACTTATCAAAAATACAGCCAAGGACCCTCACAGAGTCCACTTCACTCCCCTGCTCCCTCCACCACAGCATGTGCTGGTATCCATGGCTGAGAGACCTGAAGACAGATCATACCACAAGACTCTTTGCAGACACTCTCCGGTACCAGCCAGTACCAGAGCACAGTAGCTTCGCTGGGTGGTTAGATGTGGAAGAGAAATAACAATCTCTGCACTTTGTTTCTCAGGAACCCCCATCCCTAGAAGAAGGGGTAGAGCACCACATCAAGGGAGCACCCCATGGGACAAAAGAATCTCAACAGCAGCCCTTTAGCCCCAGAACTTCCCTCTCACATAGTCTACCCAAATGAGAAAAATCCAGGAAAACCATTCTGAAAATATGACAAAACAAGGTTTTCTGACACCCCCAAAGATCACACTAGCTCACCAGCAATGGATTCAAACAAAGGAGAAATTTCTGAATTGCCAGAAAAAGAATTAAGAAGGTCAATTATTAAGCTACTCAACAAAGTACCAGAGAAAGGTGAATACCAACTTAAATTTAAAAATGTGTTACAGGACATGAATGGAAAAATCTCCGGAGAAACAGATAGCATAAATAAAAAACAATCACAACTGCTGGAAATCAAGAACACACTAGAAAAATGCAAAATACACTGGAAAATCTCAGAAATAGAATCAAACAAGTAGAAGAAACAAGTTCAGAGCTTGAAGACAAGGCTATTGAACTAACCGAATCCAGCAAAGACAATTAAAAAACACACCTTTAACTGTGTTTTCTTATACTTCGGGCTTTTTGTAGGTTAATGACTTTTCTTAATTCCTAAGTACCATCTGAGTAATTAGTCACATGGTTATAAAGAATATCAAATGTCAGACTAAATTCTTTTCAAGCTTCCCTCAGCAGCTTAAAGTTGAAACTTTTTCATTCCTTCTTCTATAATCTTGGGTATTTGAAATGGGTATTCTCCCACTTGAACATAGGCAAAATCTAATTTCTTGTCTCTACCCTATGGAATCTCGTTTAGTAATTATTTCTAAACTTATCCTGATGCCATGCATCGTTGGTTTGTTATAAGTATATCTAAAGGAGTACACAACATTTACTAAAGAAACACATTCCCCGTGTGATGTGTCCTGATAAGAAAAATGACCTCCAAATTTACATTCCTGTACAGGTATGATGATTTCACTCTACCATACTTTATTTTATACCCATCTATTGTTTCTTCCAGAAATATACATAACTGGAGTCATAGCCAAAACTTGTATTGCCTGGGCCTATTTGAGCATAAACAGCAGGTATTAGACCTAAATAGGGGGTCTTCTGCCAACTTGGGTGTGTTAGGAAACATGAACAATATTCAAAATGGCCTGCAGGACTCCAGTTTCAAAGTGAAAGATACCATGTCCATCCAAGACATTGCAGTTTGCCTTTCCCTGATGATTAGTGATGTTGAGCACTTTGTCATATACGTGCTAGCCATTTGTATGTCTTCTTTTGAAATATGTTTTTTGATGTCTTTTGCCCATTTTTTAAATCAAATTATTTGTGGGATAATTTTGGTACTCAGTTACTTGAGTTCTTTATATATTCTGGATATGAACCCCTTGTCAAATGCATTGTTGGCAAATCTTTTCTCCCACTCGTATGTTATCTATTCACTCTGTGAATTGTTTTCGTTATTGTGAAGAACCTTTCAGTATGATGTAATCTCATTTTTTAATTTTTTAATTTTTCCCTGTGATTTTGAGGTTCTACTTTAAAAATTCTTGCCCAGATCAATGTAGTGATGATGCATTCTGCCTGTGTTTTCTACCAGAAGTTTTACAGTTTAAGATCTGATATTAAAGTCTTTAATCCAATTTGAGTTTAAAATAGTGAAATAAGTGTCTAGTTTCATTCTGTATTTGGATATGCATTTTTTGCATCACCATTTATTGAGGAAGTAGTGCTTTTCTTGGTGTATGTTCTTTTCAACTTGGTCAAACATCAGTTGACTATAAATGAGTGAATTTATATCTGGACTCTCAGGGGTTCTCTTCTGTTTGTGTGTCTGCTTTTATGCCAGTACCATTCTCTTTTGATGTTTAATAGCTTGTAGTATATCGGGTAGTATGATGCCTACATATTCATTCATTTTGCTCAGAATTGCATTGGCTATTTGGAGTCTTTTTTGCTTCCATATGAACTTTAGGATTGTTTTTTTCTATCTCTGAAGAATATCTTTTGTATTCGGATAGTGATTGCCTTAATTCTGTAGCTCTCTTTTGGTAGATGGACATTTTAATGATATCAATTCTTCTAATCCACGAACATGGGGAATCTTTCCATTTATTTGTGATCTCTTCAATTTCTTTCATTAGAGTTGTATAGTTTTTCTTGAAGAGATCTTTTACTTTGGCTAAATTTATTCCTAGTTATTTTGTATTTACTTTAGTTTTTGTAAATGGGATTGCCTTATTTCTCTTTCAGATTGCTCACTGTTGGCATATATAAATGCTAATTTTGTATGTTGATTTTGTATCTTGCAAATTTACTGAATTCATTTATCAGTTCTCACAGTTTTTGCTGGTGTCATTAGGATTTTTTTAATATATGACCATGTCATCTGTAAACAGGGAAAATTTCAGTTCCTTCTTTCCAATTTGGAGGCCTTTGTTTCCTTCTTTTACCTAATTGCTCTAAGACCAGACACAGCTTCTCTTTTTTCTCTCCTGAATTCATGGGAATTCAGGATGTTATTGTTTTTGAATAGTTTCCAGTTCTATTTTTGTGGGTGTGGATGAATGATGCTGGAGGATCTTCTATTCATCTATCTTGTTGCTATAACTCCTCTCTATGAGTCTTTCTTAACTTTTTAAAGATACAGTTTGCTGTTAGAGTATAGAAACTCCAATTTCTGTCTGTTGATTTCCTGAAACTTTCCTGAATTTGTTAGGGAATAGTTTTTGTTGAAGGCTTTATGTTTTTTTATATGTAATATTACTTTATTAACAAACAGAAACATGTCACTTCTTCCTTTCCTATTTACATTTCTATTTATTTTTCTTCCCTAATTGCTTTAGCTGGGACTTTCAGTGCTATGTTACATAAAAGTGGCAAGAGTGACCGTTCTGGTCTTTTGCTGGATCTTAGAGAAAAAGCTTTCAACATTTCATCATTAAGTATTATGTCAGCTGTAGGCTTATCATATATGGCCTTTGTTATGGTGAGATACATTCCTTGTATACCTAATTTGTTGAGAGTTTTGGAATTTTGTCAAATGCTTCTCTCCACCTAAATAATCATAAAATTGTATCATTCATTCTGTTACTGTGCTATGTGATGTTTATTAATTGGCATCTGTTGAAGCATCCTTGCATCCCTGGGATGAATCCCATTTTATCATGATGAATGCTTTTTGAAATGTGCTTTTAAATTCAGTTTTCTAGCATTTTTTGAGGAATTTTACATCCATGTTCCCAAATGATATTGACCTGTAGTTCCTTTTTCATTCCCATGTCCTTCTCTGGCTTTGGTATTAGGATAATTCTGGCCTTGTATAATGAATTTGAAAGTATTCCCACTTCTTCAATTTTTTGGAAGTGTTTGAGAATAATTGGTATTAGTTCTTTAAATTTTTGATAGAATTTTGCAATGAGTCCATATTGTCCTGGGCTTTTTTTTTTTTTTTTCTGGTGGGAGACTTTTATTACTACTTCACTGCATTATTCATTATTGGTTTGCTAAGATTTACTATCGTAGGATTTATGTATCAGTCAATTCATGTCTTCCAGCTTATCTAATTTTTGACATGCAATTATTCATTATACTTTCATAATCTTTTGTATTTCTGTGGCCTCAGTTGTAATATATCCTTTGTAAATTTCTGATTTGAACCTTCTTAGTCTAGTTTATTTTGTTTTTTCACAAAACAACTCATCTGATGTTTTGCATTGTTTTTATCATTTTTTTATTTCTCCTCTAATCAATATTAATGTATCTACTAATTTTGAGTTTAGCTTATTCTTGTTTTTCTAGTTAATTAAGGTACAATATTACCTTTCCTTATTTGAAGTCTTTCTTCTTTATTGATGTAGCCATTCATTGCTATAAACTATAAACTTCCTCTTTGAACTGCTTTTGCTGTGTCCTGTAGGTTTTGGTATGTTGAGTTTTCCATTTTTATTTGTCTCAAACAACCTTTTATTTTCCCTTTTAATTTTTTCATTGACCCATCTATTGTTTAGGAGCATATTATTTAATCACCATTTATTTGTAAACTTTCTGAGAATTCTTGCATTCGTTTATAAACTGCTGTGATCAGAAAAGATGATTGATATTATTTTGAACTTCTTATCTTTAAGACTTTTTTGTGGTCAAACATGTGATCTAACCTAGAAAATGTTTCATGTGCAATCGAGTATAATGTGTATTCTGCAGCTACTGAATAAAATGTTTTGCATATGCTTTTTAGGTCCATTGCCCTAGAGTGCAACTTGAAGCTGTTATTTCATTGTTTACCTCCTGTCTGGATAGTCTTTCCATGGCTGAAAGAGGGGTGTTGAAGTTTCTTAGTATTATTTTATTGCTATCTATCCCCTTAGATCTATTAATACTTTATGTATTTAGGTTAATGTTTCATACATAGTCACAATTATTATATACTTTTTGTTGAATTGACTTTTTAATCATTATATATGATCTTCTTTGTCTCTTTCTACAGTTCTGGACTTCAGTCTATTTTATCTGATATAAGCATAGCTACTCCTGCTCTTTTCTGGTTACGACTTGCATGGGATATCCTTTTCAACCACTTCACTTCGTCTGCATATGTCCTTGCAGGTTAAAGTAACCTGTTGTAGTTGGCATTTTTTATACATTCTGCCACCAGATATCTTTTGATTGGATAATTTAATACATTTACATTTAAGATAATTTTTGATACATAGGGACTTAATGCTACAATTTTGTTAGTTTTCCAGTTGTTTTCTAGAGACTTTGTTCTTTTCTTCCATTCTTACTATCTTCTTTTACGGTTAAATGATGTTTTTTCTAGTGGTATGCATTGATTCCTTGTTTTTTAAAAATTTTTGTATGTCTACTACAGGTTTTTGCTTTGTAGTTACCACGAGACTTACCAACATATTATAACAGGTTATTTTAGGCAGCTAACAATTTTTAGCACAATAAAGCTCTACAAAAATCATTTTTCATGAAATTTTGCTACATTTCCTTTCACAAGGATGTTTTAAAGATAACCATCAAATGTGTCTATAATTATAATCCAGCAAATTGAGAGTTGACAAATGCTCTTTAATTCATACAAAGTTAGAGTATGCATTTTATATTGTCTGAGTTCAGGAAAAATATTAAAAACTAGTTCTCTCATATTTTTCCAAAGCACTACAGAATCTTTATATTATAGTCATAAAATAATTGAGTGTGGTGAGAGAAAAGAAGAATGTGTACTGTTGAAAACACCTGATTATTCGCAAGTTGTACATAGCCAATTAGGAAGTTATAGCATGCAGCTACCACATGTATGCTTTTAGGTAACAGGTTCAGCAGGCCCCACCTCAAATGCCCTCCTATCAGCCTATTCTCGGGTAAAGGCATGGTCGACTCCACTTAGATCAACATCATTTAGATCACCATTCTCATGTACCTGGTCTCTATGTTTTTGGTCTTGCACATCTCCAATTGATCACCACACAAATAACATTTCTAAAATACAAATCTGATCATTTCACTATTGTTTGTAAAACCCTGGGCCACACAAGGGCAAGAAATAAGCCTAACATGAAATAAGAAAGATCTACTGGGCATTGATCTCTCTCGCTTGCTCAGCCCTGTCTTTGCTCATGCTGTGCCTTTTCCCTTGCAGCGTGTCTCAGCAAGTTCCCCTGGCTCCAACATCACACACTCATCTGAGGGTAACTTTTCGTCACTATTCAGCACTGAGCCCCGGAGTCTCCTCTCAGCTCCTTGTTTGAACTCAGATGTCACAGATAGAATTAGTGTGTCCTTATGAGCTGCACCCTTCACACGAGTATCAAAACAGCTTATTTATTTTCTTACATTTGTTTGCATAAACAACTACATGTATTTTTCAAACTCCTTGGTAAAAGCCATGTGCTATTCAAAATTTAATCTTATTTAACTATTTTTAATTATAAAATAGTACAAAATGCTTGTTAAATAAATGAAGGATTGAATGTTGATGCCATCCCTCTGCTTGTTTGTATAACAAGTTACATGTTTGAAATCTCAGCTCAGGAATCACCCTGGGCAGGTAACCTTCCTTAAAACTCCTTCCACTCAGGTGTCATATTTTTTCTGCAGTCACTTATGTGGTCCTACATCCTCAATACACCACATGGCAGTAATTATTTCGGAGAGATAAATCCACTAGACGCCATCAGAATTGGACCATGCAGAAAAATGTAGCCCTCAATAAAGAAGGGGCGATGACTGGATTTTCTTGGTAATGATTAGATATAATGAAATGAGCATGATTTCTAAGATGTCACACTGCCACCAAGCAGAAAGGAGAATATTTTCAAAAAGGGAGAAAAGCCTGGTATTTAATTATTTGTAAATGATTTCAACTTCACAAAAATCATTAAAAAACAATAGTACAATTAATACCTATATACCCTTTACCCATACTCATGTGTGGCAGCAACATTGAACTCAGTTTGTTTCATTGCCCCTCTCTATCTCCCTCCCTCTTTCCCTCTCATCATTTGAACACCTCATGACCTTTTTGTCTCTAAATATTAAGTATTTCCTGAGGTTAAGAATATTTTTTCACAAAATTAGAGAACAGTTATCAACTTCCAAAAATGTTACATTAGTATAACACAATTGTAAAAGAATTTTGGATGGACAAAGACTATAAAATAGAGTTTCCACACAGTGAAAGAATTCCTCAAAATGAGATGAATATGAGATGAGGCATCATTGTATGAGAGTCTAAGGAATAACAGGGATAAAATCCTAAGTATCTGATGGGTAGAGAAAAGGAAAATAAATCTTTATATCCAAATTTCCTACTTTATAATTTCCTAAAGGACGAATCTCACAGTTAACATTTTCTTCAGAGCCCCCATGACATCCTTATTCCTAAGACTATAGATTAAAGGGTTCAGCACCGGAGTGAGGATGGTATAGAAGACAGATACCATCATGTCCTTCTCAGGGGTGTGGTAGGAGCTGGGGAGCATGTAGGTGTAGACGGCAGCCCCATAGAAGAGGATGACCACAGTCAGGTGGGAGGAGCAGGTGGCAAAGGCCTTTTTCCGGCCCTCTGCTGAGTTCATCCTGTGGACGGTGAGGAGGATGAGTAAATAGGAGCTTGAAATGATCGTCACAGGGATGAGGAGCATGAGGACACAGCATAGGTACATGAGGGTCTCATAGAGTGAGGTGTCTGAGCAGGACAGGATCGTTACAGCAGGGACTTCACAGAAGAAATGATGAATCTCCCAGGATCTGCAGAAGGGGAAGCTCATGGTGATGGGAGTGAGCATGAAGCCATCCACTGAGCCCAGGAACCAGCAGCCCGATGCCAGGAAAAGACAGACCCTATGGTTCATGAGGACAGGGTAACGGAGAGGATGGCAGATGGCCACGTAGCGGTCATAGGCCATGGTGGCTAGAAGGAAAAATTCCGAACCTGCTAGTGTCAGATAGAGGAACATCTGCATCCCACACTCAGGGGCTGAGACCTTATTCACACCCATGACCTGGTCCAGGAGCATCTTGGGCACAGTGACAGAAATGTACGCCATGTCCATGAGAGACAATTGACTGATGAAAAAGTACATGGGGCTGTGGAGGTGGGCGTCACAGTGTATCAGAAGGATCAGGACAGCATTTCCAGACAACGCCTTCAGGAAAACCACAAAGATGACCACACTAAGTAGAGCTGGATGTTTGGATCGTCTGAAGAGTCCCATGAGGATGAAATCCAACTTTCCAGTGTGGTTGGCCATCCTGGTGATGTTGGCCATGAGGTTTCACCTAGGCCACCAAGGAGAGTTTTGGAGTCAGTGTAACGCGTCCCTTTGTAATGAGTGTTTCGTGAGTACTCACATTTGTGTATGCTCATTGTGCTAACCTGAGTCCCGTGGGTCTGGGGATTTGAGTATATAAATGACATATAACAAATTCACAAAACAAACTAAGAATTCACAACTATAGGCCAGAAGAATTGGTAACTGATAGTAAGGTTGTCACGGTTCAAATTCATAAACTTTCCTGATGATAATGCCATTTATCAACAAGTACTGAAAATTTGCAGAACCTCCCTCCTCTGCTAACACAAACAGTGACTCATTGAAAGAAAGATAAAGCAAACTCCTTATTGTAGAGTTTTTGTCATAGACAGCTGAATTGAATCAACATCGCTGGTTTAAGAAACAATAGGCATCTTCAAAATACTCAGAGGTATATATGATATAAGAAAGATTTAGCAAGTAACTAAAGCGTAACTTGGAAAAAAAATTATGCCAGATGTTTGAACCTCCTCCTCCCATAGGATCAGGCCATGCTGTGAGGCTCTGTGATTGCGTGGAGCGAGCCTCACATTCTCATGAGCAGGGAAGGGTCCTCACACACAGCTGACCCTTTAGACATCGAGAGACGTGAAGTGAGGAGCCCACACACAGTAGACTCCAGCTATGGGTCCACCTTTTTCTCTGTCTGCCATTCCTTTCTCCAATCTACATCAAAAAGGATAAAAATCATGTTTGAGCTCAGGTGTGGTGAGGGTAAAATGAGGAAATGTAATGAAAGTGCTTAGAATAGTACAGTTTCCGATGAATAAACACATATACTCTTAGTGTAGATGTTAACTCTTTAAGCTAACTATTCTGCACAACCTAAGAGATTGTTGCTACTATTATTATATAAGATATATTACTTCCATTCTCCAGATTCAGTACCTATTCATACATTTAAGAAGCTGACTTTCAAAATAAAAATGGCAGAAGTTCTGCAAAATAAAGCATATGACCCACTTTAAAAAAAAACAATTTGGATTTTATATTTGTGTGTTTATGTGTAAATACTCTGGTTTTATATAAATATATATAATATATTTATGTAAACATACACAGGTGAATATATAACTATAACATTTCTTATTTTAACCCTGGTTATGCAGAGCTTTTTGGAGACTCCTATGTCCTTCCTGCCTAGTATGTGGTCCTCCAACCTCATCTCCTTAAAGCTCCTCTCATTTTAAAGCTCATTAAATCTCAGCGAGGAAGAACTAGAATTTGGAGGGTCACTGCTGTTTATCAGACAAGGCTTTAGTTGTTTTTGCAAACCTCATGTGCTTTATTACTTGCCACAATCAATCTTTCATACAAACTGAGAAGCAGGGAGGAAAATCAAACAACACTGAGGCATCTGACTTCAACTCACTGTTTCTCCCTCTACCGTGACACTCACAGCCTGTGTTATACTGACGATGAATCGCCTCTGACTTCAACTCACTGTTTCCTTCTCTATCATGATACTCACAGCCTCTGTGTTATATGCAGAAGATGAATCAAAGAAAAATTGAACTTGAGTGCACTTAAGGAGGTCACAGTCAGTCTATTCAGGGAACAACTATTATGTAAATGTGATTTGAAGTTGAATTTTTAAATAGTTACAAAATAAATAAGGGCAATAGACACAAAATATATCTGGCCGTTCTGAAATAATCCATAATAGCTGTTTCCACATTTTCTCTGAAAGAAATTAAAACTTTCCAACTTTTCAACTTCTGACATATTAAATGTTAAATTTTGAGAGCCCTTGCCAAGAATAAGGACATAATAACTCCTCTTTCTGGGAAGACTTTAGCTGTGATTATGATGCAGGGACATTTTGGAATGAATTTACAAGTTTCAAATATATTTTGTATTCTTGTAGTAATTACAAAAAGTATTTAAGACATTCAACTCACCAAAACTTCCAACATTCTGGGATGCTTCGGTGCTTTAATATAAATATCCAACAAATCTGAGACACATTTTATGTACATATGTATATATATGAATAGATGATGATGATAGATAGATAGATAGATAATGTGTATCAAACACTACCCCTACTGGCAAATGGTGGCTGAGATCTGTGTACAATTTAAAAACATTCCAATAAACTGCAAAACACACCTGCTGACCTCGTCCATTATTTGTGGCCAAAGTGAAGCAAGGACCAGAGGAGCGACCAGCACATGTGAAGACCTAAAAGGTGTTTGCTCAGTAAATTGAGGGGGAGCAGGAGGGCAGGGAGATGCGGGGTTTCCTAAGAAATCTCTGCTGCTCTTTAGGAAATGGCCATCACTATCATTAAGCCACTATCATTAAGCCACTATCAACAGCTCAACCAGGACACGGGACAGATAAGGGAACACTATCCACACACAGTGAACTGGCCCCCTGTTCATTCTTCTTCTGTACCCGCTTGTTTGACTTTCATGTAAATTGCTTAATGCATGTTTAACTTGGGGATTTATTGTAAGTATAAATGGAGTCAAATCTTTATTTGAAGCATACAGCATCCCAGGAATTGTTCTAATACTAATACTAAAATTAATACTTTACATTTCTTCTTTCCCAAGAGCCTATGAGTTACTTCCTATTATTTTCTCTCTTTACATATTAAAAAATGCAGGTTCTCAGGGTACCTGCCTAATATCACACACCTAACCTGAGATAGAACGCACGTCTCAGCCCGAGAGAGAGAGCCAGCGCACGTAACTCTGCCTGATTCCTCTCAGGGACACCATCCTCCCTCTGCAGTCTACACTTTGGATTTAGGCCACTGTCTGTGGGTTTCATCAAAGAAACATAAAATGATTGAGACATTGTTTCTAGTGTTTTGTAACCCTCAGAAATCATCCCCTCTCAAAAGAAAATCAGTCACTTTTCCTCTATAAAACTTCAGTGACAGGAAAATAAATACATCATTGTATGAAAATCTAAAACTATAGAATATATATTATTATGTCCATAAATAATTGGAAATTAAAAATCTATTTACCATTATGTCACAGTAAATAAGTGTTGTATAGAAGTTATAAGAAAGAATAACATTTGCTTTTCTCCATTAAAAACAGATGATAAAGAAAAAATGAGGAAATGCTGTGAAGAACTAATAGAACGTTTCAGAAGCAGAACAAGTCGAGAGCAGTGATGACCCTTTTCTTCCTGCTAGTACCTCCTGTCTGTCTGGCTGAACTCACCATCAGATGATGTCTTGAACCTCACCTAGATGGGCTGGTGGTGTGTGGCCAGGTTAAGAGCACCAACAGGAGTAAGAAAGTGACCTGCCTGGTTTTACCGTGTGCACTAGGGGAGGGGTTGAAAGCTTTCGGTTGATACATCACCTCTGGGAGTTGAAGAAGAATGCAATTAAGAGAGCTAAAGAAGTCAGTAGGTATCTCTCCTGAACAATTCTGGTTTTCTTCTAATAGCTTTTACAATTTTTACCTCTGTTATGAAATGCAAACTTTTAACCAATATTAGTAATAGTAATCTCAAATCTCATCATCATCAAAATCTTATTTATGAAATGTAGGAGTTAGTTCATATACAGCCTTAGCCTTTTCCACATTATAAAATATATTCCATATATATGTGTGATCTTCATTTAATATTCAAGTAAATGTTGTAAGATATTGTTATTTTTATTCTAACATTTCACAGGTATAGAATCTGAAACTCAGAGGTCAACTGATGTGTCAAAGATACCTCCACAAATCAGTACCTTGATTAAAACTAAAATTGGAGTCATCTTCATATCTTCATCTTTCTCCCTCTTCATTAGGACCGATTGTAGTCTGTTTCCCTCTCACTCACTTGCAATCTTTATTGCTTTAGTGTTGCATTTGATTTTTATCTTTGTTTTTGTTTTAAATACTGTCATTAAAGTCATAGAAAAATCTAAAGTAAAACTGGTTGAATAAAAATTTTAAAATCGACTCTAATGTAATAAACCAGACAAAAATGATACTTTACATGTTATATCTTCCCTTTAAACTACAAATATTCATTGAGTGTATACCCTGTATTAGGCTGTTGGAATAAAACAGGGAAGAAGACAGAAGAAACTGCACCGCCATCTTAGATCTTGCAGCCAAATTCCTCTGAACTTTTCTCTAAAGACGTGCTCTGGAAAAATGTTGATCATTTTCCTACATCATGGAGGTCTTTTCATGACCACCTTTGTCTAGACAATGTCCTGTTTTTAGGTGCACGTTTGAGGGCTGGAGTCTCTGACCCACA
The DNA here is from genome assembly GCF_000001405.40 of Homo sapiens. NCBI lineage: Eukaryota > Metazoa > Chordata > Mammalia > Primates > Hominidae > Homo > Homo sapiens. Next base: position 132,289 of record NW_025791755.1, on the reverse strand, counting down.
GTGCTGCAGCCTGCACGTGGTTTGTCCTGACTTCTTTGCTACTTCACTTTTCGTAAGGCTCTGAGAGTGCAGGCCCTTGTGGGTGGACACTGCAGGGTGAGAGGAAGAAGTAAACTACTTTTTTCCGTTTCTGATGGGGGTGTGGGTCAGCAGCTATAAGCAACAGGGACCATGGGGGGCCTCAGACTTCAGCACCTGAGAGGCAGTTTCAGTCGTATTGGGGAGATGCAGGCATCTGGGTTGCTGCACATCACCAGGGCAGGGTTCTCTCAGCAGCCCTGGAGTGCAGAGTTCCCATCAGCTCAGCAGTGAGGGGCACATGGGGCTCCAGTGGTGAGGACTCTTGGTCCTTGGATGACAACACTCCCCTGCCCACTTCTCCAGCCTTCCCTGTAACCCTTTGCCACCTCTAACCAATCTTCTGTGTTACATCTCTTCGGTTTGCAATATGTAGTGTTCGTATATGACTGGACAGTATCTACTGGAGTTAATATCTATCAGAGTAATTATATCACAATTGCAATCTTCTCCTAAGAGTGAATAGTGACATTAAAAATTTCAACATTATAAATTATGCAGAAATAAAACTAATTATACAAAAAATACACTCTGAATGTCAGTTTTTCCCTGAGACAATCTACCATTTGATATACGGTGATTCACACTTCTTAATATACAACATTGAATTACTTTTCCAAAAGCCTCTTCAAATTTTGCTGCAGAATTAAACTTCACTTGCACCAGCTCTGAATTATGTGTGCTTTTCCTTCTTGGTCAATTTCATAGGTGTATCATTATTTGTCTTTTTTAATTAATATGTTTATATAACTTTTCATGTTTATCCATGTAACTACTGCTTCTATTGAAATGTTTTCTTCATAAATATAAATGTGTTTTTGGTATGAAAATAATAACTGGCCAGATGCGGTGGCTCACACCTGTAATCCCAGCACTTTGAGAGGCCGAGGTGGGTGGATCACCTGGGGTCAGGAGTTCGGGACCAGCCTGGCCAGCATGGTGAAACCCCATCTCTACTAAAACTACAAAATTAGCTGGTGTGGTAGCACGTGCCTGTAATCCAAGCTACTTGGGAGGCTGAGACAGGAGACTCAGTCAAACCTAGGAGGCAGAAGTTGCAGTGAGCCAAGATCACGCTATTGCACTCCAGCCTGGGCAAAAAGAGTGAAACTCTGTCTCAAAAAGAAAAGAAAAAAAATAGTAACTCTTTGTGAATAGTATCAACTAAAATATTTTTATTTCAGTTTCATTCTGATATTTTGTGTCATCAGAATTTTTTAAAGTATTTTGTTTAATATATTAACTTTAATAATTTCGTTAACTGTTTTGTGCTTACAAAGTCTTTATGCATTTGGGGATTATGTAAAGCATCTACCTTTACACTTTTAATGAGTTTCAGAGGTTTTTTTGGTACCTTTGAGTTATAATACAAAAATAATTTATTTGGGTGTGATATGCAGTGAATTGCTAACATTATTGCTTTTAAGTTAAAATTAAATTCCAATGTTGAATGGTATTTTCTTTTATTCATTAATTTCAAAAATAATTAGTAACTGTTTGTTCCAGGCACTATCTAGGTTTATGATGTTTGAAACAAAGATTCTTCCCACACAGCATTTATATACTAGTGGTAAATACAGGCAATAAACTAATAAATATGTAATGAAATGTCAAGTATTAATAATCACAGTAAATAAAAAATAAAGGCAGAGAGATGAGATAGGAATGATTAGCGAATCTATTTAACACAGGCTAGTTAGGAGCCCTTTATTTAGAAGGTGAAATTTCATCAGATCCGTAAATGAAACAATGGAGTCACTCGTAAACAACGGGGCAGAGATGCTTTAAGCAGAGGAAACAGAGAAAGTTAAAAGCTGTGAGACTGAAAGTAACTTGCAACGTTTGAACAGCAGCAAGAAGATCTGTGGCCCCAGACTGAGGTGAGAAAGTTGGCAAAACAGAAAATGGGGTTAGAAGTGGAACCAAGGAACCGGTCCTATAAAATCATGATGGTCCTGAGAAGGACCAGGGACAGGCAGAGGTGTGTTTAAGAAAGGGAAGACAAAAGTATACACGGCACTCAAGAGAGTGCATGTGCACTTAGAAAAAGAAAGGAAGTCTCAGCCAATGTTTGGCCCCTGTCTTCTAAGAACTCTTCAGGAAGTTTACCAGGCATGCTCACAGTCTGTTCTGACTGTAGCCTGGCTTCCCCTCCCCACCCCACCCCACCATACAACTCCCAGCAACAGACAGCACTCAGAGAATCTCCAGAGAGTGAAGGGCCCCAAAGCTTTGACTCTCCTTGCTTCTCGGTGAATCCCACTCTGAGATATCACTGGAGGACGGACAGAGAGGAAAGACATTTGGAACAGGTATATGATTATCACTGAGAAGGCTTGAGCGAGAATGCAGGAAAGGGTTTGAGCTAGTCCTGATGAGACATATGGTGTCTGGGCAAGGGGTGTGGTGGAGGAGGTGAAGTTGGATTGCCGTTTATACACACAGGAATATTGGGGCTGGGCAGGTTGGCATGGAACGCTGAAACTGAAATTTGGGACTCCAGTTGCCCAGTACACATCTACATGAAGATGATGCAAGGCTAGTGTATACACGAATCCAGAGGTCATAAGAGAAGGCAGTCCTGAAATCATGGTTTTGAGAACCAGGGTGTGTGGAGGAAACAACGGGATCACACAAGGAAGGAGGGTCAACATCTTATACCAGAAGCCAGTGCAGGGGAGGCTAGGTTTCCACATTATCTCTTCTTTTCCATTGGTCTTTCACTGAATTCCTTTAAAATATCTTGTTTTATTGGGTGTCCCCTCATGATAATTTTAAACAACTAGTGAAACAATTCTTGTCTTCATGTATGTTCATGTTCAAAATAAGCAAGTTTTTAAGTTTGTTTTTCCTTTCAGTTGATCTATTTGGCTAGGTTCAAAAGTTCTAACTAATTGTATTGATTAGAATACAATGAAATACATTTGGGAAGAATTGATATTGTTAAAATGTTGCAGATTTTTATAAACAAGCACAATAGGTCTCACAGAGATATCCAAATACTTAGAGGTCGGGTCTGGATTTTAAAGTAATTTTAATAAAATTCTTCCACAATAATTGAGATTCTGAGATTTTTATAATTTAATTTTTTGGAGAATATTTTTCATTTAAAAATACTTAAAAAGCATTAACAGTGACAGAAAAGCTATTGATATATATTTTTTCAACATTAATATTTATGGTGGAAACCCTGCTTAAAGTTCTACTTTTTTTACATTTTAAATGTAAACTGAGAAAATATTTATAAAAACAAAAATAACATTTTAAGAATTAAACTATAAATATATAAAACATGTCAAACATTTTGTAAATGATCCTGAAGGCACCATCAGAGATATAAAGAAATGCAAGATACATGCACAGAACAAAGGAAGAGGGGCCACCACCTTTATGGACTGGAGGTCAGGATATCAAGCCAAAGAGGACCTCAAGTCCTGAAATCTAACGAAACTTGCCCTGCCAGGCTCAAGTTTGCTTTGGCTCTAAGACTTCTATTTAACTTCCAATTTCTCTTTTTCAGAATAGGAATGTCTATCCTATATGTGAGTGTCACTGTTGCATTTTGACAGCAGATAACTTGCTGTCTGGTGTCACAGGTTTTAAATTAACTTATTGAGTAAAATCTAAGTTGAATAATGTGCTAGAGAAATATTCTTAATACAAAGAGATTAAAAACATTAGCAAGATGGTTGAAGAGGAGCTCCTATAATCGTATCCCCTCAAAGCAGCAATAATATAGCAGCCTGTCTGGCACAAAAGTCCCTTGGTGGGAACTTCTGGATCTTGACAGGAAGTGTCAAAACTGGTGAATCCCAACACTGAAGAGAGCTATTTTGAGAAGGCAGGGCCACACCCAGGTGGCAGGCTCACTGACTGTGGTCCTGGCTACAGACACAGAATTAACATCCCTCTGGACTCAGCTAGTGCCCTGTTTGGCATTGGTCCTGCCACCTGAACCATCTGCCAAGGGGCCCAGGGGCACTCACATTGACCAGTACCCTCAAGTCACAGGCCTGCTAACCTTAGTTCTAGCTCTGAACCCTGAAGCAGTCCATGACCCAGCTCCAGTCCCCCTCAGCCATGGTCTGGGAATAGACCTTCCTGCACAGAGACCTGCCAGGAGGCAACCCTGTTCATGTGCCTAGAGGCAGGCTCTCAAAACTACGTCCGACTGCCAATCTTGAAGCAGCTCTGTTACTTGGCACCCTTTTCCATTGTTCAAAAGCAGTCCTGCCCACTCAGTGACCTCCTGGGTGACACATTGATCGATGCCCCTGTAAACAAGACTGCTGACATCAGTCAGCTGGAGATCCTGAATCAGCCCTCTTATCCAGCTCCAGCTTCCATTCAACCACAGCTTGGGGATATCTTATATCTTATATTTACAGGGACTATGCAGGAGGTACACCCATCCATGCAGGACAGAAGACCTCAGACTCAGCTGTGGTCCATGACACAGCCCTGAGACTCAGTTCCAGGTCCTCTCAACTGTGGTCTGGGGACAATCCTTCTTGCCCAGAGACTTTCCCACCAATATAATGGGAGTCCTTCAAGGGACTCAATAGAATCCACACCCATTTCTGTACGTGGTAACAGGCATGCCATCTACAGAACCAAATGTGAACCCTGAAGCAGAGTGTCCTAGCGATAGCCCTATTGACCAAGGTACTAGAGGCAGTCTTCTCTACCAAGAGACCAGACAGGATTTATACTCAACTCGACTTCTGGTAACAAGCTTGCCAACTAAAAATTCTGCTGTAGACTCAGGAGTAGCCACATGACATGGCTCTAACCCTGCTCAACTGCAGTCCTGGAGGTAATTCTTATTAGCCTAGAGAAATGACAGGAGAATGTCTTTACCTACTGAAACCAGTCTATGCAGACCAGAAGAGCTGTTTGCAACTTCAAATGTGCACACATCAATGCATAGCTACTTGAGTCACAAAAAAATCAGGCAAATGTGACACCAAAGTAATAAATACCACCAAAGTAATAAAGCTTCATTAAGCAACCCCAAGGAAATGGAAATCTATGAATTGCCTAAGAATTTTAAAATCATATTAAATAGGATCAAAGAGCTTCAAAATAACAGAGATCTAAAACTAATAAAAAAATGCATAAACAAAATGAGAAATATAATAAAGACATTGACATCAAAAAAGGAAAGAATTCTTGTGCTGAGAAGATTTGTAGTCAAATTTGGAACACTCTAGTACTGTAATGGAGGTGTGTAAATCTCGTTAACTTTAGTGTAAAGCTTGTAAAATATTCTGAATACAATTATGGAAGTGAAAAGGTCAACAGAGTACTTTGACAACATATTTCATCATACAGTGAAAGGAGGCAATGAACTTGAATTTAGATCATACAGTTAGAGGAACAAAAAAAATAAAATGTAGAAGCATCTGGGAACTATAAGACAACATCAAGCAAATATATATGTGTATTATGACATTCACAGAAGGAGAAAAAAACAAAGCTAAAATGACAACATTTCCTAAATTTGTGAGTGATAGAGACATGCAGATTCATAAAGTTCAAAGGAACCCAAGCAAGAACAAACCAAAACATTATACCTGAGACATATTATGATCAGTTTGTCAAAAGTCAAAGACAATTCTATAATTTGGAAAAATATGGATGAGCCCAGAGGACAATATTTTAAATAAAATAAGCCTGGTATAGGACAAATATTGCACAATTTCATTTATATGTGAAGTGTCCAATAGTCAAACACATAGAAACAAAGAGTAAAATGGTGGTTACCAGAGTTTGGAGTGAGGAAGGAAAAGAGAAGATGTGGGTCAAAGGATACAAAATTTTATTTAAGCAGGAGAAATAAGTTCAGGAGGTTTATGGTACATCATGCTGACTACAGTTTCAACAATTATATACTTGAAAATTGCTAAGAAAGTAGGTATAAGAGTACTCAGCACATGAAATGATTACTTGAACCCAGGAGGCGGAGGTTGCAGTGAGCCGAGGTCATGCCACTGCACTCCAGCCTGGGCAACAGAGTAAGACTTCGTCTAAAAAAAAAAAAAAAAAAAAAAAAAAAATCTCCCAAGAAAAGCCTAGGACTAGAAGACTTCATGGTGAATTCATCCAAGCACTTAAAGAACTAACACATATCCTCCTCTGATTTTTTCAAAACATTGAAGGGCAAAAACACTTCCAAATTCATTTACTGAAGCCAACATTACCTTTAAACCAAAGCCAGATAAGAACACTAACTCCCAAAATATTATAGGTCAATATTCCTGAAAAACAGCTTTCATAATTTTTGGTAAAAACTAACAAAATACTAACAAGCCAAATTAAGCAGTGCATTAAAAGGATACTTCACCATAATCAAGTGGGATTATTCCTAGGATGTATAAACCAAAAGTATGTGAGACAGGTCTCAATCAGATTGAAAGTTTATTTCACCAAGGTAAAGGACATGCTTGGAAAAAAGAACACAATTACAGAAACAGTCTGTGGTCTGTGCTTTTCTTTAAAGATAATTTTGAGGACTTTAATATTTAAAGGGGAAAGCAGGCTAGAGGGGAAAGAGGGAGAGTATGATAATCCACAGGTTGCAAGAAGAAAAGAAGCAAAGAAGCAGGTAGGTGAATAGTCATTTATGTATTCCTTTCACACTCAGTAGAAGGATCATCGCTTTACGTCAGGTAAGGAGAATGTGGAGTTACTGCCTGTTACTCTAACCTTTCATCTGTAGTTAACTGATTAGGAACAAAAAGAAAACAAAAACCAAAGGAAATGCAGTTTCTTGCATAACTCAGCTTTCAGCTTAGTATCTTTTTTCCTTTTGGCATAGTAAATTGGGGTCCCAAGTTTTTTTCCCACAGATGCAAAGATGGTTCAACATACACCAATCAATAAATATGATATGCCACATTAACAGAATAAATGACAAAAACAATTGTGCATCTCAATAGACATAGAAAGAGCATTGGATAAAATTCGACATCTTTTCATGATGAGAACTCAGCAGATTTGTTATAGAAGGAATGTGCCTTTACATAATAAATCTCACAGCTAAATCATACTCGATGGAGAGAAAGATTTTCCGCTAAGATCAGGAACAAGACAAGAGTGCTCACTCTCACTGCTTCTATTCAACATAATACCAGAAACTAGCCAGAGCAATTAGGCAATAAAAAGAAAGAAAAGGCTTTCAAATCAGAGGACGTTAAATTATCTTGCCATCTGTTTGCAGATGACATGATTTTACATATAAAAAACTCAAGACTCCAGCAAAATCCCATCAGAGTTAAAGAATTCAAGAAACTTGCAGGATACAAAATAAACATATATAAATGAGTTGTATTTCTATACACCAAAAAGGAACCATCCAAATATGTAATTAAGAAAAGAATACCATTCCCAATACCATCCAATAGAATAAAATACATAGGAATAAATACAGCTGAGGGAGTGAAAGATCTGTTCACTAAAGAGGAGATAAATAAGTGGGAAGATATCTCATGTTAATGGGTTAGAATAACTAATATTCTTTAAATGTCCATATTACTCCAGAAAATGTCTGATTCAGTATAACCCCAACTAAAATCCACAGGCATTTTTTACATAAATAGAATAAAACCATTCTAGAAATTTTGTGAATGCACAAAAATATCAAATAGCCAAAGCAATATTGATAAAAAGAACAAAGCTGGAGGCTTCAGACTCCGATTTCAAACTATATTACAAATTATAGAAATAAAGCCATGCTTATATGGTCAATTAGTCTTTGATGAGGGTGCCAAAAATGCAGCATGAAGAAAGGATAGTCTGTTCAATAAATGGCATTGGGAAAACCAGATACATACATGCAGAGGAACGAAATTGGACTCTTATCCTACACTATTCCCCCAAAACCAAATCTAAATGGATCGAAGACTTAAATGGAAGACCTGGACTTGTAAAAGTCCTAGATGATGACATAGGGAAACAGCTCTTTGACATTGATCTTGGCCGTGATATTTTTGATATGACACAAAAATTAAGGCAACAAAAGCAAAATAAGCAAGTAGGACTGCATCAACATGCAAAAACTTTTGCACAGAAAAGGAAACAATAAAATGAAAAGGTAATCTCTGCAATGGGAGAACATATCTGCAAACCATATTTTGGATAAGGAGTTAGCATCCAAAATATAAAAGAAACTGACAAAATCATTAGCAAATATCAAATTACCCAACTTAAAAATGGTAAAGACAGTGTGAATAGGCATTTTTCCAAAGAGGCAATACAAATAGCCAACAGGTGAATGAAAAGATGTTCAACATCACTAATCATCAGGGCCACACAAATCAAAACCACAATGAGATATCAGCTCACACCTGCTAGGATGGCTATTACCAGGCAATACATAGCAAGTGCTGTCAAGTGTGTGTAGGAAATGGAACACTTGTACATGTGCATTGCTGGTAGAAACGTAAGTTGCAACAGCCTGTGTTGAAAGCTGTATGACAGTTCTATAAAGATTAAAAATAGAGCTACTCTATAATTCAGCAATCCCACTCTGTACACCTTCCTGAGGTAAATAATTATATAAATAATATAATGACAACATAAGAACATTGTTAAATTAGTCATCTGTGGTGTCCATTTGAGCAGTTTTGCCCATTTATTTAATTACAGCAATTTCTGAAACCAAATTTTACCTACCTCTAACAACCCCCTCTTACAAGTGATATTTCTGCACCACTTGGTGGAATTTACTTCCAAATTCAGATCTCTGTACACAAACTCAGACAAACTCCTTTCATGCACTGCAGGAATAATTTTCAGTGAGAAGCAAAAGTGTTCGGTCGATGTGTCATGTAAAGCAAGTACTTGTCATTTCTCTCGAAGATGCGATAGGCATGGGAACACCTGGCTTCCATTCATTGTCGGTAAATCAGGCAAGGTCAGGGCTGTGCCAAGGGGAAGTAAATTAACAGCTTCACGATACAGCTCGAGATTCAGCTTCTTGCATATTAGAACAAATGTATTTCTTTCCTAATTTCTCACGTTCCAGAAATACTAGACCCATGAATTATTTTGTTAATGAAAATGATAGTGATCTGATGCTCATAGATTTACAGAAGTTACCTTTGTAGCATGATATACATCTGGCAAACTAAAGGTTAGTGACAAGTTTATAACCATTTTGCTGGTTTTCCCAGTTTCAGAAGAAACATGCTGAGGGGGTTAAGCTTTCCTAAGTCTCCATTATCGCACGCGACTGTTATGATATTTATTGTAAACATAGTAGACCATTGTCTGGAATAGACTAAATCCTAAAGAAACTAAATCTGGAACTACTTTTATTTACATACTATGAAATAGATGAACCTATTCTTTGAATTTTGAAATGGATTCATTTTTGGTTTAGGTGGTTCCAATGGCCAATGCTAAAACTACTGGTGTTTACACTACAAAGTTCACTTCAGCCTTTGGAGAAAATGCGTTTCTTTGTACTTACTGAGATACAATAGCAGAAACACTGACCCCAGTGGCTGCCAATGTGAACCGAGGTTTACAATGTATTGCAAAGGGAGGGAGCAGCCAATACTCCTCCTCTAGGGCTCTGCTAGGATTCTAAGTCTTTACAATGAGTCTCTTCGAGGGGTAAAGTGTTTAAGACCAAGTCTCATACTAAAATGCTCAATGAACCTGGGATGGGAGATAAGATAAAAGGCACTCTATAAGGTCTTTCATAGGTCAGCTACTGCAGTGCAGTTAAAAACACTCTAAAGATATTAAATCTAATGAGATAAATGGGAGCAATAAGCAGTATGGAGGGAAAACGCCACGTATAAGAAAGAAGGAAAATATGAGTGGGCTTTGTGCTGGGGACCCGGAGACCTGAGGGCAAAAGAGAGGAGAGATAGGGAGTAACGGAATTATAGAAAGAGGAGGGGACAATGCTTGCCCTTTACTACTTTTCTTGGTTCATTCTTGACTGCATCATGCTCCTCAGAGCCCTGGTGACATCTTTGTTGCGGAGACTGTAAATGAGGGGGTTCAGCACAGGAGTGAAGATGGTGTAAAAGGCAGACACCATCATGTCCTGCTCAGCTGTGTGGTAGGAACTCGGGAGCATGTAGGTGTAGAAGGAAGCACCGAAGAGCAGCAGCACTATGATCATGTGGGAGGAGCAGGTGGCCAAGGCCTTCCTGTGGCCGGCGGCAGAATTCATCCTGTGGATGAGATGCAGGATGAGGGTGTATGAGCTGGAGATGACCATGATGGGGGCGAGAAGCATGAGGATGCAGCACAGGTACATGAGCGTCTTATAGAGGGAGACGTCAGAGCAGGAGAGCTTCAGCAGGGCAGGAGTCTCACAGAAAAAACTCAGGATTTTCCTAGACTGGCAAAAGGGGAAGCTCATGGTAATGGGGGTGAGCAACAAACCATCAACCATTCCCAAAACCCAGCAGGCTGACACCAGGAGCTGGCACACCCTCTGGTTCATCAGCAGTGGGTAATGGAGAGGTCTGCAAACAGCAGCATATCGGTCATAGGCCATGGCAGCCAGGAGGAAAACCTCAGCTCCAGCCAGGGTCAGGTAGAAGAACATCTGGATCCCACAGCCTGACGGGGAAATGGTATCATCTCCAGTGACCTGGCCCACAAGCATCTTGGGCACAGTCACGCATAGGTACATGAGATCCATGAGCGCGAGCTGGCTGATGAAGAAGTACATGGGGGTGTGGAGGCGGGGCTCTGAGTGGATGAGGAGGATGAGGAGGGCATTCCCAGTGAGGGCCATCAAGAAAAGAAGGAAGGTCACGGTGTAGAGGAGGGCAGCATGCTTGCTCTCAGCAAAGAGTCCCGTGAGGGTGAAATCAGTGCTTGCTGTTTGATTCTGAGAAGTCTGATTCCCTGAGCACATGACTGGCTCAGTTTCCCCCTGAGGAAAAAAAAGTCATTAATTTTAAATCTTTCCTATGTACATGGCTTTCCTGACCTTTTTCTGGTAAGACATGTGCTTTGAATTATTTTTCTAAATATTGATTTAAACTGACATAAAATCATAAGTTCAAATCTTAGGTCAAGTTGTATCTTGGCCACAAGCTAAAGTGAACTACGAAACAGATCTGGGGAGGTGACTATTCATGAGCTAAGTCAAGAGTGAAGACAGGTACACTCTATGTCTTATTTCCCCCCAGAATTAAGAACACAAGTATACTGGCCTTGTGGGATGGTTAGAGACTGAAGTAGGGAATGCACGTTAGGTCTGTAACACAGTGTTAGTGTTGGGTTGAAATTTTCACTACTTTTTGGATACAGTAGCTCATCCAGGACTCAGTGATGGAAATCACGGCTGATAAGGTTAATATTAATATTGTTAATGGTACAAATATCATAACTAATACCATGAAATAATCTGAAAACTGGAAATCTCCTTAAATTTCTTCTACCATTATATATCTCCATTTAAGTCCACTTTCCTCACGAAAACTTTTCAATTTATTCTGCTATTCCTCACAAGGTTGCATTCCATAAGTAGTGCTGACTGGGGCAGAGGAGCAGAGGGAGAGTCCCGCCTGCCTGAGGAGAGTAGCTTGGGGTGCAGAACTAGTGCCGAGCAGGAGAGCAGCAGTAGGCACAGTGAGCCCTCTCCCAGTCCCCAGTGAAATCTAAGGCATTTAATTTATTAACTGTCAGGCAGAGAAATATTTTTACAAGAAATCACAGCAATAAATGCTGCAGATGCCCTAAATATCAAGTATTTAGTTGAAATATAAACAAAATATTTATTTTCATTTTGCTGATACCATTTATCCCCCAAAAATCATGCCTAAAATGTCCAAAATTCCGTTCATAGTGATTGAAAAATGAAGTTAAAGCACATGAGGCAGTTGTGTTGAATCTTTCATAAAACCGCAGCCCTGCAACCAAGCCTAGGGATCCTCTTGTCCTGCATCTCCTTTGCATAACAAACTAATCACCATCCCCTCCCATAAATTCATAGCTTTGCTCAGTGACTGCTTTGTCTGAATATTTCAGTTTTAATTTTCCAGTTGCATTGTTTTAATCATGCTTGATACAATTGTCTCAAAGTTAAAAAGCCCACTAACTTCTAGACTAATGAAGAGTCAGGAGCTCCATGACTGAGGTTTGGTCATCCTCAGGGTTGCTGTACTGCAGGTTAGAGAAATAATGCTGAGGAAAAAACTAATAGTGACTGAGGCATGTGGAAATGCAAAGTGAAATACAACGCACTGTTCCTAGGGCAAAAAAACAAAAAAACAAAACAAAAACAAAGCACACACACAAAACAAGAGACAAAACAAAAAAAAACCCTGGGACTTCAGGAAACCTAAAGTCAGAATTATGAAGAGCTAGCAACAAGAGTCAGGTATCTTTGTTCCTTACTTATCCCCTTTATAAAGCACTGAAGAGACAGGTCATCAAGACACCTTTCAACAAAGAGACGAACACGGCACATAGAGCACAAACCTTTTGCTCCATCTTTTCTGTTCCATCAGACAATAAATCTAAGCCACGCCAGCTCAGTGAAGCTGCTTTCACCATTCTAAGGCCAAAGCAAAGGGGTTTAAATTCAGAATGAAAATGAGAAAATTACATCGTCAGTTTCTTCACATTAGGGAATTGAGATGAGTGTTTATTGCTTAATTCTTTGCCTTGTTTTCCTTTTTTTTTTTTTTTTTCCTTCTTATTCATCTTTCCTGTACTTGGCATTGTCTCTTTCCTGGAGCTTCTATTTTCTTTAAGACCCTCTCAGAATCCACTATTTTGGTATTTTTGTTTTCTTTTGCTATTTGTTTTTGATGGTTATATTCTAACTTTCCACTCACGGTCCACGTGGGAATTAAACATGTTTTTCATTTATGCGATGCATCTATCCAAAAGCAAATCCATCTTTCTCATGACGTTGCACATTTTTTAAACAACTTCATTTTTCTAGTTTAAAATTATATTTTCATATCAGACATTTAAAATAAGCTCTCTTTGTAAAAGCAAATCTGAATTTCACAAAGGGAGGATCATGCAAAACCAGTGTCAGAAGTCTGTAAACTAAATTTAAAATCCTAAGACCCCTAATCAACTGAACAGACCCCCTCTAGGCCACGAGAATCTCAGGAAAGCTGAAAAGCTTAATTGCAGGACATAAGAAGGGAGACACACTTCATTACACCCATCTTTTGGAATTTAGGCACAACTGACCAGCAATAACATTGAAATAGAGTTCCTAAGACTGACAAAACAGACTGAGTGGCAATAAGATACCAAATTCCAACCTGACTCTGGTATAGCATCACATGACAGATAGCAGACCCTGAGGAAAATCAAAATATTCCACCCCAAAGTATGTATTTGACATATTTTGAAATGGCCCTACAAAGCCATCTTTCGTGGGGAAAAGTTGCATCTGTAGACACTCTCCATTAACACAGCTGGGGCTTTCCCAGATTCAGGAGAAAATATCGGAGTCTGACAACCTTTTAGGTTCTAAAACATTTACCATTTATTATATTTGCTTCCAATTAATTGTGTAATCTTAGTCAAGACACTAAAAGCTCTGAGTGTCACTTTCTCAGAATCAAAAGGAGTGTTATGTACTTGCTATGCTTCTGTGACTCTTAAGACATCTATGAATCTGATGACCGAATGTGGTCTAAGATTTCTCCATGACAGGGTGACCTTCTCCCACATCGCCCCTCTCCTTAAAGGCTCAGAGACTTCCCTTGAAATATTAGTCTCATCGAATTTAGATTATATAATTTGGGAATGAAAGAGAATGGGAAAAGGGAGCCACTTTTCTCAGTGCCTGCAAGGTTCCGAGACTTTGCTGAGTCTTTCTAGCATGACAAACGTACAAGTACTGAGTAGTGTATTCATCCCTGTGTACAGTCATCCCTCACTATCTGTCCTCAGTACCAGGACATCGTGAAAATACCAAAATCCATGATGCTAAAGACCCTAATATGAAATGGCAGAGTATTTCTATATAACCTACACAAATCTTCCCGTATGCTTGAAATCATGTCTAGATTACTTATAACAACTAATGCAATATGAATGCTATGTAAATAGCTGTTATACTATATTTTTTAGGAAATAATGACAAGGAAAAAAGTCTGGAGGATGGAGCAAGATGGCAGAATAGAAGGTTCCACTGATCATCCCCCTGCAAGAACACCAATTTAAAAACTATCTACACAAAAAACACCTTCTCAAGAACCAAAACTCAGGTGAGCACTCACAGTACATGGAGTTAAATTCATATTTCTGAATGAGGCATTGAAGAAGTTGGAAAAACAGTATTGCATCACTGACACTACCACCCCTTCATCCCCCAGCAGCGGTGGTGTGGTATGGAGAGCTTCTCTGTGCACTAAGGAGAGGGAGAGCCAGCAATTCTAAGACACTGAGCTCAGCGATGCCCTTCTTATAGCAGAAAGAAGACCCAGACCAAATTCAGCTGACACCCACCATGAAGGGCGCATTTAAACCAGCCATTGCTGGAAGGGAATTGCGAATCCCAGTGTTTGGAACTTGAGTTACCCAAGCCTCACCATGAAGGGCTAAAGTGGCTCTGGAGCCACAGACAAACCTGAAGGGCAGTCTAGGCCACAAGAGCTGCAAATCCTAATGCTAATCTGGGCCCAGAGCCAGTGGACTCGGGGGACACATGACCTGTTAAAACACCAGCCAGGGCAGCTAAACTCATCCCCTAACCTCAGCCTCCACGGCTTGTGGCTCCAAAAGAGGCCTCTTTCCTCTGCTTTAGGAGAGGAGAGGGAAGAGTGAGGAGGACTTTGTCTTGCATCTTGGATACCAGCTCAGCCACATCAGGGTTGGATACCAGCTAGAGTCATGAGGGCCTTGGGTGAAACTCTGAGGCATGCTGGCTCCGGGTGAGACTCAGCATATTACCAGCTATGGTGGCTATGGGGCAAGACTCCTTCTGCTTGAGGAAAGTGGACAGAAAATTAAAGAAAATTAAGAGAGACTTAGTCTTGCACTTTAGTGCAACTATTGTTACCATTGTTATTCAACATATTACTGGAAGTTCTAGCTAGAGCAATCAGACAAGAGAAACAAATATAAATAAATCTATCTATATGTAAATATATCTATATATATAGATAGATATAGATATAGAGATATAGATATAGCATCAAATTTCAAAGAAAAGTAAAATTATCTTCGTTCACAGATGATAGGACCTTATACTTGGAAAAACCTAAAGTCTCCCCAAAAACCTATTAGAACTAATAAATTCAGGAAAGTTGCAGGATACAAGGCAGATTTCTATATGTCAATAGCAAATAGATTAAAACAAATTTAAAAAGTAATCTCATTTATGATAGCCACAAATAAAATTAAATAGGAATTAACCAAAGAAGTGAAATAGTTCTCTAATGATAAACTATAAAGCATTAATAATTGAAGAGGACACTAAAAATGAAAACATATTCCAGATTCATGAACCAAAAGAATCAATATTGTTAAAATATCCATAGTACTCAAAGCAATCTGTAGATTCAATGTTATCCTTATCAAAATACCAATGACATTTCTTACAGATATAGAAGACACTATCCTAACATTTGTATGAAAGCACAAAACACCCAGAAGAGCCAAAATTATTCTAAGCAAAACCACCAACCAACCAACCCACCAAAACTGGAGGAATCCCATTGCCTGACTTCAAATTATACTACAACAGAGCTACCATAACCAAAACAGCATGGTTCTGGCATAAACACAGATACATAGACCAATAAAACCGAATACTCAGAAACAAATCCACATACCTACAGTGAACTCATTTTCTACAAAGGTGCAAGGAACATACACCAGGGAAAAGATCGTCTCTTCAATAAGCTGTACTGGGAAAAGTGGATATCTATATGAAGAAAAATGAAACTAGTCCCGTCTCTCGCCATATACAAAGATATAGTCAAAATGGACTAAAGACTTTAAGAACTCAAACTATGAAACTACCAGAAGAAAACGTTGGAGAAAATCTCCAGGATATTTGTCTGGGCAAATATTTCTTGAGTAATACTCCATAACACAGGCAACCAAAGCAAACATGGACAAAGGAGAGCACATTATGTTAAAAAGCTTCTGCACAGTGAAGGAAATAAATCAACGAAGAGACATCCCACAAAATGGAAGAAAATGTTTTCAAACTACACACCTGACAAGGAATTAATAACCACAATACATAGGGAGCTCAAATAAATCTATAGGAAAAAATCTAATAATCTGATTTATATATTGATAAAAGATTGAATAGACATTTCTCAAAAGACAACATACAAATCAAAAACAGGCACATAAAAAGTGCTCAACATTGATCAGAGAAATGCTGATCAAAGCTACAATGAGATACCATCTCATCCCAATTAAAATGGCTCTTATACAAAAGACATGCAAAAATAAATGCTGGTGAGGACATGGAGAAAAGGGAACCCTCATAAACTCTGTGGGAATGTGAAGTTGCATTTAAAGTTGTATTTAAAGGTGCAACAGAGAACAGTTTGGAGGTTCCTCGAAAAAACTAAGAATAGAGCTAACGTATCATCCAGCAATCCCGCTGCTGGGTATATACCCAAAAGAAAAGAAATCAATATACTGAAAAGACATCTACACTTCCATGTTTGTTGCAGCTCTGTTCACAATAGCTAAAATTTGGAAGCAACCTATGTGTCCATCAACAGATGAATGGGTAAAGAAAATGTGGTACTTATACATGATAGGTACTATATAGCCACAAAACATAATGAGATCCTGTCATTTGCAACAACATAGATGGAACTGGAGGCCATTATGCTAAGTCAAATAAGCCAGGCACAGAAAGACAAACATTGCATGTTCTCAGTTATTTCTGGCACCTTAAAATCGAAACAACTGGACTCATGGAGATATAAATTAGAAATATGCTTAGCAGATACTGGGAAGGGTACTGGGGGTGGTGAAGGGGTAGGTGGGGATGGTTAATGGATACAACAAATTTGTTAGAATGAATAAGTACTAGCATAATAGACTGACATCGTCAATAACAATTTAATTGTACACTTAAAAATAACTAAAAGGGTATAATAAAATTATAACACAAAAGATAAATGCTTGAGAGGATACTCCATTTTTCATCATGCATTTATTATGCATTGCATTCCTGTATCAAAACATCTCATGTACCCCATAAATGTATACACCTATGTCACAACAAAAATAAAATTTAGAAAAGTCTGTACCAATGTGACCATGATAAGCCTAATTATATTTTCAATCCATGATTGGTTAAGTCCATGATTGGTTGAATCCTCAGATGCAGAATCCAACTCATAAGCCCAACTGCAGAAGCAGATACTGACACCAGGAGACAGAATGAGCATATTCTGTCCTTGGCTGGTACCCACCCTGTCTTCCAACATTGCTTCTTCCAATATCTCAGAGTATCTTTAAACCACACACTTTCATATTCCTTCATAACTTCTCGTATCCTGCTTCTTTGCTGTGAATTTACCAAATGCATTTCTATATAAACTACCAGTCATAAATGCTCAGATAATATGACAATTTCTTTATGAAGGCGTGCTCTACTCAATCAGTGAGAACTCTCACACCTCAGACATCACAATCCTTCTTTTGTACTCTTCACACAAGCTTCAACTCACTCTTGTATTTTAATTATTCCTAAGTTTCAATGAAAATTCCACATGAATATGTATAATTAAAAATTAATGGGCTATCCAAATGCTGTATAGGTATGAAAGTTAGAAATCTAAATAAGCATTTAAAAATGGCAGGTGGAGGGTTATTAATATGTAAAATTGCAAAATTCTAGATACATTTTAGGTACTGCTATGAAATCCTTAATGAGCTGTACACTTATTTTTTTATGGATATACTTCAATAGTTGTACAAGCTTCATGTATAGCCACAAATATAAACATATTCTAGAACATAAAATGACAAAATGGTCAACAAAGTTATCCATCATCTTAGGTCCTTGAGGGACTTTTGATGAGTGGACCCCGAGTACCATCTGACAGATTTACAATGTGAACATCACATAAACAATGTTTTTATGCAGCTTGAGATGTTACTATGGCATTACCTTGTGCATTCTGACTGATCCATAATTATATTTAAAATTTGCAACAGTGTTCCCTATTTTATGTTCATAACATATCATCATCTGGCATGACCACATCGTATGTTTTACCTATTCACTGTTTGGGTTTTTGTTATTGCACAAGGAGACCAAAATATATTTATTTTCTTCTCTGTTGTTTTCTAACATTAGCACTATGCCTGGCATATATCACTTTTGCACCAACATAATAGTAAAAATTGATTATTTGTTAAATAAATGAAGAAGGAAAAATGATGGTTAGAGAGATTAGTGCAACTCCTTTAGAGATGAATTCAGTAATATCTCATAACATTGAAGATGTTCTTTCTTCACTACCTAAGACTTCCAAGGAGATTATACAAGGATAGATACTCTTACATTATAAAGCATGAAAAAGTGGTAAACCTAAATATTAATATAAAGAAAATGCACACATGATCAATATTAATACCAATTTATTGTGAACATTTCAATTAGTAAAGTTGAAGGAAAATATGTTGCAGAATGATCAGTGTGTTACCATTTAACAAATACATCCTACTAAAATATTACATTTGGACACATATCTGCAATAAAAATATTAAAAATTGATAGGGAAGATACACACCTGTTTAAAAAAATTGGTCTGAGGACACTAAGAGAGGGAATTCAAGAGAGCACAGATAAGACTTTGATGTATCTGTAAAATATATACCGCCCTGTTTTTGAGTCAGGGTCTTGCTTTGTCAACCCAGGCTGGAGTGCAGTTTCGCAATTGTGGCTCACTGCAGCTTCAATCTCCCGGGCTCAAGCGATCCTCTCACCTCAGCCTCCTGAGTAGCTAGGACTATAGACACGTGCCACTATGCCTCCCTGATTTTTTAAAATTTAATTTTTGGAGAGATGAGGTCTCACTATGTTACCCAGGCTGGTCTCAAATACCCAGGCTAAAGCAATCCTTCCACCTCAGCCTTCCAAAGTGTTGGGATTATAGGCATAAGCTACTGCCCCTGGATGATATATATATGATATTTATTTATATTTTTTATATCAATAGGTTTTTGGGGAACCGGTGGTGTTTGGTTACATTAATAAGTTCTTTCATGGCAATTTGAGAATTTGGTGCACTCATCACCCAAGTAGTGTACACTGTACCTGATGTGTAGTCTTTTATCCCTCACCTGCTTCCACCCTTTCCCCCAAGTCCCCAAAGTCTATTGTATCATTATTATCCCTTTGCATCCTCATAGCTTACCTCCCACGTGTGAGTGAGAACATACAATGTTTGGTTTTTCATTCCTGAGTTGCTTCACTTAGAATAACGGTCTCTAATTCCATCCAGTTTGCTGCAAATGCCATTATTTCATTCCTTTTCATGGTTAAGTAGCATTCATCTATATACATATGAAGATATATGAGTATATATGAATATATGAGTATATATGAATATGAGTATATATGAATATATGAGTATATATGAATATATGAGTATATGTGTGAATATATGAATATATATGAATATATGAGTATATGTGTGAATATATGAATATATATGATTTTATCTACTCATTGATTGATGATCATTTGGGCTGCTTCCATATTTTTGCAATTGTGAAGTGTGGTGCTGTGAACATGTGTGCAAGTATCTTTTTCGTGTAATGATTTATTTTCCTTTGGGTAGATACCCAGTAGTGGGATTGCTGGATCAAATGGTAGATATACTTTTAGATCTTTAAGGAATCTCCAGACTTTTCCATAGTGGTTGTACAAGTTTACATTTGCACCAGCAGTATAAAAGTGTTCTCTTTTCAGCACATCCATACCAATGTCTATTTTTTAAAGATTTTTTGATTATGGCCATTCTTGCAGGAGTGAGATGGTATTGCATTGTGGTTTTGAATTTCATTTCCCTGATAATTAGTGATGTTGAGCATTTTTTTCATGTTTGTTGGCCA
The DNA here is from genome assembly GCF_000001405.40 of Homo sapiens. Taxonomy (NCBI): domain Eukaryota; kingdom Metazoa; phylum Chordata; class Mammalia; order Primates; family Hominidae; genus Homo; species Homo sapiens. Next base: position 112,159 of record NW_025791755.1, on the reverse strand, counting down.
TTTGTATATTTTCTCTTGAGAATTGTCTATTTGTGTCCTTAGCCCACTTTTTAATGGCTTTGTTTTGTTCTTGCTGATTTGAGTTTCTTGTAGATTCTAGATATTAGTCCTTTGTTGGATGTAGAGACTGAAGATTTTCTCCCACTCCATGGGTTGTCTGTTTACTCTGATGATTATGTCTTTTGCTGTGCACAAGCCTTTTAGTTTAATTAAGTCTCATTTATTTTTGTTTTTATTGCATTTGCTTTTGGGTTCTTGGTCATGAAGTCTTTGCCTAAGCCAATGTCTACAAGATAACATTTTCTGATGTTATCTTCTAGAATTTTAATAATTTCAGGTCTTAGGTTTAAGTCTGATCTATCTTGAGTTGTTTTTTCTATAAGGTTACAGATGAGGTTCCAGTTTCATTCTTTACATGTGGCTTGCCAATTTTCTCAGCACCATTTGTTGAATAGGGTGTCCTTTCCCCCACTTTTATGTTTTTGTTTGCTTTGTTGAAGATCAGTTGGCTATAGTATTTGGTTTTATTTCTGGGTTCTCTATACTGTTCCATTGGTCTATATACTGATTTTTATGCCAGTACCAAGCTATTTTGGTGACTATGGCCTTATAGTATAGTTTGAAGTCGAGTAATGTGATGCCTCTGGTTTCGTTCTTTTTTTCCTAGTCTTGCTTTGGCTATGTGGGCTTTTTGGTTCCATATGAATTTTAGGATTGTTGTTCTGTGAAGAATGATGGTGGTGTATTGATGGGAAGTGCATTGAATTTGTCCATTGCTTTGGCAATATGGTCATTTTCAATTATTGATTCTACCTACCCACGAGCATGGGATGTGTTTCAATTTATTTGTGTCATCTACGATCTCTTTCAGCAGTGATTTGTAGTTTTCCTCATAGAGGTCTTTTACCTCCTTGGTTAGGTATTCCTAAGTATTTTATTTTGCAGCTATTGTAAATTGGGTTGAGCTCTTGATTTGAATCTCAGCTTGGTAGCTATTGCTGTATTAACAGAGCTACTGAGTCGTGTACATTAATTTTGTATTCTGAAACTTTGCTGACTTCATTTACCAGTTCCAGGAGCTTTTTGGATGAGTCTTTAGGGTTTTCTTGGTATACGATCATATTATCAGCAAACCGATAGCATAACTTCCTCTTTACTGATTTGGATGCCCTTTACTTCTTTCTCTTGTCTGATTGCTCTGGCTAGGACTTCCAGAACTATATTGAATATAAGTGGCAAAAATGGGCATCCTTGTCTTGTTCCAGTTCTCACAGGGAATGCCTTCAACTTTTCCCCATTCAGAATAATGTTTGCTGTGGGTTTGTCATAGGTGACTTTTATTACCTTACAGCATGTCCCTTGTATGCTGATTGTGCTGAGGGTTTTAATCATAAAGGGATGGATTTTGTCAAATGCTTTTTCTGCAACTATTGAGATAAACACAATTAAAAACACAAGTCACATGGTTATGTGATGTATCACATGTATTGACTTGTATATGTTAAACCATCCCTGAATCCCTGTTATGAAACCCACTTGATCATGATGATTTATCTTTTTGATATGCTGTTGGATTCTGTTAGATAGTATTTTGTTGAGAATTTTTGCATGTATGTTCATCAGGGATATTGGTCTATGGTTTTGTTATGTCCTTTCCTGGGTTTGGTATTAGGGCAATACTGACTTCATAGAATGATCTAGGAAGGTTTCCCTCTCTATCTTGTGGAATAGTGTCAGTAGGATTGATGCCAATTAATTCAGCTGTGAATCCATCTGGCCCCAGACTTTTTTTGTTGGCATTTTTTAATTACCATTCCAATCTTGCTGCTTGTTACTGGTCTCTTCAAAGTTTCTATTTCTTCCTGGTTTAATCTAGGAGCATTGTATATTTACAGAAATTAAATCATCTGTAGGTTTTCTATTTTACACGCATAAAGGTGTTCATAGTAGCCACCAATAAGCTTTCGTATTTCTGTGATATTGGTTGTCATATCACCTGTTTCATTTCTAGTTGAGCTTATTTGACTATTCTCCTGATTAATCTTGCTAACAGTATCAATTTTACTTATTTTTTTCAAAGAACCAACATTGTTTCATGTAGCTTTTGTATTTTTTGTTTCAATTTCATTTAGTTCTGCGCTGATTTTTGCTATTTCTTTTCTTCTGCTGGGTTTGGGTTTGGTTTGTTCTTGTTTTTCTAGTTCCTTGAGGTGTGACCTTAGATTGCCTATTTGTGCTCTTTCAGACTTTTTGATGCAGGCCTTAATAGTATGAACCCCTTATGATTCAGGAATTCCATTAATAAGGATGTATCCAATTTAAATGGGTATGTCAAAGAGATATCTGCACTCCCATGTTCATTGCAACATTATTCACAATAGCCAAGATATGGAATCAACCTAAGTATCCATCAATGGGTGAATAGATATAGAAAACAAGACATATATCCACAGTGAAATGTAATTCAGCCTTTAAATAGAAGAAAATCTTGTTCATTTGTATCAAAGTTGGATATTGTGTTGTATGTATCAAAATATTATAATTGTATATATCATATATACATGTTTATGTGTATAATGTATATTATATATAATACAAAATTATAATTATATATGTAATATATGTGTTGTATATATCAAAATTGCTAAGTGGGTACATTTTAAATGTCTCACCATGAAAATTGGTGATATGTTCTTTAGGTTAATTCCATCATTACAAATAATATACATGTATCAAAATATCACATTGTACCCCATAAAATATGTATTTTAATATTTCAATTAAAAATATTTTTTAAAATAATGCAAAAAGAACATGAAAGTGGAAAAATGATTATAGACATTTTGATCTGGAACTGAAATCAGAAACATGAATATTAATCTATGATTTCTACACACATTTATATATAGATGGTGTCTACTTCATCCTTTTTTCACATTTTATAGATATAATTTGAATTTTTTTATTCTATCTTCTTGAATTAGGAGATTAGTCAATATTTAGGCTTCCTTTCTTCTTAATGATCTATGGGGACAAATTTTTCTGTAACCACTGGTTTAGCTGCATCCTACACGTTTTATGTCGTGTTTATATTATTCTGTCAAAGGCCCACCTGTGATTGATTTTGGTGAGAATCCCATGTGCACTAGAAAATAACGTGGACTTTTCTTATTGTTGTGAGCATTCATATCTACAAGTTTTGTTGCCATTAAGTATGTTGTATAAATCTTTTATAACTTTAGTAATTTGGAGGTTTATGTGCTCTATCACATATTGGTGTGTTAACATACATACCATTAAATTGAGCAATGACTGGGCAAAAGGAAAAATCAAAGGAGAATTAAAATCTCAAGACAAACAAAAAATACAATATACTAAAACTTATGACATGCACCAAATCCAGTACTAAGAGAAAAGTTGATTGCAACGAATAGCCACATGAAAGAAAAAATTCAAATTAACCAACTTTTTACCTCAAGAAACTAGAAACAGAAAGCCTAAGTCCAAAGTTATCATAGAGAATAAAATATTAAAGTAGAAATAGGAGACTGGAAAAACTAGAAAAATCAGCAAAACTATTTAAAAATTAAAAGGTGATAAACCTTAGCTAGACTAAGAAAAAAAGTATCCTAAACTAAAATGAGAAATAGGAGGAGTCATTAGAACAAATGCCTCAAAATGAAAAGGATCATAAAAGACTATTATGAAAATTATGCACTTATAAATTAGATAATCTATAAGAAATCAAACTTCTTGATTTATACAACCTACCAAAACTAAAGAGGAAATAGGAAGCCTGAACAGACCAATAAGAACAAATTAGTAAACAAAAGATTCCCAGAGAAAAGACCAGAACCAAATGGCTTCGTGGATGAATTCTAAACATTCAAAGAAGAATAGCAATCCTTCTTAAACTCTTTCAAAAACCAGGAGAGAACGCCCCAAACTCATTTTATGAGGCCATCATACACTTATATCAAAGCCAGACAAAGATAATCACAAGCAAATAAAACTGCAGGTCAATATCACTGATAAACATAGGTGTAAAAATCTTCAACAAAATACTAACAAACCAAATTCAACAGCCCATTAAAAAGAGAATAAACCATAGCCAACTGAAATGTATCTCTGGGATGCAAGAATGCTTCAACATAGGCAAATCAATCAGTGTGATATAACACATTAAGAGAATAAAAAAATTTGCAGCAAAAACATTTGACAATTCATGTAAAAACTCTGAAAAACAGGTATAGAAGGAACTTAGTTCAACACATCATATAAGAAAAGCCCACAGTTAATAAAAAATGAAAATGTTTCTCCTATGGTCTGGTACAAAGTGAGGATGTCCATTGTCACCAGTTCTATTTAACATGGTACTGAAAGTCCTAGCCAAAGCAATGAAACAATGAGTTAAATTATGATAATTTTTCAACATAATTGTCCTCGTATCCTATATTTTCCTAGGTACTGAAGACCTCTAATGGACAGATTTTTTTAAAAGATAATTTGAAGGGCCAACTGTGTAGTCAGACTTTATATTCTTATGGTGATGTTTACTTTTGTTGTAACACACTAGATCACTTTCTTAGAAGTTCCCTAAAGTTGGGAGTTTGGGGGAACTAAGTTACAGGAGAGTCTCCCTGCTGTGGATTGGGGACAGTTGAGGGACCATTTCTGAAATGATTATTCACGACTTGAGCCAGATTATCTAGACTTCGTTATTGAACTAAACATCTTTGGAAAATTAACGCTGTTTTTGGCCTCTTGCCAATCAAGCGGTCTTTTCAGGCCTCTCTTAGGTGGAGTCATGAAAACAACTCATCCCTCCCTCTTAATACGTGTCTATCACTGCACAGTTAGGGTCACATTCTTCTTACTCTTGCAAGGCGATGAAATGCAATGACATGCAGATCTACTCAGCTGGGCCTTGGATTGCCAGAGGCAGAGGGCTTGAACTTAATTTTATTCTTACCTAGAGCATGAGCCCACGAAGCTTCCTCAATAGGATAGCAATGTAGAAGGGCCACAGTGCAGAAATAGAGTTTCAGTCAATCTTATTCAACTTGAACTTCTACATGAGAGCTGGGTTGTATCAACATCGAGGATAAAGGGGGGAATCTCAAACTGCTGGTGGGAATTACAATGGGTTTTCTGTCTTGTTTTCTGGTTTGAGAGCGTGCACTGAGTCAATGCCAGGAGTTTAAAAAATACGTACAAGCTTCCGCTCCTAGGGAAGCGTAGTATGGAAATAATCAGATGAGTGGGCAATTTATTAAAAAAGTGCATTCCGGTGTTATTTGCAATAAGAAAGTGGAAGTAACCTAAGCGTCTGCTAACTGGACACGTACTAAATAATTTAGGTTTTAGTACATAATAGAATTCTAAGTGACCAGTGGAATGTGAGGTGATCTATGTTCATTCTTCATCCTATAGCAGGTTCATTGTATTCTTAAGTGAAAAGGTGGCATATTTTCAACCTATATAATCATCTCCTTACAACTGTATTCTCTATTTCTAAGAACAAGATTATAATACATGCTGTGTATGTATTAAGGGATTTCATTTCAAAGATAATCAAAAAAGGTAAAGATTTTTACAATCTTTCAAATTACACAAAGCCATTATTTGCAAGCATCCCTGCCTTGGGCCAAGACTATATTATCCTTTCTCCCTTTGAAGTAGTTTCCCCAGTTTATACAGGGAGACAGAAAAGCAGTTCTCTTCATTAAACCTTCAGCTATTCAGAAGCTGAGGCCCAAAGATATGGTTTTAACTATGTTCAAACATGTTTTCTGATTTTAATTTTTCCAAGTTTATAGAATACTTCATTAACATCACTGGTCATTTCAATTAAACACTTTGGAAATCCAGGGAAAGAACAATTTTGATAACATCAACTGACATATGTAATCCTAAACTTTGCATTTAAATTTTCAGTCATGAAAGTGTTTTCTGCTTCTACCCTTGAGAAATGCCCCTTAATGGGACTTACCTCCTGTTTGCTTCAAAGAAGGAATATATGAAGAATCTAGCAAAAGCCAATGACTTTTTTACATAAGCTCCAATTTTAAAATAGTTAAACCACTTATCAGTGAAGCTGGAAATAATTTTAGTTTTTTGGTGTTTTTTTGCTTCTAGCATCACCCTTGACATGCAGTTCTATGTGAGCCTATAAAAGTCTAACTTTGTTAATCTTCAGTTTCCACGTCGTCTCTTCAAACCTGAGATGCCAAGGAAACTTTCTTTTAAAGATTTTTAAAAGGTACTAAGCCTTCTAAAATGAAAGTTTTTCATTCATTTATTACACTAGTATTTATTAAGGGCAAATTCTGTATTAGGAAAAATTTTAAGTGCTTGCGATGCCTAACAATTCTTGTTTTTAGGTATGTGATGATTTAATAAAACCAAATAAGCTTAAAGTGCTCATAAAAAATACAATGTGAAACAACCAGAGTTCAAGCTACAGGTATTTACCATTTTATATTCTTTGCTAGTTGTATAAACCAAAGGAATGTAGTCAAAACAAACCAAGTATTTTCCTGGCCTTTATTACCTGGGATTTAGAAGGAAGCACACAGTGAAATGCTGCTAAGTGTGTGACATGGTCACGGGAGTCACCCAGGTTTAAGAAATCCATCCTCAGTACAATCACAGCTGAAAAAGAAGCTTAAAAATGCATCTGGTTTTTATCATTTGTGTGTGAATCAGCCTGTTGTTTTAACTAAATAACCTATCGATGCCATAAAGTTGTCTATGAATACAATTGCTTTATGTATGGAACTTCTTTGTAGAGTCAGGACCTGACATTTCAGTCATTTTGTTTTCACAGAATTGTCAGAATTCTTTAGCAGAACTTCACTTCATTTAAAGTCAGTTGTCCAACTTGACAGGGATGTTCTGTCACTTTTTCAGATTTTTAATTTTTGTGGATACAGAGGTCTGCATTTTGTTTTCTTTACGCTAAATAATTATCTAATTATCTTCAGTTTCTCTGATCATTCCTTTTTGCCTGATATCTTCCTGAGCATTGAATAAAGCAGTTAATAAGGTATTTAATAAGTAGACTTTATGCTTTCTTCTATTACAATTTTATATTGCATATAGATGTTTATTGTATAAAACAAGTCTGTAGAAGCAAGTTAATTTTATATCCATATCCCTTACCTGCAGAAAGACCCCACAGGGAATCTGATTACCCCTCAATGTGGGTCATCAGGTCCTTGGCTAGACCAGCCTAACTAGCATCCAACAGCAAATGAACATGGCTTTTATCAGCATGTTGCTCTGAAGGGACCTTTGTCCCCAGGTCATTATTAGGGTTAACAAGCTGGCAGATACACATTGTGCCATGTGCTTCTCCCCTTTGTTTTGTTTTTGAGACAGTCTTGCTCTGTTGCCAAGGCTGGAGTGCAGTGGCACAATCTTGACTCACTGTAACCTCCACTCTGAGTTCAAGCGATTCTCCTGCCTCACCTACCAAGTAGCTGGGATTACAGGCATGTGCCACCACGCCCAGTTAATTTTTTGTATTTTTAGTAGAGACAGGGTTTCGCCATGTTGGCCAGGCTGGTCTCGAACTCCTGGCCTCAAGTGATCCAACTGCCTCGGCCTCCCAAAGTGCTGAGATTACAGGCATGAGCCACCATGCCCAGCCACTTCTCTCATTTGTAAATTGTTTATCAGTATCATGGCTTGGCACAAAACACCAGACCAGAGGTTAGAAGACGTGGTTCTGAAGCCCCATCTGCCTCTTGCTGGAATGGGGCAATAATTTGCTGTGAACATCAGCTTCTTCATCTCCCATGGGGCTAATTCTTTCTCTAAATACTTTATAAGAATTTGTGAAGATCAGAATCAAAATCAGGTAATGTAGTTAAATGTTTTCAAAACTAGGGACAGTCTTCTATTTTTTCCTCATTACCTGGATTAGTGCATGCCATGTTTCAGGTATACAACTGATAATTTAGTAACTTAAATATGATGTGTATTACTCAATATTAAAATTTATATATTATTTTAATAAAGAAGCAAATCTGGTGACCACAAATTACCTTATGTAAGAATTTGGTGAGATGACTGGGGAAAAATCCTTGGTCACTCCCTTTTACAGTGGGACTAGTTTTATGTGTGAAGGGAGTGGATACACACCATGTGTAAAATGAGATTAAAATTTTTTTTTAAGTTGTATTAAAGTAGAGCCTAACAGAAAAGCACACACATCAACAGTGGAAAGATTGATAAATCACCAGGAAAAGAACACGTTGATGTAACCACCATGAAATTTGTTAAATAGACTCAAACATTGAATAAGTCACCTCCTTCCATGCCCCGATCACTAATGTCCATGATATCCCTAGAAACTTGTCAAAATGCATTTCGCTTATTGCTTCAGGTATACTCTTGAAATGTCTGTCAATGTTAGAGTTAAATATTCTAGTTAAATATGCAAAGAATTAATCTTGGAAACATAAGAATAAAAGTCCTAATTTTTAATACATAGCAACTGAGGAAATGGGAAAGAAAACACATATCCCAGGATAGAGCACAAATGCAATGTGAACTGAAGGAGTTTTGTAGAGGGAAGATCGAGAAGGTGCTAGCTAAGGCAGGAGAATGGAGAATATGGAGGGCATTAGTGCAGAGACACAAAAGAATAAAATGTGAATGGAGCTGAATTGAAATAACACCGAGGATATTTCATAAATGAATCCTGGTCTGTTTCTTCACTTAATCCCTCCAGGACATTCTTCCATCTCTTTTCCATGTGTTTGATTTCAGGGTAAAGATCAAATTATTAGGAACCTTCTGAATGAAAAGCCACCTAGGGGTTAGCATATTGAAGGGAATATTCTTTATCTACGTCAGCAACAATGGAGGAAACATTTTTCCTTCTATCTGTGTTGACACTAGAACAACATAAGGCTGAGTAACCTTTGCTTAGTCTTTGTCAACTATGTAACCGCTCTGTCCAATGTTTTCTAAGCCTCGTATCAACAAAGAAAATAAACACCAGGTCCGTCAATATTTTTTATGTCTCATATTTCAGGACCTTACACACAGGAGAAACTAAAGTTACATGAATGGTGGGGTCAGTGTAGTCTTTGCTTAGTTAGTATTCCACCAAAGTTACACATCTATCAAAGCACCACACCTAACTCCAACTAATTACAAAAATACTTGTCTTCAGCATATCAATGAAGATGTTGAGAATAAGAAAATTGAGCAACTTATTCCACGGGAACTAAGTTAGCTAATAAAATGTCTTGGTTTATTCATTCTACATTTATCTATTAACAATTTGAGCATAAATGGCAGTTTTGTAGGTTTTTGGCCATGTAACAATCTTAATGGCAGAGTCAATTTTCAATCAATGAATCAATATTTCCAGGAATATATTGGACTCCATGTGAATAAAGGCAGGGCAAGTATTTAATTTCAGAGGTAAGTGATAACATTCATAAAATGTAACTAAGAACATGGAACCAAAAATAGTATCACCTTCCTAAATGTTTTCTAATAAAATTGCTACACATTTAGCACTAGAAAATATTTTACTTGTATTGAATGTTTGAAATTAAGTCATCAAGGAGGTGGCAAATGCTCCTTCCAATTTCCATTCAAAAGTTGGTCAGCAATACAGACAGACAGGCAGGACTCATGATCACAGGTTAACAATAGAGACAGGCAGGACTCAATCACGTGTTAGCAATACAGACAGGCAGGACCCATGATCACACGTTAGCAATACAGACAGGCAGGACCCATGATCACACGTTAGCAATACAGACAGGCAGGACTCATGGTCACACGTTAGCAATACAGACAGGCAGGACTCATGGTCACACATTAGCAATATAGACAGGAAGGACTCACGATCACACGTTAGCAATACAGACACAGAAGGACTCATCACACGTTAGCAATACAGACAGGCAGGACTCATGATCACACGTCAGCAATACAGGCAGGCAGGACTCATGATCACACGTTAGCAATACAGACAGGAAGGACTCATGGTCACATGTTAACATGGGCACTTCCAAGAGCTGCTTGGCGTGCCATGAATGGTTTGTAGGGCTACTTGACTGAGAATGCCCTCTGGAAATGTTTGTGAATCCAGTTGAACAAAGTTGACTAATGCGGAGATGCTCACCAACTTCGCTACTGTTCCTAAGTAATCCTTGCAACAGGATGATTTTGCCTGTTAATTTTGAATTGCTGAAAGTGACACTGAACATTCTTCAGAACCAATACCATATTTTCTGTAATAGCTGCGTTATTGGCCGCAGCACCGCAGATGTTTGCGCTAGTCCTTGCTAGTCCTTCCTGATCAGTCACCACCCCTGATGCTCTGGGAGTCCCCGCTAATCCTTCCCGATCACAGTCACCACTCTGATGCTGTGGGAGTCCCTGCTAGCCCTTCCTGATCACAGTCGCCACCCTGATGCTCTGGGAGGAACCACATCTCCCTAGTACTTTCCTCAGAGCTGCAGCCACATCTTTATTCCTCAAGCTGTAGATGAGTGGGTTGAGCATGGGGGTGAGGATGGTGTAGAAGGCAGACACCACTTTATCTTTCTCTGGAGTGTGGTAGGAGTGGGGCAGCACGTTGGTGTAGAAGGCTGCCCCGTAGAAAACGCTCACCACCATAATGTGGGAGGAACACGTAGCAAAGGCTTTGCGCCGGCCCTCAGCAGAGTTCATCCTGTGGACAGTCAGGAGGATGTGCGTGTAGGAGACAGAGATGACAGATAGAGGGATAAGCAGCATCAGCACGCAGCAGGCATACATCAGGGTCTCATAGAGTGACGTGTCTGTGCAAGACAACTTCAGCACGGCTGGGATCTCACAGAAAAAGTGATTGATCTCTCGGGATCTACAGAAGGGGAAACTCATAGTGACAGGAGTCAGCATGAACCCATCCAAGGAACCACCAACCCAGGAGCCGACCACCATGAATAAGCAAACCCTGCGGTTCATGAGGAGAGGGTACCGTAGAGGGTTGCACACAGCCACATAGCGGTCATAGGCCATGAGACCCAGCAGGAAGAATTCCCCTCCAATCAGGGTCAGGTAGAGGAAGATCTGAACTGCACAGCCCAGGAAGGAAATGGTCTTGTCCTTGGACAGGAGGTCCTGGAGCATCTTGGGGACAGTGATACAGATGTAGATGGTATCCATGATGGAGAGCTGGCTGAGCAAGAAGTACATGGGTGTGTGGAGGCGGGAGTCCATGTGGATGAGCAGAATCATGACCAAGTTGGCTGTTATAGCCACCACAAAGATGGAGAAGACTATTGCAAAGAGAAGCCCGGGGAAGGCAGGATGGGTGATGAGGCCTGTGAGGACGAAGTTAGTGGAGTTCTGGAGAAGACCCTCCATGCCCATGGTCCATGACAAGCTCCTTGGGCTGTAAAGGCAGAAATCTGGCAGCTTATTTAACGACCTGATATGTAGGAAGAGCCCACCAGGAATAGTATGTCAGAAGCAGCGTGAGATCAAGAAAAGATCACCTACTTCAGGATCATTTGAAATCCTGGGTTTCAGTATTAATGATCTGTATGATATTGGACAGAAAATTAATCTCAACTCAATTTCATCATCTGTGAAAGGTCATCATAGTTCTGTACTCTACAGGCTGGATGTGAGATGTAAATGTAATTCATACAGTACCTGGTTTAGAATCTGATTTTTACTTTGAACTATCTTCTGAATACATTTCATAATCTTATCACTTTTAGATTGAAAGTTTTCTGAGGGTGGTTACTGTGCCTTATTTCCCATTTCGCCTAGCGAAATGATTTGAATTTAAATTGCTCTCTGCATCTCCATCGAGATGATTGTACTAGAGTCATCCACAGACGTCTATTTGTGACTTAAATTGATAGAAAACATCTAGATAACTGACTTTTTTGGCTGCTGTTGTTACTGAACAGCTTTATGAAAGTCGGGAACATCAAAGCAGTACAGATGACCTCATTTGGGGTCAGGAGCCACACTGTCTTGTGGTTAGACTTTTGTCCTGCAAAAGGAGTTCATCTTTTAGGCATGGACTGCTGTGAGAACTTGTGTCTATTTGTTCTCACAGAATAATTTGGGGATCATAAATCTGGCAGGACAACCACCACAAACTGCTTCAGAACAGGGCTTTAGTTTCGTTATCCTGGTGGTCTTTCCAGTTGACAATGAATTCTGCTAAAATTTAGATGCTGCATCATAGAATTCAATCATGACCTCATCTTAAAATATTGTTTAGCCAAAATGTTAGAGTTTCTCTGACAGAGTGGCATCCTGAACCTGTCCTAATATTATATCATCCTAGTAATCCACTGCTACTTGGGTTTTTTCCTCAAGTTTATTTCTCTACCATTTTACTGATCCTTCATGTTTATAAGTAAAAATAACTACAGTCGGGTGCAGTGGCTCCCACCCGTGATCCTAGCACTTTGGGTGGCCGAGGCAGGCAGATCACTTGAGGTCAGGACTTCGAGACCAGCCTGGCCAACATGGTGAAACCTCATCTCTACTAAAAATACAAAGATTAATCGGGCATGGTGGCAGGTGCCTGTACAATCCCAGCTACTCAGGAGGCTGAGGAAGGAGAATCGCTTGAACTTGAGAGGCGGAGGTTGCAGTGAGCTGAGATCGTGCCATTGCACTCCAGCCTGGGGGACAAGAGTAAGACTTTGTCTCAAAAAACAAAACAAGAAAACAAAAACTATAGATGGTAAAGAAATTTCTGAACTCAGACGCGACACAGCAGTATCAAACATTCCTTGAATCAATGGAATGAATTCTCATGCTTTTTTGAGTAATATGAATGTGTGTCCCTTTTATATGTTCAGGAATACTGAGGGATGAATTTTTCTTTATTAGATTATGGTGTATTTCTTCTCATTTTAGTGACAGGATTACTGAAGAAACTTGTTTTCTGTCAAACGTTTTGGCCACCAATACTACAAATGTATCTGAATCTTTTGGTTCTAGAATAGTCAAAATTTACAGTCCCTGAAGCATCAAGGAATAAACTCTCCTTATGTTGAAGCAAAAACAATAGCAACAGTAGAGTTTTCCTTCTTAGTGCTCAGAGATGGAGATATGAGTAATAGGCCTAAAAGATGAATAAACATCCAAAGGGAGAAAGAAAAAAAAGCAATTTTTGTGTTGGTCTGTGCTGAAACTTCAGTTTGTCACACCTTGGTTGAGGAGAAAAAAATACATGAGCATCAAATATTAACTCCTGTCAAGCGTGATAAAAGTCAGCTACTTTTGCCTTCTCTAACAGGTGAAAGATTTTCTTGTGATAGCCACAGCTTCGAATCATGGGTCAAGAGACTATTTAAATATACAATTCCATTTGCAGTGGCTTTTGCAATAGCTTGTTGGAAATTAAAAATATTAATCTCGCAGACAGTAAGTTTGTCTTGACCCACATCTATTGTTTCAGTTAAATGCATTATGGATATTATACATTAATTACTATAGTGTTAGGTTAGCTGACAATCATCCTTTTAAAAATATACTTTGAGGAACTGAAATAGGCAAGAATGAGACAAACGAAAATGACCTAAGAAAATAACCAATTACTTTTGAATCAGAACATGAACCAGAGCATTTTGTTTCATGTAAATAATCAGACTCCACAAGGTATTCAAAGAGGAGGTAAAACACTATTGCCTCAAATGTCTATGATAAAAGGATAAGAACGTTTTCAACTCCTAGATCTTATCTTACTGTAGGATCCCAGAAGAGGAGAGTAAAAAAGCTGAAACAGGAGAAAGATATGATTTTAGCCACCTCATTTTTATACAACCGAGACCGTGTTAAAAAAAAAAAAAGAGGTTCCTTGTGAGTGTGAGCGTTGTGTGTACATGTGTGTGTAGTGTGTTCATATGTGAGTGTGTGAGCATGGTATGTGTGGTGTGTGCATCTGTGAGTGGGTGGGGATATGTGTAGGGAAAAGGCCCTGCTAAAGAGCAGAACTACACTGCTTGGCACAAACGAGCAATTCACCCATTTCAATGAAGCCAATATTTAGAACCAAATGTGACATGTTCAAATGCATGCCTAATGTTATTCCATAGGCTACTGGGCATTGCAAGTAGACAGGGAAAATATCTGCATTATGGACAAAACATGTCATCAGTTACTTCTGTTTACATCAGTTCCGAGCATCTACATTTTAACATTAGAGTTGATGCTATTTAGCATTACGATGTGTGGTTTGACTTATTCACACATACAAGATCCTAGATTCCATTCCCCATCAGGTCATCTTTCCCTCACTATCATCATTCTCCACTCTAAGACACTTAGGTTCCCCTTCATCAACTAGTCTTTCCAAAAAAAAAAAAAAAGAAAAAGAAAAAGAAAAAGAAAAAGCTTTTATTTGCGTGATCAAAGCTTCAGGCTCTTCAAGGCGGTGAATGATTTCTCCCCAGTGCAGATTAGAACATAACCCAGAACCCCTGACCCCCAGGACCAGTTATAACATCACCCAGTGTTGCAACATAATCATCTGGCAGGAATGGGAGGGTGGGAAGATCAAGCCGAGAGGTGGAGGACACCAAGCACAGGAGCTCCACATCTGTTATCTGCACACTTGGGGCTGATGGATGAGGGATGAGTGAGCTCGCCAAGAGGCATTTATTCTACCTGTGGTCTGCCACATGGAGAAGAGGGAAAGGAGAATCTCTGCAGGGTGCCAGGTGATCAAAGCTGTATGTTTCAGGACAACAGCCCTGGAGTTGTTCTGGGAGAAGCCATAGAAATCAAGAACAATTGGTGACTCACCGAAAATTGAAGAGATCTCCAAGAGAAGTCACAGGTTCTTCTACCAGGGAGAAGAGCTTAGAGCAATTCATTCTGACACCCCTTTCCGGGAATTCCGCATGACTAGAGCTATGAGAAGTATCTGCCAGTGTCCTTTCTGTGGCAATAAAGCTGCTAACCAGAACTGATCTTCTCCACTTGACACAACGTACCTGTAAAGCTTGAAAGGGAAGGGTTTTCCATTCCATCCTTAGAGACAGAATGCCTGAAGCACAAACACATTCCGTGTTCAAAACACTCACCTAGCACTGGGTGAGCTATGAAGATTGATAGAACTGACAATATTCTTAAGGGGCACATAGTTAAGTTTGATTAATGTATCATATCAAAAATCCTCATAGAAACAGATCATTTTAAGTCTAAAGTGGGGATTTCTAAAAATGAAAATATATTGGGGACTTTTTAAAGGTGTTTAGCCACAAATAACAGCTAATGCCATTGTGCTTTGCTCAGCTGTCAAATTGCTCTGGGGATGACACGCATAGTTACTTCTCCAGACCTCAGTGTTCTTTCAGTAAAAGAATGGCATGTCACCAACATGTTACTAATCCTAAGTGCCACATAGCTCTAAGAGTCATCGATTATTTGTTCCTGAATGAGAAAAAGGGGGCCAAGGATAGTATATTGGGATCTTTCTGCTTTGATTAAAGCTTATGAGAGAAGATAATGGTGTGGAAGGCACTAAGAGACGGAGGAAGAGAAACAGGAAGTTTGGTATTCCCCAAACCATAAACCAATAGGGCTTTACGTGTGCCAGGTACTTTAGAAGTTTTACATACATGAAGTCATAGCAAACCAGAAGATGCTATGCATCAGTTTGAGTAGTGGACAAAGGTACAGTTTCCCCTTATCAGTGGGAGACAGTTTTCAAGACCCCCACTGGATATCTGGAACTGCAGACAGTACTGAGCCCTATATATATACCATATTTTATCCCATGCATACATACCTATGATCAAGTTGAATTTATAAGTTAGGCACAGTAAGAGATTAACAATAATAAAATAGAATACCTAAGACAATATACTGTGGCTATAACTTTTTCAGTTTGATGTGACAGCAAAACTTGCATAATTTTTTCCTTCATGATTTCAAAGATAAAGTTTTTCTTAATATAGATCTTGGCAAAGTCAGCTTATGAGGGTTTCTCTCTCCTTAAGTCAAGAACTTTCACCTTTTTAGTTAAAGCAAGCACCTTACAGCCTCTCTTTGGCACATCTAAATCGCCAGCTTCACTAACTCCATCTCTTTGGAGCCATTAAGAAAAACTGAGTTACTTGAACACAAGCACTGAGTCCGCCACAGTCGATTTGATAACCTAGACAGCTACTGAATGACTCAGGGGGTAGCATAGACAGTGTGAATCAACTACACAGAGGGATGATATTTCCACCACACTACTCAAAATGGTGGGCAATTTAAAATTTGAGATTTTTCATTTAATATTTTCTACACATGGTAGATAGCAACCTGGCGGATTGCAGGTTAACTAAAACTATGGAAATGAAAGTGTTAAAGAGAGGAATACCATGTCAGAATTCTTTACCTCAAAGGTTCAACCCTAGGGCTAGAGACTGAAAGGATCTTAAAGCATGAAACTTTTAAAGAGCATCTAAGTGATCACTGCTTTGAAAATAGTGGATCACAAGAACCAGGAGAAGACAGGAGTCAGTTCAGTTAAACAGTGCAATAGTAGAGAGGGAAACCGGTCTGATTCCGAAACTCGAGACTGAAGGAGAGAGGACATGATCAGAGACAATGTAAATAATGTCAAAAGGCTCGCAAATGGGAATTAGCAGGCACTAGGGGTGGAAGAGAGAGGGGAGAGTCCAGTCTAACTACAGCTGAAGAGCCCGTGGAGAGCTGAGGTGTGTGGGGTGGAGTGCGGCTGGAAAGTGAAGGCAGGGAGACCAGAACTCAGCGTCGAGAAATAAGGTGCAAATGGGAGTTGTTTCAGTCAGAAAGTTACATGCTGAAATAAGGTACTTATGAAAGATCCACCTGGCAGTTTTAGTCTTGAAAGCAAGATTAATATTAATTGCTACTCATAAGTGTTCATAGCCACAGTGGGCTTTGGCCAGGAACTCCTTTTCTTCTTCTACCTACACAAGCTACTCCTGTACTCCGTCTGCTTTTATGAATGAACGCATTTGGACCTTGCTTCCTACATTAATCAGATTTTATCCCCTTCTCTCCACAGCAACGTAGTATCCAATGATGTGAATTTCTCTTTTCCCTTACCTTATCTCCAGTTCTAATTACATACTGCCTTAGTTACCACCCCCCTTTATCTGCCTATTTATTTAAATGGTAACTGTTTTCATTCATGGAAAAGTAGTCTACTTTCCCTCCCATCCCAACTGACAATTTGGAAATTTTCAGTGTGGAAAATTAGGCATAAGATAGAAGTTTTCTTGGCTTTAAAAAAAAAAAAAAAATCAGCACTATAATGGCATGTAGGTGAACATTTACTGAACACTTACTATGCCAGAAGTTAGTTCAGTTTGAAGAATACAGGTTTTAATGCTACATGCCAACTTACCTAAACTACATTGTCAAGGATATCACCAATGGACAAGAAAGAAAGAAGTACATCTGGTTTCCTGGAGCATTGAGAGTAAAAGGTCTAAATTCCAAGCTGCCAGCAGGAGGGCTGTGATGTGGATGTGCAGGGGAATGCTTCTGGGCAGCAGTGTCAGTTCGTGTGGTGGCAAATAGAAATCAAAGGATCTGGCATATGGCCCATCCAGTCCACCCTGCTAACGCTGTGGAAGAGGAAATGGAGAGTAAGGGAATGGAGGATTACACAGGAGCAGCAGAGGCGAGGTGAGGCGAGGCGAGCCCATCTAGTCCACCCTACTAATACTGTGGAAGAGGAAATGGAGAGTAAGGGCATGGAGGATTACACAGGAACAGCAGTGGTGAGGTGAGGTGAGCTGAAGCAAGGGGCAGACACCTGCAACTATAAACACAATGCACTCATTATTATACCCCTACAGCCTGAGCTTCCAACATGTCCACATCTCCCCCTGGGCTCCAGTTACTCAGCTCAACAGGCTTTTATATGCCATGCTAAGATGGCTTCTAGGAGACCTCTAATAGTTTTATTAAAAAAAAAGATCTTAAGGCACACGTGGATGCCTTATGGGTTCAATAAAAGAGGAAGGAGGTTAAAATGAAAAAAAAAAATCATGATTTCCCTCCAAGCATGAAGTCTTCAGCCACACCTAAATGCATATGAACGGAGCAATTAATCATTTAACTTAAAATGTAAATTAAAATTTTAACAAAATATTCAGAGGGCAATCTATGCTTATCCAATAGTATGCACCCCTGCTACCAATTAATTCTGAAACTTTCTCATTGTGAATACCAAGCACATTCTTCTAACTGTCGGCTCTTACATGCCATTTTCCTTCAGTAAATCTATTCATGTTCTTCTAAACTATTACATTTCCCTTAGCTTCCCACGTTTCATGCTAAATGCCCTTTTCCAGTTGTCTGCTTGCCAGATAGTGAATATATGTTATTTATGCTTAATCTTGAGAAGACCACTGCCTCAGTTATTAGCAGATAAGCTCACAGTAGTAACGTGGCCTTCTAATAGTTACAGAGTAATACCTGAAGAAAACATCCCAGTATCTGGGTGATGTTCTGTTTTTCATGAAGATCTAAGGATCCTACCTCAGAGAAGCTGGGTCCAAGTCTTTCTAAAGCAGTAGTGGAATGTCAGACTTCTTATTAAATACATTGTGTAGGGGTGAGGCTAGGTCAAAAAGTCTTTTCACTAATAGAGTCCCACATCCCCCAGGAAGAATTCCTGGGTTAGCAATTAATCCAAGTTGACTGGGTTTACCATGAACTTTAGAAGCAGCCTGTCCTTTCTTGCAGAGGGTGCATTGTTTTCCCAAGTGAAGGACTGGAATCGTTTCTTGGTATTTCATCATGAAAATGTCTTACTGAATCTTGGCATCTCTCCAGAGAGATTTTAAAGGCAGTGATGTGGGGATAAGAGCCTCGCTCTAAATTGAAAATTAGATTTTAAATTTCTTTAGAAATAGAGGCTATGACAAACTAAAAAAGCTCTTTCTCAAAAGTCACTGGCCTCTTGTTTGGGGAGAAATCTTTAAAGTTATAAATAAGTGTGAACCAAAAAGCATTGGAGCCAAGTCTCAATCAATGTAGATGTTTCTGGTGCCAAGGTTGAGGATGCACCTGGGAAAAAGGAACACAATATGACAGGAGCATCTGAGATTTGTGCTTCTTCCAAAGACGGTTGGGAGACTTCAATATTTAAAAGGGAAACAGTGGGCATTAGAGGAAAAAAAAGAAAAAGGAAGTGTGAATAAATGAAGTAGTTTCCTTCTTTGCAGGCTTTAATCAGTGTTGACTGAATTCGCACTTTAGATGTGACAGGAGAGGGTTTAGAGGAACACTCAACTGGGCGTTCATCTCCTGCTCAGTGAATCTGGATTGTATATAAGATAAGGTACACAGTAGAGGAAGCAGTCAAATATGCATTTGTTTCAGGGGAGTGGAGGGATGACTCCCAGGCCTGTCTTTGTCCACTGCCTGTCAAGATAAGCCATTCATTTACATTGTCAGCATGACAATTCAAGAGAATGGTTTTCGGGTAAAGATCTTTGGGCCAGCAAGGAATTTCCTTGCTAGCAGATTGTGAGGGAGGTCCCTTGGGGAGGTATGTAGCCTTCTACCTGTGTAGCTGTCCATTCCGGAACAGTATGGAATCTGTAGCCATACAGTCGGGAACAGATATGGAATATAGTTTTGCATGACAGAGTTCCCAAGCTTGACTTTTCCCTTTGGCTTAGTGAGTTTGGGTCCCAAGAGATTTTCCTTCTACTTTCTCCTATCTTCTATTTTCACAAAAGTGGCATTTGTCACTTAGGTTAAGTGTTTTTCAGAATTATTTGTCTTACGTGTACTACAGAAGAATATTGACCTCAGTAGGAATAAAGGAGACATAAGAAAAATGATGGAAATAACGCAATTGGTAGAGAAAAAAGTGAGGGTAATACAAGTTATGCATTTTCTAAAGTTTTCACCAGAGCACATTAAGATATTTAAACATTAGGAAAATTGAACTTCCTAACATTTATTTCTCTAATGGGGAAAAGAAGGTGGTCTTATTACTAAAGTTCTGCTTCCCAAACAACATCATTGAATGCTTTTCATGCATTAAGTCAGCTAATGGGCAACATTACTTATGATTGCTAGTCATCACAAATCCATTGGACACATACCTTATACCCTCTGTTGCAGATAAGCAGAAAACCCATACCCTTTTTCAGCCTTTAGAATGTTATTCAATAATTCCTGAATATTTTATATGTCATCCATAAATAAAGTTCTCCAACTAACTATTGGATTGATTGGATACACTCTTCCCTCTGGTGTGATGTGTCTTTCTCCAGAGCCACAAATGGGTTACAACCAATATTGATCCTCTCAACCCTGGATTGGTCTTCAGTGCCCGATTTGGCTACAGCCACAGGGGAGTTGATTTTGCTGTCAACAGCCACATCAGTTTTCCTCAAGGTGCCATATCACTAATTTTTATAGTTATGTCATGAAAGCGTTTGAGAAGTGCTGCTGTATCAGTTTGGAAAATTGTTAATACAAGCCCAACTTAAGGAAAAAACAGACCTGTGAACAGTGTATTGATTGGTATTAGTTTCTAACTCATGTTCATGTGTCACAATACTTTGTCTAGTGTTGAACTTAGTTATCTTATATAATTTAGACTTTTTACAAGAGGTATTTTGTGGTGTCTCAATCTTCCATGTTTCTTATTCACTTTTTCTCTTTTCCTTCCCTTTAACTCTCTTCAGGAAGTAATCCTTTTTATATCATCAGTAGGTATAGACTTGGTTGCTACAAGCCAAGACTGACTCCCACAGTTTGGAGTTTAGATTGTTTTAATTTCAGATAATTCTGCCTGCCCACTCTCACTCCATTCCAAAGTGCCACTTGACATTTTTGGGTGAATCTGTATTTGGCAAAACCTTGCTAGCTCCTATAAGACTTAATTTTTAAGTGTTCTATATTTCTAAAGATATTGGCCCTCTGCTCATGTCTCTGAAAAACAGACTATTAATCCATTTTCACACTGCTATAAAACACCCCAAACTGGGTAATTTATGAAGAGGTTAAGTGGGCTCAGTTCCACATGGCTGGGGAGGCCTCACAGCCAATGGTGGAAGGTGAAGGAGAAGCAAAGGCATGTCTTACATGGCAGCAGGCAAGACTCATGTGCAGGGGAACCACCCTTTGTAAAACCATCAGATCTCGTGAGACTTATTCATCATGAGAACAGCATGGGAAAAACCCACCCCCAGGATTCAATTAACTCCCACCAGGCCCCTCCCACTACACATGGGGATTATAGGAGCTACAATTCAAGATGATATTTGGGTGGGGAAACAGCCAAACCATTATCAGAGACACATTCTAATAAGTTCTTAACTGGAGGTTCTGGCAAGAAAAATATGCTGAGATTGCCAAGATCTACAGTAAGAATGAATCTTCTTTGAAATTGTGTAGGAGGAAAAACACATTTGTGGTAATTTTGCTGTCACACCTCAAACTGCAAAACCTACAGCCACAGTGTGTGATAAGTGCTTAGGTAAGAAAGAAAACGTATTACATTTATGGTAGAAGATGAGCAAATATGTTGTGACTGACAGCAGTCAGGTTCTATAGTTCTATACTATGGTTTCAGGCTTCCCCCAAAAGACTTAGAACACAGCCTGAGGATAAGATGGTGACTGCTATATTTGAAATATAATATTTGAGTTGATTCTTTATAATGGTCAATGGACAGACTGTCTAAAGGGGAAAAGTCGAGAGAAGTCAGGGAAGTAGTTGAAGATGACCGTTTTTGCCATGACTGAGCAGAGCCAGAAACAGGCTAGTCCATGATTTTTAGTGGAATACACACCTTGTTAAGAGCTCATGGGTGACTACTAAACCTCAGCTTTATGCCTACCCCAGCCCAAACTGTTCATTGTTCAGAGCCTTCATACCTTTCAAAAAAATGAAATCCTTAAAAATCCCAGGCAGCTTTCCAAATCCCATAAATGCCCCACAGTTGCTGGCATGTGGGTCACTTGTTTCCAGGCAGAGAATATTTAAACTCAAGGGCAATGATAAAGTCTTGTATCCTTCATTTCAAGTCTCTAGCAGCATATGCAATTTGTTTAGAAAGTGGTTACCTTTCCTGAGGACACACACCTCCCAACAACCTTCTGTAGGGCCCCCGTGACATCCTTGTTCCTAAGGCTGTAAATGAGTGGATTGAGCATGGGAGTGAGGATGGTGTAGAAGGCAGATACAGCTTTGTCCTGCTCAGGGGTGTGGTAAGAATGAGGCAGCACGTATGTGTACATGGCAGCCCCATAGAAGAGGCTGACAACCACCATGTGTGAGGAGCAGGTGGCCACAGCCTTTCGCCTCCCCTCTGCCTCGCTCATCCTATAAACAGTAATGAGAATTCTTGTGTAAGAGCCCGAGATCACAGAGAAAGGGATGAGGAGCATCATAATACAGCAGACATACATGGCTGTCTCGTAGGCTGATGTGTCCGTGCAGGAGAGCTTCAGAAGGGCAGGCACCTCGCAGAAGAAGTGGTTGATCTCCCGAGAGGCACAGAAGGGGAACTGCATGGTGACGGGGGTGAGCAAGAAACCATCGATAGACCCTCCCAGCCAGGCTGCCGCCACAATCAACCAGCAGATCTTGCGGCTCATGAGGTCAGGATAGTGCAGAGGGTTGCAGATGGCTACGTAGCGATCACAGGACATGAGTCCTAGGAGGAAGAACTCAGCCCCTGCTAAGGTCAAGTAGAGGAAGTGTTGGGCAGTGCATCCAGCAAAGGAAATGGCTCTCTGGCTCATCACCTGGTCGACCAGCATTTTGGGCACAATGGTGGAAATATACAGGATGTCCCTGAGGGAGAGCTGGCTGAGCAGGAAGTACATGGGGGTGTGGAGGCGGGAGTCTATGTGGATGAGAATGATCTTGACCACGTTGCTGGCTATGGAGGTCACAAAGACCAGGAGAATGAGGGCAAAGAAGCCAGGGGAAACGGGCGTTGCTGAACAAACCCAGAAGGATAAAGTCGGCATACACGGAATAATTGCTCTGCTCCATAGCTCTGTAGGGTACACGAAAGAGATATGATAAAGTTGGAAAGGTATCTGATTTACATAAAACATTATGATGTAGTCATGAAACCAAGGTCAAAATCTTATTTCTTGAAGCTCATAATTTCCCTGAGAGAACTGCCTGAGCAGGATTGTGCTACATCTCATTATACCATCATTGTTCATTTAAGGATTTTCTTGATTTGGTGATTACTATTTAGAGTTCATGATCAAACAATCTTTTTGTTCATGACCATTTATTTCTGTCTTTCGAGTACCACCTTACATTGGTGAGGATGCATATAAGACATAAGAATGGAACCAGCCTGATTCAATAGGATAGGGTGGTGGGGAGGAAAGGAGGATTGTCCACATCCTACACTGCTCTCCTTATACTAGACTCTAGTTCTCACACTTAGAATCCAGTTTGAAGATCACCACGAGTATATATTTGCCTATGGAAGAATAACTGCATTATTTGACCTAATTTACACCATTCTTGACACACTTGTACATTGTAAAATTTGAGTGCTCAACTTACATGTATCAGGTGGAGTATTGCAGAATGAGCCTGTGTTGAATAAAAAGAGCTGAGTTCTGAGAAGTCATCCAAGAATTCATAGGAGGAAAAATCATGGGAGAAAACGTTGAGGGTCAAGTGGTGTTTGCTTTCCTTCTTGCAGCAGCAAACTACCGATTATTAACATACAACTCGTTAAAATGTTAGAATCCCATTTAACTTATGAAAAAATAAACTAGTTTAAGTATTAGAGCTAGTGTATCCCAAAAGAAGGGATCTCTCAAACTTGAAGTTAGATTCTGCATATGTATCCATATCAGTTAAATATTTTACCACAATTTAGGACCACTTATGAGTTATTTGGATAGCTTCTCCCTGCATCATATAGATCTGCACTATCCAGGGTGGTAGCCATGAGGCTTATGAAGCTGTGGAGCCCCTGAAACACGACTGCTCCAAATCAAGATGTGCCATCAGCACAAAGTTAACAATTCAAACACCTGTTAAAAATATATGCAACACGTCTTCTTAAAACTTTATATTATGGTAACTTTTAGATATATTTGGATAATATAGATTAAAATTAGTTTCACCTATTCTTTACATTTTTAATGTGGTTACTAGAAAATTTAGAATTCTCTGTGGCTCCCCTAGGATTTCTACTAGGCAGCACTGGTTAGAGTTATTCCTGGGAATATGACAGCTCCAATTACCTTCATCCAAACAAGTCCTCCAGAATTAAACACCACAAATTAGAATTGAGCCAAAAAATTTAGGTGTGTACCAAATTAGAAAAATGGCTTTACTTGTATATGCATTCACCTGCAAATAGCAGTAAGAACATTAATAACTGATTCGTAAATTTTACATTTCCAAACAACTGTGTAAGATACTAGACCATTCTACAGTTGAAAATGAGGCTTAAGGAAACTTCCCCAAGGAGGAACATTGTTCTTTAAACAGTGACAGTATAATTTGTTCTATGCTGTTTTCCAACAGGACAAAGTAGACATCAATTCATTCCGTAAATATTTCCCGAGAGGCACATTGGGTAAGCCAAAGTTTGATATTCTGAAAGACCCTGAAAGAATGTAAGACATCATCTGTCTTCGAGCCTAGAATTGAGGCACATGAACGTGTGTTGTGTGACCACAGGTGCACTTTCAGAATGGTTTTAAGACCTCAGCAGTTTTGACTTACTTGGTATGTGAACAAAGGACAATAAAAATGATGGAAGCTGCAGCCCACTGGCTGGTAGACAGGAACTTCACACCAGGGCCCCTCAGTACATTCCACCACAACCATGCCACAGTGGATGGATGGAAAACGATGAAAATTCAGATTTTTACTGATGAAACCCACATTATATCCTTATGCATTTTTCAGTTCTCATTCTTGAAATATTACCAGCTTTATGCCAGGGCTTTCCATCAGCTGATTTATAATGTATCTTTATTATTTTAAAAACTGTTAAGCCAGTGGGAAAATTAAAGGCAAACATTTAGTAGCAATTCGTATGATGGAGAGTGCTGAATGCTCACCCAGACCTGGTTGTCCATAATTTAATAAGAACAAGATCCTTGGAGGGCCGTGCTTGTTATTTCACAGTAAATTCAGAGAATGGTGGCTACCTACTGGGGACCAGCCACAGTGACTGCTATTGGTCCACTGGGAATATTAAAGCCCAAGACGAAAAAATTGGTCCAAAAATATCCTTATCAGGGCAGCTGTGTCCTGAACCCTGACCATGAATACTCCTGGCCCTGAAACTTGCTAATGAGACTCTGGGGATCTCCCCAGCTTACTTCACAAAGGGAAAGGGGAGATATGAGTGGCTCCATAACCACTCAGATTTTACAACCATCTTCCAACTCTGGTAGTGTTGATTCATTCACTGTATTTTAAGAGTTACCCAGTATAGCAACATTTAAGAATACTTGGAAAATAAAGGAATCAACTGGATTATACCATGCCCCATGTAATAATTGTCTATGCATAATTCCAAACCTTAGTAAACGTCCAGTTCTATGTATACTTAATATTTAGCACATCTTTCCCAGTCTTTATAGAGACTATTGCTGTGATTGAATATGAGACACTCAGCTTGGTTCACATTCACGTTGTTGAGTTTGCTTATATGCAGTATTATGAGGTGAATTCTCTGGCATAATTCATGGACAATGGTTTACTATGCTTTAGAAGCTTATCACCAAGTTGTTAAATGCTTAACAGTAAGAGAACACACTTGCGGCAGCATCATGCTTGCCCCAGCATTTAGCACTAGTATCGAAACTCACAATATGGATTTGATTATGAAAAAAATTGAACATAGTGTATATTTTGGCTATTTTGATTTTTCATGACCTTTTCTATATAGGTGATTTGTCAAGATTATTAATAAAAAATAAAAATCTATAGACTATTCTTTTGTTCAATTTAGTGCAGCTATTTTGCCCCCCGAGTTACATACATGTAATTGTAACTTTGATGTTTAGGCCAAAAAGTTTTGAAATATTTCAGACATTTTCATTCTGTGTGCTGGATTTTTGAAAAAAAATATTTTCCATCGAGGTATGTGATTAATATACAATTTAAAATTTTTAATGTAATTTTCTATGCACTTAAAATCTTTGGTCTAGACATTAAAACTATGCAACCATTGGTTTATGAGATCAACCATGATAAATTTGTACTTTAAGATCATGCCAGTGAATTCTATCTAATTGGAGTTCTTCAAATAAGCAGGAGTTCAAGTGTGAATGATGAGCAGGAATGACCTAAGTAACAAGGAGAACTGTTGGAAATGTGGGAACACTGTCATGGGTAAAATTAGTTTTCACCCTTGTTGCATGTACAAATTCTGGTATAAAAAGCGAGTACTAAAAATGAGTGCCAGGTTAACCTTAAGACTGTGATAGCGACAGTTAGCTTTGGGAATCTCACCCTTTGCTGTCCATTATGTTTTTCTCTTCAATAGCAGGTCCAGCAGCAGGTAGCCAAGTTTTCTACTTTTTCATTTTTGTTGTCGTTCTGTCAGACCCTGCTCTGCATCAAAGATTGGCACAATTCTTGGTGACCATCTAACTCAGAATACGTTTGAGTGCTAAAAGGCTAAGCTAGACAGGACATGAGGACAACAGGCATAAGAAAGGGAATATCTTGAGAAAACAGGGCTAAATGGTGACCCTGACTATAAGACATTTAATTCTCTGTACAATCAGATTCATTATGTTTCCTCCCCAGCAGTATTTTCACATGAAGTGTCACTTCTAGAAAATGGCTTTTCTTCCACAACTAAAGTAAAATCACTTGGGGAATCTTTAGAACGATAGAGAAGTTTTGATTAAGGCCGAGGGATTGTCTTGAAGCAGACCAAGGGCATGATCACCTTCAGTCTCTACAGAAGTTGAACTGAGTTCTTCCCCTGTCTATTCCTAACCCTTGAAACATTCTTGGCATGTTTAATGTTCACAATGCTACATGACATGGTTTTTAATCAAAGCTGGCTTTATATTCTATCTTCATCACTGATAAGCTTCTGGACGTCTGGCAAGCCACTCACATTCTTTTCAGCTTCTGGGAACTTCTAAGTATTAAGTATGCTGCAATGGTTTCTCGGAGCAGGATATGGAGGGTCTTCCTAACTAAACCATTTTTAGAGATGCTTATGAGGTACCTAACAAGGTGGAATACTACGATTTAGATAAGCTCTTTATAAAGATTTTAAAATTATAGGTGAATATATGTTGCAATGATAAAAACTGTTGGAATCATTATGCAGACAGATCTGCATAGAATTCAAGTAATCTGCTACATTCTGATGTACAGAAAAGATAAGAGTCCATAACTACTAAGAAACGAGATTGAATTATCTAAGATTTGTATATTAGTACTATCCACAAGTATCTGCAGTTCAAAATCAGATGTATCAAACTTCAACATTCTCCAGTATTTCTCTGGTTTGAACCAAAACTTTCTAGTAAGTCCAGAATCTATTTAAAGCATCCTGCGATTGATCAGCATCAAGACTGCAAACTTACCTTACACAGTATCTTCCCCAAACACGATGATCTGAATATTTAGAGAGAAACCTTACAGAACTAAGGTAGTACATGCAATTGTTCAGCATTTCCTTTTATGTAGTAAGTATGGGGAACTAAGAGGCATACATCAGACTTTCTAAACTGGAGGTATTCTATGTTCTGTATTTCAAACTTGTTTTCTGAACTGAAACAGGGGAGTACAGGCAGGGAGAGTATGAATTCAAACAAGAAGGTACAGTGGATTAGGCGTGGGAATTACATCTTGTTGGCAGAAGGATAAGGGTCAGTCCCTAACTTATTGAGACTTTTTAAAATACAGTGATAGGTGAATCCTTTGAAGATCGAGAAATAGAACAGCCTGAATCTGTAAATGCCTAATGTCAGTTGACAGCAGCTGCATTATGCAGGCTGTTAAGATAGAGATCCAGTGACAAATAGAGCTTGCATCATGGTGATGGCTAGTACTCCCATTCAGGAGATACATTGACATCACTGTCTCTGGGGTCCTTGTCCCTAGCCTGCAATTACAGTTCATATAAAATGTGACAGACTCCTTAAGAAAAATGTAACCTCTCAATTTACAAAGTAAACACCCAAGATAAGTCAGGTTGCTGGCAGCTGCAACTTAAATTGCTTTTTTCTCTTTTACTTTGTTCACGACATTGTTTTGAAAGTTTCTCTTTTTACACTTCCAACTTTCAGGCATCTCTCTTGAAATAGAAATCAATGTTTCTAAGGAAGTATTGTCTTGCAAAAGATACATTTTGGGCCATTCCCCATCACTCAAGTATTAGTATGTAATCATCCTGTCTTTCTTGTAACTTGTAATACATAAAACTTTCAGCATTGCAAGCATTTAAAAATATTCATTTTACTAATCTCAGTGTATATAAGATCTTTGAGTTACTTCAAGAAGACAGACCTTTTCTCATCCAGTATTCTCAAAAGGGCCCACAACGATTCCTGGGGGGAGCGGGAAGGGTGGGGGGGAATTTTAGACCCTGCAGTCTTGTTGTGCTGCAATCTATGCCTGCATGATCTTGGCTTTCATGTAATTCATATTTACCTCACTGGTGTTTAAGTTAGTGGGGGTTGGAATTCAGGTTTTCTGAGGCTGAAGCTTATGCAATCTGGGGCATCTTAAGAAAACAGGCTACAAATCATGATTGCACAGGTATAATATTCTCTTCAGTGAAACTCCAACAAAATTACACCTTTAGAAAGCTGACAAAATACCACGAAGAAATACATAAACACCTCAACTTAAATCTTAACTGGTTGAACTTACCACTTTTACCATTTTTTCCAACAACTGGCTACATTACTATGTACTCTAATATTTTCTATAAGCAAGAAGAGATGATTCAATCCTAGTATGGTTGGTTGAAATTTTTTAAGTTTTTTGGTAGTTTAGAAAATTCTTTGGGTCTTTCCCCTTTGTTTAGGATTGAGGTCCAATCTGAGAAAGCCACTGTTAAATTACTTTCATATATGACCTGCCTTAGCTTCCCCAAAAGCTGACCTTAGAAAATATTTGAAACTGAGAAAAATGATTCAGAGCAGTCTGAAGAATGTGAGCTTTACAAAACGTCTTAGGCTCAGAGACGCGAGCATGAGAATTCAATAACTTCCCTACCCAGCCCTGCTCACACATGCGCACCTGGGGTTGTTTAAAGGAATTTTATACTTCCCCCCGCTCCCCCGAAGTTTCCAGACTAGCTGATAAGTTACCTAAAATGTTACAAGTTGTACAATATGACCTTTACCAACCATCTTCATGT
This sequence comes from Homo sapiens, assembly GCF_000001405.40. Taxonomy (NCBI): domain Eukaryota; kingdom Metazoa; phylum Chordata; class Mammalia; order Primates; family Hominidae; genus Homo; species Homo sapiens. Next base: position 82,818 of record NW_025791755.1, on the reverse strand, counting down.
TCCCTACAGAGAATAGTGTATAGCTTATCAATAGCTACAAAAGAACAATGTCTAGTTGATCAATAGTTTATGTCAGCTTAGAACTTCCCTTTTCCCTTAGAGGCCCCATTATAACTGCTGTTAGTTGGAGCATTTATTTAAGGCTACTAGAATCTGTCTCCTCAGATTGCATTTCCCAATCTTGGTCCAAATATGCGTGTTAACTTTGCCTCAGTTTTTTCCTTTAGGTTGATACAACCATCACCACCATCCATCTCCAGGACTTTTTCCTCATCCCAAACAAATCTTCTGTACCCATTAAACATTAACTGTATTTTCTCCTTTTCCTCATCTCTGGGGTAAGGTGTATTCTGTTTCTGTGGATTTTCCTCTTCTAGGTACTGTAGCAAACCTGTACAATTGCTACTTGAGACGGTCACTACCGCAGTTACTGTTACTGCTTGAGATGCTCATTACAGGACTGAGCGAAGGGAGGTAGAAGTGGGGGAAAAACACTGTTCGAAGGCTAAGCTCGGGGAAGAAGAGCTCCCAGCTTCTAGTGAGCAAGGGCAGCCGCCCCAGCTTCTCAGCACTCCGCATGGATCGAGTAGGAGCAGGGAGGAGGACGCACGATTGATCAGCTGCGTGACTGATCGCAGGTGCACATGGTTGCGATCGGACTTTCCCACGCACCTAATGACACACTCGTGCCTGCGCGTGACGCCCTCCGCTCCACCTCCGCGCGGAAACGCAGTCTCTCAGTTTGCCAACATTCTGCATTTGTGAGAAGCAGTTTTGCTGCTTACTCGTCCGGCCTCCAGTGGTAAACCGAGCCGATCGCGACCCTCGCCCTTTCGGCCTCCAACCCTTTTTTAAATTATGTCTGTCCCTGTATTATGGGGGTTGAGGTCAGCGGGACTGCGGTCGGCCCTCGGTCCCGAGGGCACCCACACGGTTCATCTCCTGTAAAGACACAGGCATGTCCTGTCCCCACGTTAGTAACTCTACAAAAGCAAAAAGCTTTCTGGGGCTGCAGCCGGGAGCCAGGCCATTGCCGAGGCCTCCGCTCCACAAGCTGCGGCGCAGCTTCTGCCTCTTGGCCTAATTGCTGCGGGGTAAAACTTTCCGTTGATAGTGAAAGCAGCTTTTTCTGATGAACAGAAGGCACAGAGAAAACAAGTTGAGGCTTATCCTTCTCGTGCAACAGTGTAGCAAAAAAGCAATCCTTAAACCTTCCATTTGCACTTACACAGGCGGGTCTGTTAGATGCTGTGGGTTGTGATAGCTTTCTCCCAGCTGTACTTGCAGATGCCTGACCTCCTCGCTTCTTACGTAGAGAAGGGTACAATTTACAGGGGATGAGCAACAGCTGCGCAATATATTCTCCTGCTTCAAAACCCAGAGATCTTGGGACATGACCGCTACCTGAATTTCTCCATAAGCCGAAGAACTCCTGGGACTTCAGTAATGCCCCGCAAGTTAAGATGACTTCTGCCTAAAATTAATCCCACCTATCCTGTTGGCAAAGGTCCCAAACGCCAGTGTGAGTCAGGTTGCTTTCCCCCCCAAGGCCGGTTGCTTTCCCCGCCAAGGCCGGTTGCTTTCCCCCTCCAAGGCCGGTTGCTTTCCCCTAAACCCGTTCATTTGGGAGATCTAATCCTGGGCTTCCTGGTGCTTGAGGAGGGGGAGTCAAAGCACCTCCAGAAACCCCCCTGAAACGGAGTTGCGGCCTGGACTGGGGAAGCCCCCTTGTTCGAGGTGCCCAGGTCCAGGCCCGCTTCTGGTTTCCCCACAGGGAGTGCCGTTCTGGTCAAATATAGAGTAGCATTGATTAGCCTAGTGATTTCCCTTATTTCAACGAGGGCAAAGTCCTGGCACTTTTTCTGTTGAGAAGAGAACTGTTTTAAAGACCCCTTCTGCCCAGAGGTCTGACGGCATTCTCTTTTGCAACGTCCGATTCTCTACACTTACAGCTTTTCCACTCTAGGGCTCAACCCTTGGCTCCTTTTAGATCCGTCAACTACCAAAATTATCCGTTGCCTGAATCAACATTATAAAGTAGTGAAGCTCAGTTCCCACATCTTGAAAAACTAAGAAAACCTCCTGAACTTTCTGCACACCTCACAGGTGCCACTGCACGTTCCCAATCCACATTTGTAGCCTCATAAGCCATAGTCAAAGTGAGCATTTCTGTAGCCACAAAAGATGCTGCCAGCCAGTTTTCATTCTCCCTCGTTTACCACTTTTGATAGGTGCTCTAAGTGGGGCAAAATAGTCTCTCCGGCCCTGAAATAACAGAAAAGGTATGTACCAAACTCCAAATGAAAGAAAAAAATAACCAAATTCTTCCCCATGCTACCCTGATTCAAAAACTTCCCGTTCTTCAAACCTCTGGGGCACTGACAAGTACCTTTTTAGAGCACTAGCCTTATGTTGCTGCTGGCAGACTTGTAATGGGGCTTCTCGTTTGTCTGGCTAGTTTTAGTTTCTGTTCCAGCAGACCTTCCTCGTTCAAGTCTCTATAGGACCCTGTCTGTCCCTGCAAGTTTCTGCTGGTCTCTGCTAGTCTTTATCTATCCCTATCTGTCCCCATGGTCCCTGTTAGTTCCTGCAAGTTCCTGTCTTTCCCTACCTATACTCTTTCTCTCTATCCCTGCTAATCTATTTATCCCTCCAGGCCTCTTCAGGTCTATACTTGTCCCTAGATGCCCCTGTTCAGGCACCACTTGTGACAGACTTGTACAATTACTACTTGAGACCATCATTACAGGACTGAATGAAGAAATGAACGTAGAAATAGTAACAAAAGACAGAAGAAAATGGTTTTAAGGAAAGGCTCGCTTAGGGGAAGAAGAGAGATCCCAGCTGCTAGTCAGTAAAGGCAGCCGCCCGAGCTTCTCAGCCCTCCGTATTTATTGGGTAGAAAGAGCAGGGAGGAGGATGTCACAATTGGTCAGCTACTTGATTGATTACAGGTTCACATCATTGCTATCAGACTTTCAGACGTACCTAATAACAAGAAACACTTGTGCCTGGGGCGTGACCGCCCTCAGCATAACCTCTGTGTGGCAAACGCAGTTTGTCAGTTTGCCAACATTCTGCATTTATGAGAAGCAGTTTTGCTGCTTACTCACCCAGCCTCCAGTGGGGTACTCAGTTGATCACGACCCTCACTCTTTCGGCCTCCAACAGGGTACCTCAAATGAGTAGAATCATACAATATTTGCCTTTATACTTACTTCACTTCATTTTCAGGGTTCATCCATGTGGCAGAAAATATCAGAGTTTCATTCCTTTTGAAGGCAGAATAGTATCACATTGTTTGTATATATCACATTTTGCTCATTTATTTGTCTATTGATGGACACAACCTTTTGGCTATCGTAAATAATGGAGCTATGAACTCTGTTGTACAATTTTCTGAGTTCGTGATTTTAATTCTTTTGAATTTCAAAAATAATTTTGAAATTCTTTTGAATGGTATCTTCTATAAGTTGAGACATACACATTTGTTGTGTAAGTCACTGAGATTTTGGGGTGTTGTAGGTAAGTCCTATGAAGGACTCAGTGTGAGCAGACTGGTGCACTGTTCTCCCTTTTCATGGATGCATAGGAATATGGTTGGGGCTAGAATGACAAAACACTGGCTATTTACCTTGAAATACTTTAACATAATAATAAAGGGAGTTTAAAAAGGAACTGATTGTTTGAGATACTGAAGAAATAGAAATAGATTCAGAGATTAATGAAGATAGATACTTAGAGCCAGAACTACAGTTAGAGATATAGATTCAATGTTCTCTCTCTCCCAAGATAGACAGATAGCTAGATAGATAGCCGGAGGATATGAATACAATCTGGCAAGCTGATTCTTAAAATGATGATCAAAGAGCCAAGAATAGCAGCCAAGATAATGTTAAATAAGAACAATGCAGATAAATTGTCATACCAGAAATTCAGATTTACTTTCAAAGTTAAACTGTTAAACAGTATACAACTCACACATCACAAGACAAATAAACCAAAAAAAAAAAAAAAAAGAATAAAGAGTTCAGAAATAGGTCCATGTATCTACAGAAATTTTATGAAACCTTATTTCATCTGACAAATGTTTGTCGAATTTATACTATGTACAGCCATCTGTTGAACTATTAAGACCCTTGGGATATATTTGTTTGCAAAATAGGTGCCTGTCCTCATGAAGCTGCCCATGTAGCCCAGAGGCAGTGAACAATAACAAACAGAAGAAAGAAGTTAACTATATAGTCTGTCAATGTCAAATGGTATAGAGAAAGGGAAAAAGTAGATTAAGAGAGAGAAAGAATTGCTGAAGCTGTGGTAATGTTTGTTGCTTTTTACAATGTCATCGATAGTACAGATCTCTTTGGAAGGATAACATTCATGCAGTCTTGAGGACATAAAGAATTTAGCCCTGAAGAGAGTGTTGGGGTGGGAGGGATCCCAAGTGGAGAAAAAAAAACAAAACAAAACTGGTAGGACAGGCCTGAGGTGAGAGTGTACATGGCTTATTCAAAGAATGACAAGAAGGCCAGGATGGCTAGAGCAGTGAGGGAAACAGTGGCACAAGCAGACATCTAAGAGGCAATGGGGCAGAGGAGCATGTAAAAGGGCCCTGTAGAGCTTCCTGTAAGAATTTTAGATTTTACTCCCAATAAACGGTGAGCTGCAGTGGGGTTTTAATCACCAAAGTGGCATGATCTGACGTTTCTTCAACTGCTGCTTTAGAAATAACCCTTAGAGGATTTAGGTAAAGCAGGAACATATTGTAGAAATGGTTGGAACCTAGGTGTCTTCTGAAGGTAGAGCCAACAGGATTCCTTTACTAGTTGGATGTCAGTTTCAAGGGAAAGAGAAGCACCAGGGGCAACTCTAAGGGCTTGGATTGAGCAACTGAAATTATGGACCTCCTACCAGTGGGCCTAAGGAAAGACGCAGTTGCAGGAAGTTTAGGGTGGGAAGACAGAGGCACAGATCAGTTTGGTGAATGCCAAGTTTGCTTTGAACTGCAGTCATTAATACATAGATATTATTATATAGATACATGTTTATAGCTAAGAACCCCAATGAGCTTAACAGAGAAAAGGTACAGGAAAAAAAAGAAGAGGACCCATAACTGAGCTAGGAGCCCTCCAGTATTAAGAAGTGGGCCTGGAGAAATGACACAAGGAGAAAAAAAATTAAAAGGAAAAACAAAACAATGAGTTAGGAAAAGCCATCAGTATGGTGTACTTGAAGACAGATGAAAATGCAACAAAACAAAACAAAACACACATCTTCAATCGAGGGAATAGACAGTTATATCAAAACAAGGAAAAAAACAGACAAACAAAAACTGTGCTGATGGCCCTGAAAGATTTGATTTATCCACATAAAGATCATTGAAATGAGAGGTAAATATCCTGAATAGAGAGGACAGTGGAGGAATTAGGGAGACCAAGAGCAGGCAAAGCTTTTGTGGAATGTGACTATAAAGGAGACAGAGATGTCACTGCAGATCTGGGAAAAATAAATTTATCAAGTTGTATTGGGAAAATTGTTTGTTCATATGGGGAATGGAAAATTTGCCTAAAGTCACATACCACAGATATGTTTTAGGCGGGTTAAAAACTAAAAGGTGAAGAAACAAACAAAAAAAAAAACTATGAGCTTTTAGAAGATAAGATAGGATAATATTTTCTTGACTTCAGCTTGTGAACAGATTAGTTAAGACACAAAAAGAACTAATATAAAGTAAAATGTTGGTAATTCAATTTACAAATAAATAAAATTTAAACACTTGGATAGGTCACAAACTAGCAGATGTGTAACAAAACTGAAAACAAAATATCCAGCACATGTATAAAAAAATTCTTATGTGTCTATAACAAAAGGCCAAAATTTGATAGCAAATGGGAAAAATACTTGAATAGGTACTTTACAAAAGAGAAACTCTAAATGGCTGATAAATCAAAGAAAAGTTACTCAACCTCATTATAAGTCAGAAAAATATATACCCATCAATTCTACCCATAGGTATATGCACTATGTTTTTTGCATTTATATATGAAAACATAAGGACATAAATGTCAATAGCAAAAACATTCATAATAGCCCCAAGCTGAAAATAACATACATACCAAATAACTATAGAATAAATATATCAATTAAGATATTCAATGACATTGCATATGCTAAGGAAAATGAGCAAACTATACAAGATAATGAGCTGAATATCACAAAAATTATATTTAGCAAAAAAGTCAAAATAATATATTCAAAGTAACTTCATTTTTAAAGTTCAAAATTAGGCAAGAGTAAACTCTGTTGTTTACAGATAGATACCGTATTAGTCCGTCCTCATGCTGCCATAAAGACATACCTGGGACTGGGTAATTTATGGAGAAAAGAGGTTTAATTGACTCACAGTTGCTTAGGCTTTACAGAAAGCATGGCTGGGGAGGCCCCGGGAAACACACAATCATGGGGGAAGGTGGAGGGGAAGCAGGTACAATCTTTACAAGGCTGAGCAGGAGAGAGAGAGTGAAAGGGGAAGTGCTTCACACTTTCAAGCAACTAGATCTCAGGAGAACTCACTCAGAATCATGAGTACAGCAAGGGGGAAATCCACCCCAGGATCCAATCACCTCCTACCAGCTACCTCCCTGAACACTGGGAATTACAATTCAACATGAGATTTAGGTGGGGACACAGAGCCAAACCATATTGATACATAAGATGTAAAACTATGAAAATAATAAAGGAAACTAGTCACCTATCAGCTAAACAGACAGTACCTGATTCATTCAGGCCAAAATGTGAAAGTATTACTAACCACAGGTTCTTGGGCTCCTGTGCAATAGAAATGGACATGAGACCAAGCAAGTTTTCCAGACAAGGCTTTATTAAGGGCTTGTGCTCGAACACAAGGGAGACAGCACTGGAATGACAGTTCTCTGGCTGGTTCCCCATGGCTAGGCCTTTGCTGTGTTTTAAGATGAGTGACATGGATAATCATGAGGTATGGGAGGCTCTTTATACATGTGGAGTGGAGCACAGGATATGCAGGCACAGTGAGAAATTATGTGAACACATACATTGCATGATCAAAAAATGGTGGGTAAGCCCTTCCCTGGGTGGAGATTTTAGTATTATAATGAAGCAAGGGGTAAAGATCAGTCATTCTTCTGGTCTTATGCACATGTGAGTGATAAGGTTAACTCCCTTGAATAAGATTTATGGTGGAATGCTGCTTATCTTAGTTTCTTCAAGTTATCCATGCAGTGGGTATCGTGCCAGTGGAGGTGGTGGTGCAAGGTCTGGAAGTTGGCAGGTACGGGAAAAAAAATGTGATAGTAGGAGTGGGGGCCAAGCCCTGTCCTTACTGTGTTTCAGAAGTAGGTTATGTGTATTGATACAGTTCAGACACACATTGTATCCCTGATATAATGAACTGATACAGTTCAGACACACCTCATATCCCTGATATAATGAACTGATACAGTTCACAGACACACATTGTATCCCTGATATAATGAACTGATACAGTTCAGACACAACTCATATCCCTGATATAATAAACGGATACAGTTCACAGACACACATTGAATCCCTGATATAATGAACTGATACAGTTCAGAGACACATTCTATCCCTGATATAATGAATGCATACAGTTCAGACACACCTCATATCCGTGATATAATGAACGGATACAGTTCCGACACACATTCTATCCCTGATATAATGAACTGATACAGTTCAGAGACACATTCTATCCCTGTTATAATGAATGCATACAGTTCAGACACACATTCTATCCCTGATATAATGAATGCATACAGTTCAGACACACATTCTGTCCCTGATATAATGAACGGATACAGTTCAGACACACATTCTATCCCTCTTAGTGATGCTAAGCCTAAGAATCTAGGAGTATAGAAACTTTAGCAAAATCCCGTATAAATGGACTGCATGGACCACATGAGCTGTGTTGTGACTTCCCTGTGAATGAGATGGGTCACACCATAAGATGATAGTATCAAAACTTTGCAAAGTTTATAATTAGTGGTACAGGGGGCGGGGGTGGGGGGGAAGTAAGACATTTTTTCCTTGCTCATCAAAAGGTTCGTGGTTGGTAACTTCTAACAAAAGACAGATTAGCAACAGAAAAGTATAGCAAATTTACTTAGTAGAAGTTTCATGAGGCATGCGAGCCTTAAAAGTATGATTAGAACATTTAAAAATATGATATAATGGAAATAAACTTAGGAGGAGGACTTAGCGAGGTTTGTTCAGATTCTTAGTGGCCTCCCCATGTGACATTTTTTTCCCTCTGGGCATTGGTCAGGGCCCCTCTGGAATAAAGGGCTTATTACCTTCTCTCAGAACAGGTAGGTCTGAGAATTCTTTTGTGGACAGCTCTCAGGGGAGAAGGGCAGAAAAAATCAGAAAGTGACTTTTCTACCTCTTCGGTTTTCTCAGTTTTCTTCAGCTTATTTAGTATGTCAAGTTTGCATTTGATGAAAAAGCTGAACACTGTAAAATATTTAAAGAGGTTTATTCTGAGCCAATATGAGTGACGATGGCCGGGGAAAAGCCTCAGAAGATCCTGAGAAAGTGTGCCCAGGGTAACTTCTGTCTCCCTAAAACTTAGGGAAAGAACTTGCAGGCAAAGTCATAAATCAATACATGTAAAATATACATTGTTTCAGCCTGAAAAAGCAGGACATGAAGTGGAAGGCTTATGAGTCATAGGTGGATGCAAAGATTTTTCTGATTGGCAATTGGTTGAAAGAGTTAAACTAAAGACTTGAAGTCAGTAGAAAAAAATGTTTGAGTTAAGGTAAGGGAGTTTGTGGAAGCTAAGATTCTTGTTACATATATGAAGCCTCCATGTAGCTGGCTTCAGAAAGAATAGATGGTAAATGTCTCTTTTTGGACCTTAAAAGGTGTGAGCCTCACAGTCTATCTTTCCTGGATCTGGAAAAGGCCTAGCTGCACTAATGGCAGATGCAAAATTTCCCCCACAAAAGATAGCTTTGCAGGGCCATTTCGAAATCTGTCATATAAATATATTTTGTGGTAAAATATTTTTATTTCTTTCAGTGTCTACTATCTGTCATGTGATGCTATATGGGAGTCAGGTTGGAATTTGGTATCTTATTGTTTTGTCAGTCCTGTGATCTCTATTTTAATGTTAATTCCACAATGGAGGGAGTGCAACAAGGTGTGCCCAATCCCCCTTCCCTCATGGCCTGAAATTTACTTTTTCAGATTGCTCTCAGCTCCACTGGCCAAGAAGGGGAATCCATTCAGTTGATTGGGGGGCTTAGGGTTTTACTTTTAGATTTCATCAAGAAGCCATATTTGGAAGGATCTTGTTCTGAGCCCTGACAGAGGAGTTTAAAATTTTTCACATCTGTCTATTAATTCATCATAGACTAAACTAGTTTACGCAGTTAAATAAAATAATGAACTATTTCAAAACAAAATTTGACTCTAGTAGACAGTGTCTGCACAATCATAGCAATCCAGTTGTGAAAAATGTTATAAAAGAACCAAGAAATAACCATGTGACTACAAAACAATGAGGGATTAGGCATCAGAAGACTGAAAATAAGCAACATACTTGAGTGTACTCTATTTTCCATCTCTCTGATTTTATTGTATTTACTCTTGCATTCCATGAGACAGTGTTTCTGCCTCTATCCAAAATTAGACCTCCTACTTGGGCTCTGTGTTGCAACCTCAGAAAATAGTAATAATAATAATAATAAAATAAATCCCAAGCCCTGTAGTTGACTGAATGGGAACTCTCTTGCCCAGGGAGATCTCAAAGAAATCTGAAAAACTAGTTCAGGCCATGACAGGAAGGGAGGTCAGACATGACTCCTTGTACTCCGTTTGTTTGGAGTTTAGGTACAACTGACCAGCATTAACATTAACACAGTGATTATAAGACGGACAAAACAGACTGTGGCAACAATAGCAAATTCCAACCTGACTCTGATATAGAATCACATGACAGATAACAGGCCCTGAAGGAAATAAAAGTATTTTACCGCAGAATGTATTTCTTTGACATGTTTTGGAATGGCCCTGCAAAGCCAACTCTTCTGGGGGAAATCTGAATTCTGTATAGAATCTGCTTCCCTTTCTATGTCTCATAAGGATCCAGAAAACATTTAACTAAGAGTCTGACACCTTTTACCATCTATCCTCTCTGAAGCCTGCTACTGAGAAGCTTTCATAGGTGGATTAAAAAGTTTTTTGACTGGCAATTTGTTGAAAGAGTTAAGCTAAATACTTGTGGTCTCTAGCATTTCCATTGAGTGCTAAATGACTGACCAGCATTAACATTAAAACAGAGATCATGAGACTGACAAAACAGATTATAGGTGGTAATAAGATACTAAATTTCAACCTGACTCTCATATAGCACCACATGACAGATAGCAAACCATGAAGTAAATAAAAATACTTTACCCTGAAATATATTTATTCGACAAATTTTGAAATGGCCCTGCAAAGCTATCTTTTGTGGGGGAAATTTTGCATCTGTAGAGAAACTTTATTAATGCCGCTAAGCCTTTTCCAGATCCAGGAGAGAGTAACTAAGAACCTGACACCTTTTAAGGTGAAAGAGAGACATTTGCCAACTATTGTTTCTAAAGCCTGATACATGGAAGCTTCCTCTACATGACAAGAACGTTGGCTTCCGCAACCCCATTATCTTAACTCAAGCGTTTCTTTCTATAACAAAAACCTTGGCTTCCACAACTATGTAATCTTATGCATTCCTTTCTACTGACGTTTTAAGTCTTTAGACAAAGCTTAACTCAACCAATTGCCAATCAGAAAATTGGTGAATCTATTTCTGACCTGGGAGCCTTGACTTTAACATGTCTAAATTTTCTGGAACCAATATATACCCTTCATGTATTGATTTATCTCTTTGATTATAACTTTGTCTCCCTAAAATGTATCAAACCAAGCTATAACCCAACCACAATGGGCACATATTCTCAGGAACATCTGGGGTTGTGTCCTGGGCCATGGTCACTCATGGCTCAGAATAAACCTCTTCAAATATTTTAGAGTTTCACTTTTCTTCATCAACATTATTTGGTGCCCAATGCAGGACCTCAGAGAAGACTAAGGACTCTCCTCCCCAAAAGAAGTTGTGTGAACTTGGAAATAAGGTACCAATATGGGCTTGTTACCAGTGGAGGGTCTTGACTACAAGTTGTCCAGGTCCTGCTTCCAGACCTTGGTGTTTTCTCTTTTAGGAAGTTAGCATAAATTGGCCTTAAGTTCCCTGTCTCCAGGTCTCCAGATCATATTCTCCTGCTGCAGGCTCATTGAAAGCCTCCTGACTTTGAGCTTCTCCATAGGTGGAACTGGTAAGTAAGTCTTCCTGAGCCACAGAACCCTTACGTGGTTAATAGTACTTTGGTTTATTCTGAGCTGGTCTTTTCCTGGGAACTTGTTGTTTCAGATTCTAATTTTGGATTCACAGGTTCATTCTAGAGTCTTCTCATTGCTTTTTTCTCCAAAAATTAGTCTCAATTGGTTCATCTGTGCATTTGCTTGAAAAACCTGACTTTGTGTAAATGAATGAGAGACAGCTTCTGAGCCCCACTGCACTGAAACCCACACTACAGTCTGGCTCCTCCATTAAAAAAAAGAAAACCTGGGAAGCAAATCCTCTAAGATTGAGAAAAGACAAGGAGATGACCTCCTTTGGGGCACCCCTGGGGGTTTTATGGCACTCGCAATTGTTTGTGTAAATGTGAAGTTTTGAGAGCATGCTTGGTTTTCTAGTACTCTGGCTGGTTATGTATTATAGTCTGTTCTGGCACATTTGTAAACTGATGGGTAAATTCAGAGCTCAAAGTTGACCTGCAACTATAGAATTAAATATGGCATCTGCTTAGTTCTTGATTTCTCTCTTTTCTTTTTCTGTTTTAAATGTATTGTTGCTTTTCTACTGGTATTGAGATAAAACCCATTGTTTAAATTAAACCATCTTTTGCAAGCTGGTGAATCTGTATTGCTGTCTTGTGACTAGAATTCTGAAATAAAATCTATGGGATCTTTGTATCCGTGTATCTATGTTGAGTTGTGTTTATGTTACATGTACATGTATTTTCTTATATGTTGTAACTGCAAGGTATCAAATGGGCTTAAAAATAAAGGATTACTCATAAACTAATAAAGTCCAAATGCTCTTCAAGTTCACATGACAAGTAAATCTTCAATAAGTAATCTGGTTTTATAATTATTAGTAAAATAAAATTTGAAATGCCTTCAGAATTGTCAGCGTACATTTTTGTCTGGATTTATTGGTAAAATAGTTTTGTATTTAGCTGTGTTGATATTATAAAGTACCAAACTTTGTCATGAAGGTTATAAAACTATAAAACCCATCCCTTAATGATCTTTGCATAATTTTTTATAAATAAGACATTTAATATTGTTGATTTATTGAAAATAGGTAAAACCTTAGCTGGCAAAAAAAAAAATCAAATAAACATATATTTAACATTTAGGTTCTTATGTAGGTAAACACCTGAAATAAACACAGCCTATAAGAATGGTTAGCTGAAAATAACTAATGATGACTAGCTTTGTCTAATATGTCAGTTTTTATAAGTAACCTAGGAAAACTATTTTAAAAAATAAGTTAGTTAACTTTAATGGGATAAGTGCTTATAAATGAACTTGTCATATAATTTAAAATCTTAAAGTTAAATTAAATAATACTCATTTAGTGTCTGGATCACTTCTAATTTAAAAAACAGAAAAACATATTTCTAAAATAATATAAAACGGTTCTCATCTATAAAATACTGATATATGACAGACAATTCAAGATTTACTACTTCCTAGGTTTTCACAAAAAATTAAGGTTACTAAGAATAAAAATTCTTGTTAATATATAATTCTGTATTCAAAGAGTGCCAAAGTAAGTTTTTTTATGAAAAAGAAATTATAATAAAGACATAAAAATATGTTCTTATTAAAAGGAAAATAATCTTTGTCAAATTCAAAGGCTATTATACAAATCCAAAGATGTATTTATTTTAAAAATTGGGTAAAAAGAATAATTTTGTATGAGAAAGAGTCTTGTATAGTAAATTTAGTCCTAAAAAAAAAAAAAACTCGTTATTTAAGAAAGAGGGAAATTTTGGACAAAACAGAAAGTCCAAGTATGTCATAAATAGTCTGTGTAAGATATGATAAAGTTTATAAAGAGAATTTATGAAAGAAATGTTTTGGAGGCTAAAGCTACTCTTTCTTAGATGGGAGGCTCAAGTAACTCCATCTTGAATGGTGATCTGCCCTGTTGGCTTCTGATTAACTCCAGGTGGGAAGACCTTTAAGATTTCCAGTTTATTTATTGCTCCTTGTGTAAGAACAGGTACTTATTATAAATCCTGCCCTTAGGACAAACAACTTTTACATTATCATACTTCAGTTGTCCCACATATGCCTTCTGAATCATTCCTTCTCTATGGCATATAAGCCCTGGGTTCTGGGGTTAATGGCACAGGAATTTACCATCTTATCTCACTGCTGCCTGAGACACAGACATGGCTTCTGTTCATAAGTCCCTATTAATTGTTTCTGCCTAAGAAACTGTATTTATCAGCCTCTTTCTTCAGCATCTCAGCTTCCTCCAACTTTGGATAGGTTTGTATAGACCTGCTCACTGCAAAACAATTTTGTATGTGATTAAGCTGGTGATAATTTAAAAAGAATTATTCGTATTAGTGTTTTTAGAGATTGGGATTTAATATTAAAAATACACAAATAGAAAAACCACCTATTGGGTACTATGCTTATTACTTGGGTGATGAAATAATCTGTACACCAATCCCTTGTTACATGCAATTTACCTATATGACACCTACCCAAGTACCCCCCTGAACCTAAAATAAAAGTTCATAAAATACATGAATATAAAACTGACGAATTGGTTAGAACAAATATATTTTCTTAAAGTATTGATTTACTTTTGATGAAATTACAAAAAGCTTTACATTTTTAATTCTATAATCTCTTTTTGAAATTTCTCTGAGGCCAGGCATGGTGGCTCACGCCTGTAATCCCAGTGTTTTGGAAGGCCGAGGTGGGTGGATCATGAGGTCAGGAGATTGAGACCATCCTGGCTAGCACGGCGAAACCCTGTCTCTACTAAAAATACAAAAAATTAGCTGGGTGTGGTGGCGGGTACTTGTAGTCCCAGCTACTTGGGAGGCTGGGGCAGGAGAATGGCGTGAACCCAGGAGGTGGAGGTTGGAGTGAGCTGAGATTGCGCCACTGCACTGCAGCCTGGGTGACAGACCGAGACTCCATCTCAAAAAAAAAAAAAAAAAAAAGAAAGAAATCTCTCAGATTGATATTTCAGAAGCTTAACTCCTGATATACCCCACTGTTTTCAGCTTTTCTCCCTTTGAGAAGGCCTGGAATGGTAACTCCCTCTTTTAACTTTTGTTGTCTCCTATAACTATTTTTTTCTTCAATTCTAACTGTGTTATAGCCTGATACTAAAATGTTTTCTTTTGAAGATTTAAAAAAGTGATGTCTTCCTCTGTTGTAACTTAATTTGTTACTCTTGACTTTTCTTAAAATGTGTAGGGGCCAGGGTCCCTTTGAAGGTTCACTGAAAAATCAACTCAAAAAAGACAGATTCATTGAGAAGCAGATATGCAGTTTTTTGGGCATGTATACATGGGTGTGCTCAGAACAAAGATCCAATAAATGGGGGAAATTGTGCATTTTTATGCTTAGGTTCAAAAAATTAGGGACATCCATCTAAAAATATGATGGAAAAGGGTATAATTCAATGTTAGTGGACTGTGTGGGGAAACCCCAGCAAGACCTGCCTGTGTAGATTCTTCTTAACCTCCTTGAACATTCATTTTCTTCCTTCTCTGTGTGGGGGTCTTGCACTCTACAGTTCAAAAGGAAGATCAGATAATATCCTTATGTTCTTTCACAGAAAGGCAGAGAAAATATTGGAGTAATATTTTTAGGTTTTATGGCTGGCTTTGAGAAAAAGGAGTTTCAGTTTTGAGGACTCATCTTGGGAAAGCGAGATTCTAGTTGCTATGACCCGCCTTGAGGGAGCATGGGACTTGCAAACAGGAAGCCAGAAGAAGGCCAAAGAAAAACTTTTACTTCTGCAGCTGCCTCTAAATCCTTCATTTTGGGATATTGTTTTCTGAGCTCTAACATAGGTTTAAAAGTGCTCAGTATACCCAGGCAACATCCCATGCTGTTGCTAAGAGTCACATATTCCCCTGCTCAAGGTCTCTATAACAGTGTTCACTCATGACATGGAACACACTCTTCCTGTGTCTGATTAATTCACATTATCTTTTCATGAGGCTTGACTTTCAGGTTATCCAAATGGGCTTCCAATGACTCAAAACAATCACTCTGCATAAGGTTTTTCTTTACTTTTTGACAGCTAGCCTAGGAAATACAGATTTTAAGATAATTACTGTGTTGTTATAAAACCCTTAACCATTTTAAAACCTAAAAGTATAGGTTTAAAACCAGGTAGGGTTTTATATTCATGTAACTTTCTATATTGCTTTTGAAGTCTTTTGATTACCATTCTGGTTAAATGAATAACTATTATTTTACAATGACTTTTGATTCATTTTAATCAAATGTTTTGAGCCTTTCAATATCTTTTGACAAACATCCTCAAAAATCAAATTCTAAGTTAAGTCTCTGACTTAGACTTATTGCCGGGGGTTCATCAAAACTATACAAATTAATTACCCAGTGCTATACCATCTTTTTACAGTTTTCAATTAAGTCATAAACTCCACTATCACCACCTCCAGCCTGATGATTAGATCTCACCTAAAAAACTCCCTCCAGCCTCATTGAAAAGGGTCTTTATCAAATATTGTTACTAACCTTTTTGCTCTTAAGTTTCAGGTATTTGACTTCTGGGTACACATATCTCATTTAAAAAGGAGCACTGACTCCTACTGAATCTTAAATGTCAATGCTGACATTGAAGCGAGAAATTTTCCCTGAGTCCTTTGTGGGCAGGAACTGGAGTGCACGGTGCCAGCAGGTGCAAACTCTGTTCACTCAAACCTGCTGTGATCAACCCATCACGGGAGGAAGCATGCAGCTGAGCAGGTGCAGGAGCTGGGGCTAGCACTTTTGGGTGCCGGCAGGAACGAACTTCATTCTGGCCCCATGGCAGCGTCTAGGGGAGTGCCTGTGACCCCCAAAGCCCCAGAAGGAGTGTTACAGTCAGTGCCCTTTTAGCTTTGACATCCACAGATGGCTTAAGTGTTAACAGCTTAGTGGAGGGTAAATGTGACAGCCTTTTGCACCTGCACCCAAGTTCTTGTCTGACATCCAAGAGGAATGAGGTTGCAGGAACAAATTGGAGATGGTAAATGCGGGGATTTCATTGCTGATGAAAGTGGGTCTCAGTGGGAAGGGGAGCAGAAAAGGGAATGGATTGGGAAGGTAAGCTTCCCCTAAAGCTCTGAAGCTATACCATCAAGCTGTCTCTCTGAAATGAAGCCAATTTGCTCCAACATCCAGGCATAGTCACTGATGTCCTGCTGCTTCTCTTCTTTGCCAGCTGAGCCTGGGATTTTATGGGCACAGGATGATGGTGGGGACAGGCCATTGGTAGTTTTAGAAAAGGCAACATTAGAGTGGGAAACAGGAATGTATGTTCTCACTCTGGGCCACAGTTCCAGGTTTGAGGGTGGGGCCCTCACCCACCCTCTTCGGCCCAGAATTTTTCTGCTTCCTGTCGCTATCAGTATCTGACATCAAATGTAAGTTAACCAAAGCCTCATCTTCAGAGCTGGGAGAAGATGAGAGTGAAAAAAACTGCTTTTGTATGACACTAAACCAGGCTTGTATACAAAGGCATGAATACTCATTTAATAATTTTTTCTCTATCTAAATTAATATAATTTGTTCTATGCCTTAATGTTAGATAATAAATGCTAGCTACCTGTGAGTTTCCGTCTTCTGTCAGAGCAAGGCAGGAATTAAGCTCTTTTTCTTTAAAATGTTGCTGATTCCTTACATTTTGTTTTCCAGAGTAAAAAAAGAAATGCCTTTTCCTTTTGAGCTATATGTAGCTTACAAAATTGGTAAAACACAGATAGATTACCTTTGTCTCTCTACCTAATATCTGCCAAATGTAAAACCTGCTTAGACTCTCACTGGGCCTGATCTGTCTTCATTGCTAACACCTTGCTACTAAGGCTACATAGGCACCTTCCCTCTAGACCCAGGGGCTACTGTGGAAGAGGTGGGCAGGTGAGCTTGTAAGGGATTAATTTCAGAGACAGAATTATTTCAGAGCCTCCAAATCAAGGACAGACATCCAGATGCCTAAACAGCTGGCAAGGTAGGGGCCTTTTCCTCCTGGGCTATTACATGGCTGCTTTCCATCCATCCCAACTATAAAGAATTTTATGCTTGTCCCAGGATTAAAAGAAAATTACCAAGAGCATAACAAGAAACCTCGTCACAAAGCCTCCTGGATATACTGCTCCTAGCTGTGAGATTTATGCAGATATATGTAACTTTTTAAATCAGCCACCTCAGGACAAATGATGAAAAAGACCACGAAAAAGCACTGCAGCACAAAACAAGCCTCTGTGTTCTTTAGCTTAAATGGTTTCAACAAAATGCTTTTGTTATTTACAGCTAATTGCTAGAAGTCTGTAACAAAAATCAAGATTATTGTATTGCTCAATGCACAGAATGTATTGATAAGTCAATTTTGTAACCTTATCTTTTGGTTTTGGGCTCTTATATTGCTTAAAGATCTTAACGGCTGATAAATGCCTGCCCATCTCCATTCTCATCCAGCCCTACAACATTTAAATTTGCTATAAGTCTTTTGGCTCTAAGCCCCTTGGCCATACGGATCCCACCAAAGAACATGATGCACCTGGGGCAGATAGCCATAGCCACACACTCTGGCAACAATAGAGGACAAATAAAACTTTGGCCATCAATGTTGCCTCTGGAAAATCTTGACCTGAGGGAGAATAATGTAAACCAAAAATAAAAGTCTAAGCCCCCACCCCAACTGACACTCTCCTGGTTAAGGAGATCGCAAAGAAACCAAACAACTAGAAGAGAGTTCAGACATGACTCTTTCTACCCCCTCTCTTTGGAGTTTAGGCACAACTGAGCAACAGTAATGTTAAAATAGAGGTCCTGAGGCTGACAAAACAGACTCTCTGCAGCAACAAGATACCAAATTCTAACCTCACTCTGGCATAGTATCATATGACAGATAGCAGGTCCTGAAGAAAATCAAGATCTTTTACCCCAAAATATATTTTTGACACATTTTAGAATGGTCCTGCAAAGCCATTTCCTGTGGGGGAAATTTGCATTCTCTAGAGAATCTCCTTCCGTTTCTGGGTCTTTTATGGACCCAGAAGATACTTAACTAAGAGTCTTACACATTTTACAATCTATTCCCTCTGCAGCCTGCTACTTAGAGGCTTCGTCTATATAACAAGAACTGTGGTTTTGAAAACCATCTTACCCTAACTGAAGCATTTCTTTCTACTGATTTCTTAAGTCTTTAGACAAGGATTGACTCTTTCAACGAACTGCTGATAATAAAATCTTTGAATCCACCTATGACCTATAAGTTGTCACTTCAAGAAGTCCCGCCTTTCCGTGCCAAACCAACATACATCTTACATGCATTGATTTATGTCTTTGCCTCTAATTTCTGTCTTCTCCTTAAAATGTATATTGCCTGTAATTTCTGTCATCTTAAAATGTATAAAACCAAGCTGTCACCTGACCAATTTTGGTAAGATTATTCTTGGGATTTCTTGAGGCTGTGTTACAGGCCATGATCACTCATATCTGGCTCAAAATAAACCTCTTCAAATATTTTAGAGAGTTTGGCTTTTGTCAACAGCATATATATATACACACACACACACACACATATATATACATATATAAAAATATATATAACATACATATATATTATATGTAATATACATAATAAATATAAAAATACATACACATATATGTATATGTACATATACATATATAAAAAATATTCCCTTAACCCCATGTCACTATCCATGTATAACTTTATATTTGTTCCATTATTCAGAGCAAACTTTTGTGATTTTCTTCAATTTTTGAGCCTCCTTTCTCCTTAGTCTACTTCACAAGATATTCTGTCCAATCACTCCATCGAAGCCCCTCTGTGAAGGATAGGAACGACTGTTATCTTGCACTCTCAGGCAATCAACTTTCTGTTTCACATTACTTAAACTTTACCCAAAAACTCACATGTAGACCCCTCCCTTCTATTAAAAAGACTGTCTTTTCTAAGTTTCTACCACACCACACTCCTCTGGGTGCTCCACATCTTTTTTATCCCTTTCTTGTCACTTTTTTTGTGGTCTAGTATTTAAATATTGAAATTCTCTTGTCCTATTCTTTAATTCTGTTAACACATAATCTGCGTATCAATAATTCTGAAACCTGTCTTCACATCTACCACCTAAAATGATATCTAGACTAAAATATCTAGCTGCTTGACATTTTTATTTAGATATTCAATAGACATTTCAAACTTAACATACTCATAATAAAGCTCTTAATCTTATACACACACCCCACATTCCCCTGCAGATGACCGTGCTCATAAGAAAGAATATTGATGCATAAAATCATTGGATTGAGGTAAAACAGAGCTTTTTGGGGTTTTTTTCTGTGTTTTCTTTATTTTTATTATTATACTTTAAGTTTTAGGGTACATGTGCACAATGTGCAGGTTAGTTACATATGTATACATGTGCCATGTTGGTGTGCTGCACCCAGTAACTCTTCATTTAACATTAGGTATATCTCCAAATGCTATCCCTCTCCCCCCGACCCCACAACAGGCCCTGGTGTGTGATGTTCCCCTTCCTGTGTCCATGTGTTCTCATTGTTCAATTCCCACCTATGAGTGAGAACATGCGGCGTTTGGCTTTTTGTCCTTGAAATAGTTTGCTGAGAATGATGGTTTCCAGCTTCATCCATGTCCCTACAAAGGACATGAACTCATCATTTTTTATGGCTGCATAGTATTCCATGGTGTATATGTGCCACATTTTCTTAATCCAGTCTATCATTGTTGGACATTTGGGTTGGTTCCAAGTCTTTGCTATTGTGAATAGTGCCCCAATAAACATATGTGTGCATGTGTCTTTATAGCAGCATGATTTATAATCCTTTGGGTATATACCCAGTAATGGGATTGCTGGGTCAAATGGTATTTCAAACAGAGCTTTTTGAAAATGTTAAAGTTTTGAAAACATTACCCAAAGATTATTTTTGAAATGCCAAGATGCATAACCCAAAAGGAAAGTTCATAAGATGTATCCATCACTAGCCATTAAAAAGTACTTTAAATCAATAAAAGTATCTATCGCTAGCCTTTTCTAGGTGTTGACTTATGATATCTTCCGTCATTGAGAGTCAAATATAGTAATAACTGCTTTCTAAATGCTACTGCTTTTTGCTTTTTTTTTTCTTTTCTGAGACAAGGTCCCACTCTGTCATCCAGGCTGGAGTGCAGGGCACGATCATGGCTCACTACAGACTCAACTTCTCGGGCTCGATAAATGCTACTGCTTTCTGAAAGGCAAAACTCATCATGCTGTTATCATCTCTTGCTTAACTTGATACAATCAAAGCACAATATTCCTCAAAAACATAAAAAATAAATTAAAAGTATAGAAATGTCTTCACTCCATTTCAACAAATAGATCCACTATCAATTTTGTTGCTCAAGCTTAAAACCTGGGCACTCTTCTGGATTCTATTTCCTTCAGACCTCATACTTTATTAATCATCGCCTGTTATTCACACCTTCAAGTGCATCCCAGTGATACTACTTCCTGTCACCTCTACTCCTAAAACTCTAACCCGTGCTGAAAATGTCTCTCTTTAGAACGCAGGAAAAGCCTCCTAACAGGTGTTTTTAGTTCATTCTTTATAAAGCAGCTAGAGTAGCATTCTCAGAATGTTATTTATAATCTGTCTTTTCTTTGTTTGAAACCTCTCAATGGTTTTTCTTTGCAAATTAAGTCAAGTTCCAACTTCTGTACCACAGCATGAAAGGCCTTTTCTGATCTGGTCACTACCCATGTTTTCAGACTTGCCTTCTCCACCCATTACTCATTCGGGATCTGCATCACTGTCAAGCCTTCTGAACACATCATTGCCATTTCAGAACATTGGCCCGTGTTATTCTTCCTACCTGGAAGGCTCTACACCTGGATCTTTCTATTCCTGTCTCTTTTTTTTTCTCAAATACAGCCTCAGAAACCTTCTTGAACACCATATCTAGGGTAACCCTCCACCTACCTCCACTATCCCATTATACTATTGTATTTACCACATTATTATGAGTTATATTTTAAATTTGTATCAGAGCATAATGTACACACAAAAAGGTATTCAATATACAAAAAATTTAGACTTGATTGATTTTCTTAAACTGAACATTGGGTATACAATCAGCATTGACATCAATAAACAGAAATTCAAGAACATGCTCATGCATCCTTCCAGCCACCGTCCCTCCAACAGTATAGGATAGTTTTGCTGGATCTGTACTTCATATGAAGGTACTCTTTTGTAGCTTGCTTCATTAGTTCAACAATATGTTTGTAAGTAGTATTAGAACATCTATTCTTATTTTATGAACATGTCACAATTTATCCATTTCGCCATCAGTGGGCTTTTGATTGCTTCCATATTTTATGTTACCATATGTCTTTTGGTAACATTATGCATACATGTTATCTGTTTTTTGTCATTGTAACAGCATATCTGAAGCTGAGTAATTTAAATAAAAGAGATTTATTTAGCTCACATTTCTGCAGGATATACAAGAAAAATGGTGCCAGTATCTGCTCAGTTTCTGGTAAGGGCCATGTGCTTGGTCAAAACATGGTAAAGGTCACAGAGTAAAGCAGATATGTGTGAAGAGAGAGGCAAAAACCAGAGGAACATCTGGCTTTATAGCCACCCACTCTCCTAGGAACTAATCTATTTTTATAAGAACTAATCCAGTCTTGCCAGAGTGAGAACCCACTCACTATCACAAGAATGGCATGAAGCCATTCATGAGGGATATGACCCCATGACCCAAATATCTTCCACTAGGCACCACCTCTCAACACCACCACATCGGGAATCAAATTTCGACATGTATGTTGGTAGAGACAAACCATATCCAAACCATAGCATTCTGCCTCTGACTCCAAAAACCAATGGCTTTCTTACATACAAAAATACAATCATTCCATCCCAGTAGTCCCTAGAGTCTTGACTTGTCCCAGCACCAACTCAAAAGTTTAAAGTACAAAGTCTCATTTGAGACTGAAGGCAAGCTCCTTCCAACTATGAGCCTGTGAAAGCAAAGCAAGTTATTTACCTCCACATTACAATGGTGGGACAGACATTTGGTAAACATTCTCATTCCAAAAAGGAGAATTTGACCAAAAGAAAGAAATGACAGACCCCATGTAAGTCTGAAACCCAGCAGGGCACACATTAAATCTTAAAGTTCCAGAAAAATCTTACTGGACTCCATGATCCTGGGCACACTGGTGTAAGGGATGGGCTCCCAAGGCCTCAGGCACCTCCGCCCTTATGGAATTGCTGGGCATAGTCACATATCTGCTCTCACAAATTGGAGTTCTATGCCTGCCACTTCTCCAGGCTGAGATTGCATGCTGCTGGTGGCTGCAACATTCTGGGGCCCCACTCCCATGCTGCCCCCATGGTTCTGTTAACCATTGCCCCAGTAGGGACTCTCTGTGGCAGCTCTGGGCTCACATTTCCAGTGGGAATTGCCTTAGTAGAGGCTCTTGGCAGTGGCTCCACCCCTGTGGCAGTTTTCTGACTGGACTTTCAGGATTTCCAAGCTGTCCTGTGAAATCTAGGTAGCACATGTAATATCTCTATGGCTCTTTTAATTTTGGCACTTGCAGATTACCATGTGGAAGCTATGGCTTACCATTTGGGCTCTCTGGAGTAGCCAGAGACACATATGGGGCTTTTTGAGCCACTGCTAGATGTACAAAGCAGGGTCCTGATGCAACACAGGGCACCAGGCTTAGGATAGTCTTTCAAAATAACTCTGCTTTCTCAGGCCGTGGGACTGCAAAGAGAAGGATAGCATGGAAGAGCTTTGAAATGCCTTTGGGATTTTGTTCCCTTTGTTTGGACTATTAGCACCTGGCTCCTTTTCATCCACACTAATCTCTTTAGCAAAGGGTCTCTTGGCTGTACCTCTGGTTTCCTCTCTTGAAAACACGAATTCTTTACCACATAGCTGGGCTGCAAATTTTCCAAAAATGTACACTCTGCTTCCCCTTTTCCTGACAGTTAACCTTATGCAGTTAGAAGTAGCTACATAGCAGCATGAGAGCTTTTATGCTTAGAAATTTCTTCCACCAGATATTCTAGTTCATTACTCTTAAATTCAGTCTCCCATAAAGTCCTAGGCCATGGACATCATGGACCCAAGTTCTTTGCAACTGTAGAACCAGGTTGACCTTTCCTCCAGTTTGCAGATAAATACTCCTCATTTCCTTCTGAGAACTCATCACAATGGCCTTTACTTGTCTACATTTCTAACAGCATTTTGGCCAGAACCACTAAAACGATTTCTAAAAAGTTGCAAATTTTCTCTTGTCTTTTTATTTTCTCCTGAGCCTTCTCTTTTCCTAAGCCCTCACAATAATTGTCCTTAATGCACCCTTCATGGTAATGCAGTTTTTTTTAGCCCCCTCCTCCAAACTCTTCCAAATTCTGCCCATTACCCAATTCCAAGCCACTTCTATATTTTCATGTATCTTTATAGCAACACCCCACTCCCTGGTACCAATTTTCTGTCTTAGTCCATTTTATGTTGCTATTGAAGAATACCTGAGACTGAGTAATTTATTAAAAAAAAAGAAGCTGATTTTGACTATCGTTCTGAAGGCTGAGAAGTATGAGAAACATGGGGCCAGCATCTGTTTGACTTCTGGTGAGGGACAAATGCTAGCTCAAAACATGGTGGAGAAGGTCAAAGGTGGAGCAAAACCTGAAGGATGTACTGGCTTTATAACAACCCACTCTCCCAGAAATGAATTAATTCCTCCAAGAGGTAGTTCAGACTTGCCAGGGTGAGGACTCGCTCACTAACACAAGAATAGCACCAAGCCATTCATGAAGGGTCTGCCTCCATGACCCAAACATCTCCCACTAGGCCTGACCTCCCAACAACACCATATTGGGGATCAAATTTCAACATAAGCTTTGGTGGGGGCAAAATAAACCAAATTCAAACTATAATATATCTATTAAGAATTCACTCAAGAATGGACCTGCAGGGGTGCAGGATATGGATATGTTTAGCTTTAGTCACAGCTACCACACACAACATGGTGGATATATGTGTTTTTTTGCTTGCTCACTTGTTGTATTTATTTTTGTTCATTGTCTTTTCCACACTGGAATGCAAATTTCTCAAGTGCAATTGCTTTGTTTGTCTTGGTCACAGCTATAAAGCATGAATGAATGAATGAGGAAGCTGTATCTGAAGAATATAGTGTTCTATCAATCACATTTCTTGAAATTCTGCCATCTAGTCTATTAATTAGAATTATTATCCTACAGAATTTTCTTGCTTCCCTGAAACTTACTGTTCTTACATGTAAACTATGACTCATAACAAGTTCTGCTTCCTTTGTTATGAAGTTGTTAAAGGATGATGAACCTGGCAAGGCACATAAATTTTTAAGTTTTAGATAGAGATTGATGAATATGATTATGATTATGACCATGATGATGTTTGTATAATGATAACCCCACATGGTGAATTATAATTTTGAGAAAGTCACCCTTTTGATGATGAGTGAACTCTTTATATAATTGGGATACTAACCATGTATCGGCACATGCTTTCTTTCCTCAATTCCTGGATCCATATGGAACATGAATATTAACTATGCCCTAATACTATTACATGGCTGATATATGCTTAATCTTGATGATCTCATGAGATATTTGAAAAGCATTTTACTGCCTTCCTAACCCATCCCCCTGTATGTTTCTCCAGTGTTTTAGAAACCCCGTTACCCCTCAGATATGCAGTGTTCTCATGATGTCTTTTCTGGGCAATGTCCTTTGCTTTCATCCATTTATTTTAAGTTATCTGACAAATAGTTTTCACTAATGTGTTGCAAAATAAAAAAAGATAAATACCGTACTTTTACTGAAAGTAATAAGCACCTGATTGTAGTGAGTACAATACCTGTTTAAGAAGACTATGTTCAATGACTCTTTCTACCAGCTTGCAGATGGAAACACATTTTTGTGTTTATGGAGCCCTCTTGTATTTATTTAGAATACATGTGAACATGGCAGGAGAAACGGAAGGTATAAGAAAAAAAGAAAAGAGAAGGAAAAGAGATCAAGAGGACGTTTTTTTACATTAGTTTTTTTTTCCCACCAAGTTGAACGCTCTTTGAGGAAAAAAACACATGAAACTGTTTTTCCTCTGCTTCCACACCACACAACAACCAACATATAAGATGTATGGGACCAAATGAGTGGGGGATTTTTGATACACACGAAGTAAACAATCATTTCTGCAGTGGACACCACTTGGTGTCCTCCAAATCAATTCCATTCGGCCACTATCTACAGTCAAATGCGCTAGCCCAAGCTAAACTCCTATGACCATCTGCCACTATCTACAGTCAAATGCGCTAGCCCAAGCTAAACTCCCGTGACCATCGGCCACTATCTACAGTCAAATGCGCTAGTCCAAGCTAAACTCCCGTGACCATCTGCCACTATCTACAGTCAAATGCTCTAGCCCAAGCTAAACTCCCGTGACCATCTGCCACTATCTACAGTCAAATGCTCTAGCCCAAGCTAAACTCCCGTGACCATCTGCCACTATCTACAGTCAAATGCTCTAGCCCAAGCTAAACTCCCGTGACCATCTGCCACTATCTACAGTCAAATGCTCTAGCCCAAGCTAAACTCCCGTGACCATCTGCCACTATCTACAGTCAAATGCTCTAGCCCAAGCTAAACTCCCGTGACCATCTGCCACTATCTACAGTCAAATGCGCTAGCCCAAGCTAAACTCCCGTGACCATCTGCCACTATCTACAGTCAAATGCGCTAGCCCAAGCTAAACTCCCGTGACCATCTGCCACTATCTACAGTCAAATGCTCTAGCCCAAGCTAAACTCCCGTGACCATCTGCCACTATCTACAGTCAAATGCTCTAGCCCTAGCTAAACTCCCGTGACCATCTGCCACTATCTACAGTCAAATGCGCTAGCCCAAGCTAAACTCCCGTGACCATCTGCCACTATCTACAGTCAAATGCGCTAGCCCAAGCTAAACTCCCGTGACCATCTGCCACTATCTACAGTCAAATGCTCTAGCCCAAGCTAAACTCCCGTGACCATCTGCCACTATCTACAGTCAAATGCGCTAGCCCAAGCTAAACTCCCGTGACCATCTGCCACTATCTACAGTCAAATGCGCTAGCCCAAGCTAAACTCCCGTGACCATCTGCCACTATCTACAGTCAAATGCTCTAGCCCAAGCTAAACTCCCGTGACCATCTGCCACTATCTACAGTCAAATGCGCTAGCCCAAGCTAAACTCCCGTGACCATCTGCCACTATCTACAGTCAAATGCTCTAGCCCAAGCTAAACTCCCATGACCATCTGCCACTATCTATCTGGAGATAGTGTCAGATCCCACAGGGTGAGGGCTCAGTCCCATAACACTGCCTTCCATTTCCAGTGCCAATTAAAAGCCCCAAGTTGTCCTGTACTTTTGACCAAGTGATTGTAAATTGGGGATCCCACGGCCCTTCCTTGGGTTCAGTTAGTTTACTATAAAGGCTCACAGAATTCAAGGAAACACTTACCTATGTTTACCACTTGTTATAAATGATATTACAAAGGATACACAGAAACAGTCAGATGAAAAGACACAGAGGGTGAGGTCTGGAAGAGCATAAGAGCTTCTGCCTCTGTGGAGTTGGGACATGCCACCCTCCAGGCACATGGATGGGTTCTTATCACCCTCCTGTTCAGCTTCATGAGTTTAGCTGTCCAGAAGTTTTCTGTCCTCTCCTTTTGGCCCTTATATGGAGACTTTATTGAATAGTCATGATTGAAGCATGGACAATTGCACAGAAATATGATTGAACAAAGAGTATGACCTAATGTTGATAGAGTGAGTGGGGACACCCACGAAGGCCTGTCTGATCGGATTTTTCTTGGCCTCTCTGTATAGCATTCCCTCCCCCAGGGTATGAGAGAAGACCTCTTTTGAAACAGAGGTCTTATGACATACAGTCAGACAAGGTAGTCAGATAATTTCTTTGTGACCAAAAGCGGGGAAAGATTGGATTATATTTTTAGTTTCTAAGGCTTTCTTTGGGGAGAAAAAGAAGCAGGTGAAAAGAGGGAAGGCGAAGATCACAGAGAGAGATTCAGTTTTCTGAGGCCTAAAAAACCACAACATCATAACTATGGAGTTATGAACCAGAAACCCTAGCCAAAAAACCAATATTGTAATCATATGACTCCCTCCCTTTTTGCTTCATCTTTTGATGAAAGCACAGCCACAGTGACCACAGAGTCCCCCATTTACCATATGCATGGGAAGGAGTCGACTGTCAAAAGACACCTCCTGACACCCTTTGAGGACCCTTGAACCTCCCCAAGGCCCTCTTCAGAGCTCCAGTCACATCCTTGTTTCTAAGGCTGTAGATGAGGGGGTTCAGCATGGGTGTGAGAATGGTGTAAAACACAGAGAGGACTTTGTCCTGGGCTGGCTTGTGGTAAGAATGTGGCAGCATGTAGGTGTACATGGCAGCCCCGTAGAACAAGGACACCACAGTCATGTGGGATGAGCAAGTGGCAAATGCCTTCTTCCTGCCCTCCACTGAGCTCATGCACTGAACTGTAGTCAGGATTCGGGCATAGGAAGCAAGGACTACAGAGAAAGGAATCAGCAGCATCAAAACACAGCACACATACATCACTGTCTCGTAGAGGGCTGTGTCTGCACATGCCAACTTCAGGACTGCTGGTGCCTCACAGAAGAAGTGGTTAATCTCCCGGGAATTGCAGAAGGGAAAGCTCATGGTGATGGGGGTTAGGAGGAAGCCATCCAAAGAGCCCCCAAACCAGGAACCTGCTATAATCATCCAACAGACCCGGCGGCTCATGAGGACAGGGTATCTCAGAGGGTTGCAAATGGCCACATAGCGGTCATAGGCCATGAGGCCCAGCAGGAAGAATTCAGCTCCCACAAGGGTAAGGTAGAGGAAGTGTTGAGCTGTGCACCCCACAAAGGAAATGGTCCTTTGATCCAGCAGGTAATTAACCAGCATCTTAGGCACAATAGTGGAAATATACATCATGTCAATTAAGGAAAGGTGGCTGAGGAGGAAGTACATGGGTGTATGAAGGCGCAAATCTGTTTGGATCAGGAAGATCATAACCCCATTGGCCATCAGTGCGGTGAAGAAGATGATAGAGATGATGGCAAAAATAAGACCTGAGGTTTCCTTTCTGTTGAACAGCCCCATGAAAGTGAAGTCTGTAGAGGATGTGTTGTACTCTTCCATTGATCCTACAGTTGTGCCGATATAAGGTAATATCTTCCAAATAAGATGATAGCATTCCCAGGGCAGTAAAATAACAACATGTGAATTAATTGTTAGGCAGCAAACTTTTAAAAGTGGGAAGAAAACATTTAAAAAATAGTATTCTTGCCACATTGAGACTGATATCTAGCATTTACTCTATTCCAGAAGGTTTTTAAATAAAATTGGTCATTATTAATCAATAATTGCTTAAATACATTGGAGAAGATGAGGTCAGCAGATGATACTGTATTACGATGATGTGCATAACAATGCCTAAGGTTGCATACCATGCTACACAGCAGTTACGCATACCATGGTCCGGTGTATGCGTGTGTGTATTACCTTAGATGCATTTAAATTTGTATTATTATTTAATGTGTCTTTGTATGGTTGGCATCACCACTACTTTCAAAACATCTTTGGTGCTGGCTGTGAGTAGCTCATGTCTTCCATTTAGCTACAAGTACGGGTTATCTACCATTTGGGTCACAAGTCACTGTCTACATCATGAGAGTATACTTGGTGTTAGTTTATCCATGTCCCAGACAAATTATAAGGGATGAAATAAAAAGGGCAACAGAAACTCAACGGAAACTACTCTTGCAAATTTAGACATAAAAATTATTCTCAATACAAGAGGCATTCAGTGTTGTAGAATTTTATTTATTTTCAATTTTAAGATGATGAGGAATTAGCATTAGGATTATGATTAGCATGACCATTAGAAATCAGTATTAGCAATTAATATTCAGAGGAAATACCACAGGGACGTAAACATTGAGCTATAATTCACTGATTATTTTTGGAAATTAGAATTTTTCATAGTTCTTCATAATTAAGAAAAACTGAGTGTGTTTTATACAATTTCAGGTTACAATAAAGAAACAAATATCCACAACAAACTTCATGGAAGTAAAGGATGATTTTTCACATTGTTTAAGGCTAAAAGTGTCCCAAGAAAGACATTTTACCAACATATTTGGGAGTAAAATTGATCAAACTAGTCTAGTGCTCCTCTAAATATTCTAAAAATATTAGCATTTGAGTCAATTGCCCAGAAAAAGAAGTTGCTATTGAGAATAATGATGATGACATCGTGGAGTTTATTTTGCAAAGTGTCATGCTAAGAAGTACTTTGTAACTATTGACTCCCTGATCTTCACAATAAAACTAAGAAGTGAGGAGCTATAAAAGCCCCTCTCACCAATGACAGCATTGAGGGTAACGTGTTGGTGGTCACGGGGTCTGTTAGTGCCAGGAGTGTTTGGACTAGATAGTCTCAATTCATTATATATTCATACACATGGCATTGTGTATATAGGAAGCTTTATATGGGAATAGCAGCTAGACATTTACTGTAATTAGCAAATAAAATGTACCAAGCATGTGAACCTGCTAAATTGTTAACAATGTAATAACTAATGTGACTAATGAAAATTAGTCATACTTGAGAGTAGATCACATAAATTATTATAATCAGGATTGCTGTTTTATGGATATAAACTATGTGTACAGATATACACACATATATAAAAATGTACACATAGATACATCATATGTATATTTTATATATATATATAATGTATATTTTGCTAATTCAGAATATTTGGTGTCAGGTTTTATACATTTTTATGATACTATGTACAATGTCATCATTACTTACAACCTCCCTCATTTTACTTTTTTTAGGTTTCATTAATGGAACCTATAAAAATATATTTCTAAAGGGAAACTCCTCTCCAGTTTATGTCGCAGCCTAAATATTAGCAGTATTTCAGCTACTTCCACACTTCCTACATTTTCGGTTTGACTTTTATCATGCGATAAGACACCAGAAACAGAGGGAAAATCATGTGCTGCTTCACAAAGTCAAACAGTGGTCTCTGCTGTCTGTTCACCCTTACTCCCATTTTATACACACACACACACACGTATATGTAATAGCACAGGGACATACATATTGAGGTATAACTCACCGATGATTTTTGGAAATTGGAATTTTTCCGTAGCTCTGGCAATTAAGAAAAACTGAGGGACTGTTTTATACAATTTCAGGTTACAGTAAAATCCACAACAAACTTCAAGAATATAAAGGATGATCTTTTATCCATTATATATATATATATAAGTATATACATTCATAATTTCCTCCCATAGATTTATATATGTATATATGTAACTCTTCTGTGGTTCTAGCTTTTTCTATGGCCAGCTAGCCCTGCAAACCTAGCAATGCAAAGGGAAATTCTAAAGTCTACTCCATTTTGCAGCCAAGTGGCCTTACTTTTCCTATCTGCATACAAAAGATCTAATTTATCAGAGAACAAGCCCTCCTCAAAGTAAATTATGATTTTAAGTAAAATGTTTTGTTAAATTTATTATCTGCTCTCTCACTAGAGTGAGCACAATAAGTAACTATACTTGTTGAATATCTCCTGGGCATAGATCATACAGCTTTGCTATGGTTTAGTACACATAAAAATAATCAGAAAATGTTTGGAATGATTCTGTGACTTTATATAGGCATTTGTTTCTGAAATGATGAAGGCAACATACAGTAAAACAAAATTTAGAATTAAATGAATTGAGTTCTTCCTCTGGTCACGACATTAATTAATTCTGTGACCTTGGATTATCTTCCTAAACACCCTGAGCCTCAGTATCTGCTTATATTAATTGATATAATAAACATTCAGGGTTACTTTAAGAATCAAATAAGAAATTTATAGTTACAGGTGCAAATATTTTATACAATACCAAGTAAAATGTAAGATATCTGCAAATTATTTCAAAACTATTGGTAAATGGGTGCAAATTCTCAATCTCTCATTTAAGCAATCTACATATTCAACTAAAATCTATGAATTTAAATTGCAAATACCTCCTGATCTTCAGAAAAGGTCTGTAAACCCAGGTGCTCCCAGTGAAGTTACATCAGCAGTTAAAGTCTATCTTTTCCCCCAAGTATCCTTTGACTTGAAAGGATTGTTACTTAGTAGAAATTCTCAGAAAAAACTGTGCATTTCAATTAAGCTTGCAGAACATCTAAATGCCTTTGAAGAGCAGAAGTATGCTTGGCCTGCAAATTTTGAGAAAATTATTTTTAAAAAGTTAGTGGATAAAATAGACATAATTTTATTGGATAAAATTGTCTTTTAGGCCTACCTAAACTATTTTTTATTGCATAATACCGTACACCAAGAGATAAATCAATGCATTTATGTTATCCTGACATTTGTAAATATTCTGTACTATTTTATAAGGCGTGCATGTTGGTTGAGTAGGGATGGCCGCAAATATTTTCCTCCCACATCACTACAGTTTGAAGGTAGGACACAATGCTTGCCCAGGACTGTGATGATCTCCAAGCCCATCCTTTAAATCAAGTGACAAGATAATTCCTAACTTGTAAGTTGCAGCCTTTGCTTGCTTCCCTATGACCACTGGTGAAGTTTCTGCCAAAGAAAAGAGCAAGCTCCATGCTCCTTCAATGCAGCAGCCTTGTTAGGAAGCTCTGCATTAGCTTAAATTAAAGCTGCTTCATGCAGGATTCTTCCTTGCCTTCTGAATCTGCTTGGAACCAGTTTTCTCTCTTTGCAACATTCAACATTTCATAATGTGAATATGACTACAAGGTTTTCTGTCCTCCTTCTCTATACCGGTCACACTTCTCCAGTTATTTTATGCATTCATGTATGAATTTTTTTCCAAAGTGCTCAACTTCCAGGTATTTACTGGGGATAGCTTTTGCAATGTCTATTTTAGAATATAATACCTCAATTTCAACAGATTACTGTAGGTGTGGTTTTTCCTGTACAGAATACACTGGCAATATTACTTTTCTGTTGTTATCGCAGACACATTGAGTCATTACATACACATTCAAACTTACAGTTACCTTTTCACATGAGAAGTTCTCAAGACAGGTCAATACAGTGCTGTGCAATTTTGAGACTAAATACAAAAATATATGTTCCTAGTTTTTCTCCGTGTTCCTAAATTCTGTTTAGTATTTCAAAAAGTTGGAATCATTAAGAATGAACTCATATTGAAATAATAATCATACAATTATTAGATAATAAAGCACTAATGTACTCTGACAATTTTAGAGTAACTTAGAACCACATTCTTCAACCCACACACACCTCCTACAAGACCCATAAAGAGACTACACACTAGAATAAACCCCTCTACTAGAGAGACCTGTTATTTCTGATGAGAGTTTATTTTATGCTTGGTGTGATGGACACTAAAAAAATGCCTGTGAATCACTGGCAAAGTGGATCTGAGAAATCCAGGTGTCTGCACATTCTTTGAAATCATTGTGGAAAAAAGGATTTTTAAAATGCTTGCACGTTTGACAGTCAGGCAACGAGTCTATGTTGGAAATTAGAATGCCTGTAGGAGTCTGCCTTACGTCAGCTCTGTGTCTTTAATGCAAGCATCTTCAACTCTCCAATCATCAGTGTTCTTATCTGTAAAACGAGGGGAAGGAGATAAAGACAATGCACTGTTCAGAGATTCAGGAAGCCTGGTTCATAGTCTGTACTTTAGAAACTAGGAGTAAGTACAGGTTTTTCCTTTAGATCTTTTGTGCCTTTCGAACAGTATTGTCCTTATCCTATCTAATTCATAAGACTAAAGTTTGCTTAAATTATTTTTTTAAGAAAAGCAGCAAACATTTAAGAAAAGATTCTTTGCACTGTTACACTCAATGGCATCCTTCTACCTGAGATTTACAACACTCACTCCATGTAATTCCCACAGATAATCAGACAGGCACTCTTTTTCTCAATGCACTTGCATTTGGCATGGAGGGAATGGGACAGTCATTCCTCATTATACTTGTGCCTGAGATTTCCAGCCCAGGAGTTGCAGACAACTCTGCCTCAACTTTCTTAGATCCAGTTTACGTAAATCTTGTTTATGTCATATAAAGAACGTAAATTCAGTCAGACCACAATGAAATGTTCTGGCAACCCGGTCATTTGCATATGCACCAAATATTTAAAGTGCTACTATGAGGAGGAGTCAGTCTAGGTGCTCATCAGCATTTGACTTCTTACCTGTGAAATTCCTGCATAATTCCAAAAGACCTGGATTTTCATTAAGGGAATAGGAAGAGTGGAACAAACAAAGTGAGTCTAAGTACAGCAGAAGCTCCTAGATGATCCATTTTAATTGCCTAATTTTACTGAGGGATGTTGCATCATTTAGACAAAACCTTAACTATTAAATCCAATTATTTAATTTTCAAAGAGCTTCATAAAGTAATGTATTCATGTGTTCTATATGTTCTCACATTTCTCATATCTCCTCTCATCCATGCAATCTGAATGCCACCCACTCAAAACAGCATGTGACACACATCACTAAGTAGACATCAAGGAATACAATATACATAATTTTCATAAAAATTATCCAAATATCTAATTTTATTCCAAACTGTATTCCAACAAAAGATGATTATCTGTCACTTACAGAGAGCTGAATCTGTCAGGATAGCCATTCAGAGTAGTAGATAGAGAAGGTTATGTATAATTTAGTAAATCAAAAACTTACTGGCAAACTACAACAACTTTATGTAACTAAACAAGCGATGAAGAACTAAGACTTTTTAGAAGGTTGAAGGTGATATTTTGCTAGAAGGAAAAATGATTAGATTTAGTAGACTTAAATTCTCATCTAACTTATACCAAGAAGAAAACACACAAAGCAATTCATAGTCATTGGTACCCACAACAGGAAATCCTTCAACATCTAGGCCATCTGGATGCCAAAGTGCTGTCAGCATGTTACCCTGAAGATCCAGTATGCATAGATTTCTAATTTGGATTTATGAACTTGGCATGACTGAAGGTATCCTTAGCAACTGATGATGGAGTTAGGACAAAGAGAGACATGCAACAAGTTTATTAGGAGCTATTTTTGTAATATAACTCTGCAGAAGGAAGTATTATTAAGCCAAACAAATAAATGCCACCTTAGAAATCCTTGAAACAATTTGCATTGCCAGGACAAATTGCATAAATTCTCCAGCCTTCTAGAAACATGTAATAATGTCTATTTCTTATCTTTACAGGGAAATATTTAGCAACTAAACAGGTCTGAAAAACTAAAAATGCAGGAAGAAAGCAGCAGACCAGTAAAGAGTGCCGAATTATTCTGGGTGTTCTGCTTTTGAGATCCCTGGAGCGACAAGGGAGCGCCCAGATTGAAAAGAGGCATGAGTTTAAATAGTTTTCTTTGAGGGACATGGAATGAAGTGCTCTGGGAAAGAGCAAGTTTCTTCCTTTTGGATCTCAGGAGACTTTAATGAGACGGACTTATTACAGCTAATGAGAAGTGTATTGATGGGGTGGAAAACAGTGAACATTTAAGTGACATGGGCTTTGAGAACATGTTTCAACTCCTGTGCTTCAAAGTGTAAAACTGATTTCCTGAGTGTTTCATCAGAAAGTTCTGCCAGCAGCTCTTCCTCACAGAGAAATGTGGGAACAAATGTGGAAAGCCATTAAAAAGATAAAAAGTAGCTTTATTTCTATTATATTTTAATAACATAACATCTGTTATGTTTGTTGGTAGTTTAATAATTATTATTTTATTTGAGCATAAAGGTAACGCATACCCATCGGGAAAAACATAATACCAGATAGGGTTATCGAAAACACATCATAGAGATGATTATCCTTACAAAATTGCATTTATACTGTATGTGTTTGTTTGTGTGTATGTTCGTGGGTATGTGTGTGTATGTACCAGTAAACTACAAGAGCTTTATGTAACTAAACAAGAGGTAGAGAACCAACAGAGAGACACATGCAGAAACTTAAACACTATAAATAGATATGGCATTTACACAACAACATATATGTGTGTGTGATGAGTGTCTGTGGGTTAACATGTAATTCCACAATTTGCATTGTTCACAAAATACAACATAAAAAGTGCCCCGATGTGAAATATTCTCCCAAACGTAGCATGCACTATCCACAAAGTACTATACTTTATGGATATGCTCAATATTATTTAATTAATGCTCCATTTTTATAACATACATACAGTTTTAATTCAGGGGACTAAAAAATAATGTGCTGATTAAATCCTTATGTCTAATTTGAGTATAGATTTTGGAAGTTTTCTTCATCGACTTTTCCTCAGTCAATATTATTTAATTCATTTGTGTGAATATTTTTAAAGTTTTGATTTTGTTAAGTTGCACCTCAAAAATATTATCATTTTTTATATTATCAATTCACATCTATATATCAATCATTTCATCTATCTATAAATAAATAAACACAAACACACAGATCTGGAAATTCTGATGTAAAAGGACTAGATTTAATGTTTTCTGTTGTTTTTCCTAGAAAGGTTAATTAATTTTTTTAACTTCAACTTTTTTTTTTTTTTTTTTTGAGACAAGAGTCTCACTCTGTCTTGCCCAGGCTGGAGTGCAGTGGCATGATCTTGGCTCACTGCAGCCTCCACCTCCAGGGTTCAAGTGATTTTCCTGTCTCAGCCTCCCGAGTAGCTGGGACTACAGGCATACACCACCACGCCTGGCTAATCTTGTATTTTCAGTAGTGATGGGGTTTCACCATGTTGGACAGGCTGGCCTCGAGCTCCTGACCTCAGGTGATCCATATGCCTTGGCCTCCCAAAGTGTGGGAATTACAGGCATGCACCACTGCACTCGGCCAACTTTTATATTTTTACTATTCATTTATTTAACTTCTTTTGAAAAAATCATTTTATTTATTTATTTATTCATTCCACTTTATTTGAGATTCATGGCGTACATGTGCCTGAGTGTATTGTGTGATGCTGAGGTTTGGATTATAAATGATCCCATCACTCAAGTAGTGAGCATGGTACCCAGCAGTTTTTCAACACCTACCCCCTCCCTTCCTCCCACCTCTAGGATGTAATGGTTGCCATCTTTGTGGCCAGGTGTTCAATGTTTAGCTCCCATCTGTGAGTAGGAACATCCAGTATTTGGCTTTCTGTTCCTGTGGTAATTCACGTGGGATGATGGCTTCTGGCTCTATCCATATTGCTGCAAAGGACAGGATTTCATACTTTTTTAATGGCTTCATAGTATTTCGTGGTGTATATGTGCCACATTTTCTTTTTTTTTTTTTTTTTTGCCACATTTTCTTTATCCAATCTACCATTGATGGGCAACTAGGTTGATTCCATGTCTTGCTATTGTGAATAGCATGGTGTTGAATATATAAGTACATGGGTCTTTTTGGCATAATGATCTATTTTTCTTTGGGTATATACCCAGTAATGGGATTACTGGGTCAAATGGTAGCTCTGTTTTAAGTTCTTTGAAAAACCTACAAACTGTTTTCTACATTGGCTGAATTGATTTACATTCCCACCAACAGTGTATAAACATTACCTTTTCTCCACAACCTCAGCAGCATCTGTTGTTTTTGGCTTTTTAATAATGACCATTTTGACTGGTATGAGATGGTATCTCATTGTGATTTGATTTGCATTTCTATGATGATTAGTGATGTTGAACATTTTTTCATGTTTGTGGCCAATTATATGTGTTATTTTGAGAAGTGTTTATTCATGGTATTGGCCACTTTTTAATGGCGGTGTTTGTTTTTGCTTGTTGAATTATTTAAGTTCCTTATATACTGCAGATCTTAGACCATTTTGGCATACACAGTTTGTGAATATTTTATCCCTTTCTTTTTTGGATTAAACGAATTTTTAAAATTATACTTTAAGTTCTGGGGTACATGTGCAGAATGTGCAGGTTTGTTACATAAGTATACATATGCCATGGTGGTTTGCTGCACCCATCAACCCATCATCTACATTAAGTATTTCTCCTGATGCTCTCTCTCCCCTTGCCCCCCACACTTCAACAGGCCCCAGTGTGTGATGTTCCACTCCCTGTGCCCATATGTTCTCATTGTTCAACTTCCACTTATGAGTGGGAACATGTGGCATTTGGTTTTCTGTTCCTGTGTTAGTGTGCTGAGAATGATGGTTTCCAACTTCATCCATGTCCCTGCAAAGGACATTGACTCATTTTTTTAAATGGCTACATAGTATTCCATGGCATATATCTGCCACATTTTCTTTATCTAGTCTGACATTGACAGGCATTTGTGTTGGTTCCAAGTCTTTGCTATTGTGAATAGTACTGCAATAAACATACGTGTGCATGTGTCCTTATAGTAGAATGATTTATAATCCTTTGGGTATATACCCAGTAATGAGATTGCTGGGTCAAATGGTATTTCTAGTCCTAGATCCTTGAGGAATTGCCACACTGTCTTCCACAATGGTTGAACTAATTTACATTCCCACCAACAGTGTAAAAGTGTTCCTATTTCTCCATATCCTCTCCAGCATCTGTTGTGTCCTGACTTTTTGATGATTACCATTCTAACTGGTGTGAGATGGTATCTCACAGTGGTTTTGATTTGCATTTCTCTAATGACCAGTGATGATGAGCATTTTATTATATGTTTGTTGGCCATATAAATGTCTTCTTTTGAAAAGTGTCCGTTCATATCCTTTGCCCACTTTCTGATGGGGTTGTTTGTTTTTCTCTTGTACATTTGTTTAAGTTCCTTGTAGATTCTGGATATTAGCCCTTTGTCAGATGGATAGATTGCAAACATTTTCTCCCATTCTATTGGTTGCCTGTTCACTCTCAGGATAGTTTCTTTTGCTGTGCAGAAGCTCTTTAATTTAATTAGATCCCATTTGTCAATTTTTGCTTTTGTTGCAATTGGTTTTGGTGTTTTAGTCATGAAGTGTTTGCTCACGCCTATGTCCTAAATGGTATTGCCTAGGTTTTCTTCTAAGGTTTTTATGGTTTTAGGTCTTACATTTAAATCTGTAATTCATCTTGAGTTAATTTTTGTATAAGGTGTAAGGAAGGGATCCAGTTTCAATTTTCTGCATATGGCTAGCTAGTTTTCCTAACACCATTTATTAAATAGGGAATCCTTTCTCTATTGCTTGTTTCTGTCAGATTTGTCAAAGATTAGATGATTGAGCAACCCCAAGACATGTAATTGTCAGAGTCTCCAAGGTTGAAATGAAGGAAAAAATGTTAAGGGCAGCCAGAGAGAAAGATCGGGTTACCCACAAAAGGAAGCCCATCAGACTAGGAGTGGATCTCTCTGCAGAAACCCTACAAACCAGAAGAGAGTGTGGGTCAATATTCAACATTCTTAAATCAAAAAATTTTCAACCCAGAATTTCATATCCAGCCAAACTAAGCTTCATATGTGAAGGAGAAATAAAATCCTTTACAGACAAGCAAATGCTGAGAGATTTTGTCACTACCACGCCGGCCTTACAAGAGCTCCTGAAGGAAGCACTAAATATGAAAAAGAAAAACCTGTACCAGCCACTGCCCAAACAAACAAAAATGTAAAGGCCATTGACACTATGAAGAAACTGCATTAACTAATGGGCAAAATAACCAGCTTACATCATAATGACAGGATCAAATTCACACATAACAATATTAACCTTAAATGTAAATGGGCTAAATGCCCCAATTAAAAGGCCCAGACTGGCAAATTGGATAGAGTAAAGACCCATCAGTGTGCTGTATTCAGGAGACCCATCTCATGTGCAAAGACATACATAGGCTCAAAATAAATGGATGGAGGAAGATTTACCAAGCAAATGGAAAGCAAAAAAAAAAAAAAAAAAAAAAAATTCAGGGTTTACAATCCTAGTCTCTGATTAAACAGACTTCAAACCAACAAAGATCAAAAAAGACAAAGAAGGACATTACATAATGGTAAAGGGATCAATGCAATAAGCAGAGCTAACCATCCTAAATATATATGCACCCAATACAGGAGCACTCTGATTCATAAAGCAAGTTCTTAGAGACCTACAAAGAGACTTAAACTCCCACACAATAATAGTGGGAGACTTTAACACCCCACTGTCAATATTAGACAGATCAATGAGATAGAAAATTAACAAGGATATTCAGGACTTGCACTTAGCTCTGGACCAAGCAGACCTAATAGACATTTACAGAACTCTCCACCCCAAATCAACAGAATATACATTCTTCTCAGCACCACATAACACTTACTCTAAAATCAACCACATAATTGGAAGTAAAACACTCCTCAGCAAATGCAAAAGAATGAAAATCGTAACAGTCTCTCAGACCACAGTGCAATCAGATTAGAACTCAGGATTACAAAACTCACTCAAAACCACACAACCACATGGAAACTGAACAACCTGCTTCTGAATGACCACTGGGTAATTAATGAAATAAAGGCAGAAATAAGTAAGTTATTTGAAACCAATGCGAACAAAGACACAATGTACCAGAATCTCTGGAACACAGCTAAAGCAGTGTTTAGAGGTAAATTTATAGCACTAAATGCCCACAGGAGAAAGTGGGAAAGATATAAAATTGACACCCTAACATCACAATTAAAAGAACTAGAGAAGCAGGAGCAAACAAATTCAAAAGCTAGCAGAAGACAAGAAATAACTAAGATCAGAGCAGAATTGAAGGAGATAGAGACACAAAAAATCCCTTCAAAAATTCAGTGAATCCAGGAGCTGGTTTTTTGAAAAGATTAACAAAACAGATAGAATGCTAGGCAGACTAATAAAGAAGAAAAGAGAGAAGAATCAAATAGACACAGTAAAATATGATAAAGGGAATATCACCACTGATCTCACAGAAGTACAAACTACCATCAGAGAATACTATAAACATCTCTATGCAAATAAACTAGAAAATCTATTTTATCCCTTTCTATAGGTTGTTTGCTTACCCAGTTGATAGTTTCTTTTGCTGTGCAAAAGCTCTTTAGTTTAATTAGGTCCCTCTTGTCAATTTTTGTTTTGCTTGCAATTGCTTTTGAGGATTTAGTCATACATTATTTCCCATGGCCAATGTTCAGAATGGGGTTTTGTAGGCTTCCTTCTAGGCTTCTTAGTTTGAGTTATTACATTTAAATCTTTATTTCATCATGATTTAATTTTTGTATATAGTGAAAGGCAGGGGTCCACTTTCATTCTTCTGCATATGGCTATCCAGCTATTACAGCACCATTTATTAGGTAGGGAGTCCTTTCCCCATTGCTTGCTTTTGTCAACTTTGTCAAAGATAAACAGGGTGGAGGTCTGTGGCTTTATTTATTTGTTCTCTATTTGATTCAATTTGGTCTATGTGTCTGTTTTTATACCAGTACCATCTGCTTTGGTTACTGGAACATTATAGTATAGTTTGAAGCCAGGTATTGTGATATCTTTAGCATTATTCTTTTTGCTTAGGGTTACTTTGGCTTTTTGGTCTCTTTTTTTGTTTCATCTTAATTTTATAATAGTTGCCTCTAATTCTGTGAAAAATAAAGTCTGTAGTTTTTTCTGAATAACATTAAATCTGTAGATTTCCTTGGGCCACTTTAATGAGATTAATTCTTCCAACCAGTGAGCATGGAATGTTTATCTGTTTGTTTGAGTCTTATTTACTTTCTTTCAGCAGTGTTTTGTGGTTCTCCTAGCAGAGATCTTTCACCTCTGTGGCTAACTGCATTCCTAGATTTTTTATTTTTGTGGCTGTTGTAAATTGAATTGAGTTCTTGATTTGGATCTCAGCTTGAATGTTTTTGGTGTTTAGAAATGTCACTGAATTTTGTATATTAATTTTGTATCCTGAGTCTTTACTTGAAGTTGTTTCTCAGTTCCAGGAATCTTTTGGCAAAGTCTTTTGGTTTTTGGGGGGTATTGAATCATATTATCAGCAAACAGACATAGTTTGCCTTCTTCTTTTCCTTATTTAGATGCTTTTTATTTCTTCTTGCTGTGCAACTGCTATGCTATAAACCATTAGATGGCACTTGGGGGTAAGAGCTGACTACAGCCAATGTGGCACCCCACGTCCTAGAACTCATCCCGAGGCACCCACCTGTGTCCATCCTGGCTAATTAGTTTACATCACTCTTCCCACAGGGCCTACATGTGACCTCAGAAAAATCCTCAGCACAGCAATCCAAAAACCTAGCAGTGATCTTTGCAACTAGCATGTACCAAAAACTCATCAGTTTGACAAAACTACCTTGAATTCTTCTCCTGCATTAATAATTCTTCACATTTCATTTGAGCATCATTGTGAATGCCTGATGCTTGTCAGGCTGAATATCTCTGGATAGGTCCTAGAAGGCGCCAGACTCCTGTTGCTCTATGGTCCCCAATCATTCCACCTACACTCCTTCCCATGCACAGTCCTGCATTTTTTAATGTAAAACCATTGACTTCTTGAGAACATCAATTCATATCAAAAATCACTCTGTGCTACACAACGCCTACATATTTCTAAAGTCTAGTAATAAAATGACATATATTTATGACATTATGAATTTCAGAATAGTGACAAAAACCTTTAGAAATGTTGCTCACGTTCTTCCTCAAGTTTCCAAAAGGGTTGTGCATGACTTGATAGTTGCCGTGTTAATTTTGTTCTGAGGGAATCAACAACCATATCTAGGAGAGTATTCCCTATTCACTTAAGTAGAAACTCAGGCTAAGGCAACAGAGTCATCCAAATGGTAGACTGAGTTACTAGGAGAGCTAAAAGAAAAATTAATCTCTCTTCTAGCCATTACTAATTCTTCTTTGAGCACAAATTATGCATTTTGCTAGCTGGTTCCAACCAGGGGAAGCACATGTTTCTAAGAGGTTTCCCGCAGAGTCAGGCTGAGTTTTGAACTGATTTTCCTGCAGGGATGGCCAAATGGCCCACAAGTGGCTTCACATTCCATCAAAGGCTGAATATCTGAACTCGAGATGAAATTCCCAATGATGGGTCATGAATAATCAAATTCTTTAAAAAAAATTCACTCACTCTAAAAAGGCCTTCTCCTGAAGCAGCATCCCTCTTTTAATAGGTTTTGGTTTTCTGGTGTGAGGTAATATAGACATTTCCCCCCCTCTTCCATATACAGATGATGCATTTCCAGTATTTTCTTATATATGCAGAACAGGGAAGGAATGCTAACTTGGAATGAGGGGCTCCTACCATATGCCCCAAGCATAAAACTAATTAATATTTGGCCCATGTTCTTCTAACTTTCCAGGAAATATTAGCCTCACTGCTCCCGCGTCTTCAAAACAACATATAACCAAACTCCCAAAACAAGACCAATTAGATTAACAAACTTTTATTATTTCATCCCCATCCCCCATCCTAACTTCTACAAACACCACAATTCTTTGATGAGAACTCCTAATGATTTATTGACTGAAATCCAATCAAGAAATATAGTATCAGAGAGTTATATAATTGTTAGAAAACTGTTTTAAAATGAAATTTTATATTTTAGAACAATGAGGTTTACCAAAAAATTGAATGGATAGTTCAGAAAGTTTTTATATATCCCCTCTCTTTTCCCTATTGTTAACATCTGGCATTAGTGTAGTACATTTGTTACAATAGATGAATCAATTTTGATACATTATTATTAATAGTTCATATTTTACATAAGGATGAGTCTTTCTGTTCCAGAGTTGTATGTTTTTTTCCACAAATACATAGTACCATGTAGCATAATCTTATGTAACATTAATTACTGTGTCATATACAATAGTTTCACTGCTCTAAAAGTCCTCTGTGCTCTGTCCATCCATCCATACTTCCCCCAGACCCCTTGCAACACTTATCTTTTTCCTGTATCCACAGTTTTGTTTTTTCCAGGATGTCATGCAGCTGGAATCACACAGTATGCAGCCTTTTCAGATTGGCTTCTTTCACTTCACAATATACATTTAAATTTCCTCCATGTCTTCCAATGGCTTGATAAATCATTTATTTTTAACACTAAATAATATTCCACTGTATGCATGTGCCACACTTTATCCATTTAATTTCTGAAGGACTTTCTGATTAAGTCTATGTTTTGGAATGTATGAAAAATCTACTGTGAACATAAGTTTCCAAATCAGCAGAGTTAACACCAAGAAACACAATTGCCAGATCATATGATAAGATTATGTTCAATATTGTAAGAAACTGTCAAACTGTATTCCAAAGTGGCTGTACAAGAGAGTGTGCTTTTGTCTGTAACGGATCGATAGAAATGAAAGAAATTGTAAAAACTGAATATAAAAGTCAATCATCTTTTCAAAGAATAGCTGAAATAATGACTAGCATTTATAAGGTTTTATTACATTCATCATTTTACTTGATTTTAAAATCTTACAAGAAAAAAAGTATGTATTAAGTCAAATTTTATAAAAAAGAAAGTTGGTCCTCAGAAGCATTGTATGATTGACAGAAATTCACATGGTGTTTACGTGGAGC
The DNA here is from genome assembly GCF_000001405.40 of Homo sapiens. Lineage (NCBI taxonomy): Eukaryota > Metazoa > Chordata > Mammalia > Primates > Hominidae > Homo > Homo sapiens. The sequence continues at coordinate 38,769 of NW_025791755.1, read as the reverse complement.
TGAAACTGATGATCAGTTCTTATGGGCCAGCCCTCTCCTTCTCTTCTGATTTGTTGTGTTTTTTGTACCTCAACATCTTCTTGGTTGGAAATGCTCCCTCATATTATCTGGCACATACTGTTGTCCAAGACAGTCTGACAAGATTGAGGAGATGTTGAGCCTCCAGCTGAAGAGCCTCGGAAAAGCTGTTCCTGGATTTCAACTGAAAACCCTGCTCTGTTAGGCAAGACCTGGTCTATTTTCTTGATTAAGTGCTCAGCCCAATGCCAAGTTGAGCTGTTCTATTTGGCTAAATATTTTGTCAAATACCCAGCAGCTTTTTTCAGTACAAAAGGAGGTGTGGCTATCTTTCATTCACCCACCATCTTCAGTCGCTGCAGAACGTCACTGAACCCGGCTTGGATTTTGTTAAACCAATGACAGTACAAAGCCTGGCACAGCAGCTTGTAGAGGTGGCCTGAGGGGTTTGGGATGTGGTCCTGGTTTTTACTACTGTGTCTACAGTTTAGGCCAAACATTTTTTCTCCAGTTCTTAGCCACTTAAAAAGAAATCATACTAAGTGTATAGAACACCCTTGACGTAGCCAACTCCATCTTAGAAAAAGACTTTATTTTATATTTCATAGAGCACTTTTCCAACAAGGATAAGATGTGTTGTCTACTAAACAAATTAAAAAATAAAAGACTGTATCCAACCAGATAAGGACTCAAACAAGCACACTCTTCCATGATCAGTTCTCATGGGAGGACTCTGTAACCGTAAAAGAGCAGGCCTTCAGCAGCTCGAAATAGCCATGTTAACTGATGCCATCTTGCAGTCACTGGTGATGAAAACTTGGCATCTGCTGCTGAAGTCTCTGCCACCTCAGAGACTCTTTCTTGCAAGACCAGTGGACCACCCGGCCTGGACCAGGACCGCTTTTCTCTTCTTCTCTCCCCTTGGACTGGTTTGTGATCCTTTCTCCTATCCCTTTTCCTTCTTGTGTTAAATGTTAGTTTGTTTGTTGTGAAATGTTAAACCTATAACATTTACATATTGATTAAGTATACTATTATGTATGGTTTGCAATATTGACTGACTTGTGGAGTGGCTTGAGTCTGTGTGCCCACAACGCTGACTACCAAGTGAATGAAAAGTACTAAGGAGAGTTGCCCCCTTGGGAACTCTATGTAGCTCATGGTGGCTTTTGTGATTGAAACAGCATCAATAAAATCCTGACATTGTGGAAAGACACAAGCATTTGTGGTCCTGGTTATTTCTAACTTTGCACCGCTCATGACACTAAGTCATTTACAAGGGTTTCCAGTTCTAATTTTCACATGAAAAGCTGGGTATTTCCTTCCCACTTTGCAATGCTATCCAATGCAAAAGCCAGTGCTATAGAGAAGGAAAAATATGACGCTGTCTACTACTTTTTTAAAAGAGAAAAGTTGGTAGAAATAGCTCCAACAACACTAACATCTGCACAGGGATCCCAAAAGTTTAAAAATGCTAGTGAATTGGAGAAGAAGCTGTAAAGTGATTACAGAAACTGCTAGTTAATAGGGCATTTCTTTCTCAACTACCTTTTGCTGTGTCTTCCAATGTAACAGTTAGTTACCATATTAAAAAACTAACATTACAGACTCCCTCCCCCATAAAGATTTAGTCTTGGCATTTCTACAAAACACATGATTCATTTTTTTTTAGCTCCAAATGTAGATAAAGGAGGAGTGTTTTCAGTGGTTACTCAAAGAAGAGATATTTGGATTTTCTAAATCTTGGTGTAAGTCTATGTAGATTTTTCTTTTACAGTTTTATGACAGTTTAGTCTCTTTCATATGTCTTTCAAACCTTGGCATCCCTAAATCTTTGACAAGCCAATTGATGGATTGTTTAAACAATATAGTCAAAATCACCAGTTCTTATGGAGCCATTGAAAATGGGCAGAATATGTAATATTAACTCAACATTTTGGGGCATTCATATACACAAACTGCAATCAGAGAAGTGATATGAGAGAAGACTTGGAATCAGTAGAAACAAAAGAAGAATAAACATGAGTGGTGTTTCTAGAACTCTGGCATTATTTGTGTGTGACTGTTACAGCAACTTCCCATTTTTGATGGGGGTACTGTTGATACACCATTTAGCACAGCTGGTATTGAAAGTTCCTGTCAGCATCATCCGTGGTATCCATGATACGACCCCATATATGCCTGAACAGGATGTGGAGGTTTTAGACCATCAGAATTCTTTCCTCATCACACCACATGTCCCCTAACATCTTGCCACAACTCTCTTCAAGGCACCCATCACATCCCTGTTCCTCAGACTGTAGATGAGAGGGTTTAATAAGGGTGTGAGGATGGTATAAAAGGCAGAGAAGACCTTATCTTTGATTGGGGTGTGGTAAGATTGGGGAAGCGTATACGTATACAAGGCAGCCCCATAGAACAATGTCACCACCATCATGTGTGAAGAGCAGGTGGCAAAGGCCTTCTTCCTCCCTTCAGCCGATGTCATCTGATGCACTGTGATGAGAATCCTGGTGTAGGATGCAGTCACCACCGAGAAGGGGATCAGCAGCATTGCAACGCAGCACACATACATCACTGTTTCATAGGTGGTTTTGTCCCCACAGGCCAGCCTCAGCATGGTGGGTGCCTCACAGAAAAAGTGATTGATTTGGTGAGAGGCACAGAACGGGAGACTCATGGTAATGGGGGTGAGGAGAAAACTGTCCAAAGCCCCACCGAACCAAGAGCTGGCCAGGATCATCCAGCAGACCCGCCAGCTGATGAGGACAGGATAGCGCAGTGGGTTGCAGATGGCCACGTAGCGGTCATAGGCCATGAGCCCCAGCAGGAAGAATTCAGCCCCCATAAAGCCCATGTAGAGAAAGCACTGAGCAGTGCAGGCGATGAAAGAGATGGTCCCCTCGCCCATGAGATAATCTACCAGCATCTTGGGCACAATGGTGGAGATGTATAATGTGTCAATGACGGAGAGGTGGCTGAGGAGGAAGTACATGGGGGTGTGGAGATGAGGGTCTATGTTAATCAGGAAGATCATGACCCCATTAGCTATCATGGCCATGAAGAAGACGGCACAAATGACACCGAAAAAGAATCCTGAGCATTTATTGTGAGTGAAGAGCCCCATGAGGGTAAAGCCTCTGGTCAAGGTTTCATTGTTTTCATTCATGGTACTGAGTTTGAAATGGAGGCATAAGAAGAGAAGCAGGGTCAATGAAAATGACAAAAGATAAATCACTTAAACATGTCTGTGTAAACATTATTAGATTAAAATCTTTTATGTAGCTAATATAAAACTTTTTTTGGTGTGGTAGATTTGTAGCTTCCTTTTTCTTGGCTATTTCTTTTTGATGAAGAATAATTTCAACATTAGGACCCCATGGGATGAAGATGAATGAATGTTTGGCAATTGATACTTGGCTTAAGGGAGTTTCATTATGATTGAAGAAAATCTGGGCCCTAGAGAGGATCCTTCATTTGGAGTTGGCTCCATTTACTTAAAATGTGGATACAACTGAAAGACTATTGATCCAATCAATTCAAACAACCCAATAAAATAATTCAATAGGCCATTGGCTCAAATTGGGAATTTCTGTGATAATTTTAAAACCTATTGGTCTCATCCAGAAATAACCATAAATTGTAGACACAACTGAAAACTATGTTGAACTGTAATAAACATGATTACATTATCTGCCTGATCATTGGTCATTCTTATGTGTTCCCTCACCATTTGTCAATTTCTCATCCATTTGCACACTTAATCTTTATTTATGGAGAGAGTACTGTGCAGTGTTCTAAGCTCTGGGGATACTGTAGTAAATAAAAAGAATATGAATCATGTGACTTACATTCTAGTTATGAAATAAGCACAGTAAATCAAAAGTGGGAACCATGGTTCCAGGTAATGCAAATAAGGGCTTTGCGGAAAACTTCAACACAGACAATGAAAGATAAAAGAAAATTCATGTGAAGATTTAGGGCTAGGGTGTTCCTACAAAATAAATAGCAAATGTGACATCCCTAAAGCAAAAAGGAGTTTGGGATAGTCAGGAAACAAAAGTCAGTTCAGGAAGAGAATTGCAAGTGATGAAGACAGTGAGATATTAGTGATCAGTTCTTCAAGGTATGCAGGCCGGGGTAAAGAGAACAGAATTATTTTCTAAGTGTTATCAGTAGAATTGAGTTGCAGTTTGTAACATGTAACAGTTTAACTTTAACATGTTCATTATGATCTTTCTGTTTTTTTCTTTTTATCTCTTTGGTACATTTGAGTCATTTTTTGTTTTTGCTTAGTGTTGTATTTTTGTGGGTCTTGAAGGCTTAGACTGGGATAGACCAGGTTGTGCTTTCTGTCCTAATGTCCTCCTCATTTCACTCAAAACTTCCTGATTTGGTTGGTCAGTCGTAAGCCTTGGAGATGGTGACTGAAGGAAATGCATAAAAGATCTTGTAGGCCAGAGGCAGGAAACCATACACAATCTTAGATAGCTATGGGTGGTGCATTCACATCTTGAATACACGATGAATATAAGAATATCTTTTAAAAGTTTCCTCATCAGGTTTAACACTCTTTGAAATCCAACTTGAATTTCGAATTCTTGGACCCTTCTGTGTGCACTCAGGTGTTACACCAGACAGAGAGGCAGATGATGTAGCAGTAAGTGCACAGAGCCGGCAGCCAGCTTCCAGAACACCGTTTTGGAGTAGGGGGTTGCTCAATTCTGAAATACTTGCACTGAGAATGCTTGTTTGGGGTTCTGGCTTCATCATTTGCAATGTGCCCTAATGCACATTACTTAAAAACTTAGAGCCCGTTTCCTGATCTATAATTAGGATATCACAGGAAACTTACGGGATGTTGTCATGATCAAACGTCATGTAACATATGCAAAGGACCACAGCTGAGTAAATTCAAATGCTAATCTATGATAAGCTGTTGCGCTTGTGAGAGAATGCTGATAATGAGGACACACAATATCTTGCCGAAGGCAATATTGCATTTCTTAGCTACTGTGTGTATACCACAGGCACAAACAATAGGAGACACACTCTAAAAAGCACGTGTCACCTGTTGAGCACTAGGGGACACACTCTAAAATTATGTGTCACCTGTTGAACACTAACTAGGCAGGGCTGCAGGCTTGTGCATTGTCTTGTGAGTTATTTAAAATGATAAAATCTCAGAACATTCTTCCTGATCATGCAAATAATTGCCATTAGAGGAATCTTTTAGCAAAAGATATGGACTCGTAAAAGACTAGTTTCTGGGAAAACTGATTCCAGGAAGAAGACTGTCATTTCCTAAGTTCACTCTCAGATTAAACAGTGACTATCAAGATGTTAGGTAATAGCATTACATGAACAACAGGGCCTAAAAAATAATTTGCAAGTGTCTACATATTCTCCAGGGTGGCCTGTTTCAAACTTCTCAGTACATGCTCACGAAACCACAGAAACGATTCAATTTTTTATCTATACTGAAAATTAAAAATCTTGAGTACTAGAAAAAGATGAACCCTAGCGACTCCTCAGTAGAGAAAAGCCTCTTCGGTTTTGGCCAGCACATGTACAAGGTCTCTCATGGCGTGAACCACTCAGAAAAAGGATTGGCTGTGTGTCTCTGTGCCAGATTTTCTCTGCAGCAGGGTCTGCTTCTCTGCTTTCCCCATTCTTACCCTCCCCTAGCCAAGAAATTATGGAGAAAAAGGGTAGAGTTTTGCAAGTAGACCAACAAAGGAGGTTCTTGAAGGAGTGTTCTCAGCACAGTGAACAGGAGACTTCATTTAGGAAAGTGAGAAATACACAGACACAAGGAAAAATGCTAGCTAACAAGAAATCGAAACTTTTCCTTTCTAAGTTTTTCCTTCTCTTTCAACAAAAATTCAAACATAACTGCACAGTTTTGCTTACCGGTTTAGAAGAGGCTGAGTGGATCAGGTGGTGAGGGGAAAAACGGGCTGAAGATTTATTCTGTCCACTGTCCACCCAAAATGCAGATCCTCCATCTAATGGGTAGCATCTCATCTAACGAGCTCCTCGTGAGGACCTGATGAATCAGAAGGAGCTTCCCGCAATGTCAATGGGAGCAGAAACAGACGATAACATTAGGGAGCACTTCAGGAGAGGATGAACACACTCAGGCTAGTGCAGTGCTTTCTCCATGATGATAACACTAGGAAACACTTCAGGATAGGATGAGCACACTCAGGCTAGTGCAGTGCTTTCTCCATGATGATAACACTAGGAAACACATCAGGATAGGATGAGCACACTCAGGGTAGTGCAGTGCTTTACCCATGACAATAACATTAGGAAACACTTCAGGAGAGGATGAGCACACTCAGGCTAGTGCAGTGCTTTCTCCATGATGATAACACTAGGAAACACACCAGGATAGGATGAGCACACTCAGGCTAGTGCAGTGCTTTCTCCATGATGATAACACTAGGAAACACATCAGGATAGGATGAGCACACTCAGGCTAGTGCAGTGCTTTACCCATGACAATAACATTAGGAAACACTTCAGGAGAGGATGAGCACACTCAGGCTAGTGCAGTGCTTTCTCCATGATGATAACACTAGGAAACACTTCAGGATAGGATGAGCACACTCAGGCTAGTGCAGTGCTTTACCCATGACAATAACACTAGGAAACACATCAGGATAGGATGAGCACACTCAGGCTAGTGCAGTGCTTTACCCATGATGATAACACTAGGAAACACTTCAGGATAGGATGAACACACTCAGGCTAGTGCAGTGCTTTCTCCATGATGATAACACTAGGAAACACTTCAGGATAGGATGAGCACACTCAGGCTAGTGCAGTGCTTTACCCATGACAATAACATTAGGAAACACTTCAGGAGAGGATGAGCACACTCAGGCTAGTGCAGTGCTTTCTCCATGATGATAACACTAGGAAACACATCAGGATAGGATGAGCACACTCAGGCTAGTGCAGTGCTTTCTCCATGATGATAACACTAGGAAACACTTCAGGATAGGATGAGCACACTCAGGCTAGTGCAGTGCTTTCTCCATGACGATAACACTAGGAAACACATCAGGATAGGATGAGCACACTCAGGCTAGTGCAGTGCTTTACCCATGACAATAACATTAGGAAACACTTCAGGATAGGATGAGCACACTCAGGCTAGTGCAGTGCTTTACCCATGACAATAACATTAGGAAACACTTCAGGAGAGGATGAGCACACTCAGGCTAGTGCAGTGCTTTCTCCATGATGATAACACTAGGAAACACATCAGGATAGGATGAGCACACTCAGGCTAGTGCAGTGCTTTCTCCATGATGATAACACTAGGAAACACTTCAGGATAGGATGAGCACACTCAGGCTAGTGCAGTGCTTTCTCCATGACGATAACACTAGGAAACACATCAGGATAGGATGAGCACACTCAGGCTAGTGCAGTGCTTTACCCATGACAATAACATTAGGAAACACATCAGGATAGGATGAGCACACTCAGGCTAGTGCAGTGCTTTCTCCATGATGATAACACTAGGATACACTTCAGGATAGGATGAACACACTCAGGCTAGTGCAGTGCTTTCTCCATGATGATAACACTAGGAAACACACCAGGATAGGATGAGCACACTCAGGCTAGTGCAGTGCTTTCTCCATGATGATAACACTAGGAAACACATTAGGATAGGATGAGCACACTCAGGCTAGTGCAGTGCTTTCTCCATGATGATAACACTAGGAAACACTTCAGGAGAGGGTGAACACACTCAGGCAAGTGCGGTGCTTTACCCATGACAATTAAAAACAGTTCCAGGATGAGACGTTACAAGAAAGGCTGCAAAGAAGAGCGCTGAAGACATAAAATTTTGTTAGGGTTGTGGAGGATAAAACTTGAGTAGCTCTCCAGGATGCAGAAAGGCAGATATTAAATGGTAAGAAAGATAGACATGGGCCGGGCACGGTGGCTCACCCCTGTAATCCCAGCATTTTGGGAGGCCAAAGTGGGTGGATCACCTGAGGTCAGGAGTTCAAGACCAGCCTGGCCAACATGGTGAAACCCTGTCTCTACAAAAGTTAGCCAGGCATGATGGCGGGTGCCTGTAGTCCCAGCTACTCTGGAGGCTGAGGTGGGAGGATCGCTTGAACCAGGGAGGCAGGGGTTGCAGTGAGCTGAGATTGCACCATTGAACTCCAGCCTGGGCAACAAAGCAAGTCTCCATCTAAAAAAAAAAAAAAAGAAAGAAAGAAAGGTAGACATGGAGTATTGGAATTACAAAAGCAAAATATAAATAATCAGTGTTTTAAAAAGAGTGATTTCACAAATAGGAGAGAATTATTAATAAAAATTGAAAAGGAAAACTTGGGAAAGGAACAAAAAGACTCTGTATATGGATGTTTCATTTCATTAATAAATACACTGTGTGTGTCTGGGAAAGTTATTTGAAGTAAAAGCATCTGGCAGCATCTAATAAAAACATAGTTGCATGCAAACAAAACACAAGAAAAGGAAAACACAGTCACCTACACAGGCTAAAATTCACACTGACCACAGGTGTCTTCCTGATAAATTCCAAATAAAAGTGAAAAAATGTCTAAACTGAAGATATACAATGTTGCAGTAAAAAGAGAGAGCTCTGGAGCCAGAATTTCCTTGGGTTTGACCCTTTCTCCACCACCAAATTGTGTGGCCACGGATACTGAAATTACTTTTGTATCCATTTCCCCCATTTGCTCTGTAATAATAGAAAGGGCCCAAGTTTCAAAGTTTACATCATTCACACACATCAGTTTCTTAGACTAGTATCTAGAATGTGCTATCTGTTCAGTAAAACTTATTATCGATATCATTAGATACATTTTAGTTGAGAGTAATGTGTGGCTCAAACAGGAAGACATTCTGAGATAAATTAGGGGGGATAAACAGTAAGATACAGCTGAATATTTTTGTAGATGAAACAAAATTAAGAAAAGGGAAGAAACTGTAATATTACTAACAGTAAACGTTGAATTCAGGTTAAATATATATATATTTAAAAATAATGTAAATATGATTGCCTTATTGCATAGAACTCAAAAGATTCTTATCAACAAAGACATATATATGTAGAAATAGATAGATACATATATATCTATGACATCTAATCTGTAGACACAGACATACCTATCTCTGTCTATACAGAAAACAGGGTCTGAAAATGGAATGCTAATACTATACATGCAAAACAAATTCTATTTAAATAGAATGTAAAATTAAGAAGTACCAGAAAGCAGCTTTCATTCATTTATGTATTTATACATTCAAGTATTTATTGTGATCCAGTATTCACTAGACATTTTTCTAGGAGCAGAAGATACCATTAACAATATTCCCTCTTTCTTGGAACATACAGGGCAAAGGGCTGATTATAAATAAAAACATATACAATTATGAAGAATCTAACATTTTTTCTAAGTAAATGAGCCAGAAAAAAAAATACATTTTTTTTTTCTGGAGCCTATGACTCCAACACAGAGGCAACTATAAGAATAAGAACAATTTTGAAAAAGATTAACCAAATCAGTTACTGGTATTAAAATGAGTTAAAAGAATGTTTGTATGTGTGTACATGTGTGTTTGGGTGTCTATTAAAATGGTTTAAAATAATGAAAGAAAAAAAGGCATAACAGCACAGGAAATTAACGCGAAGCATATGATGAAATGAGATAGAAACAACTAGGTTAATCATGGCTACAACATCATTCAGAGTAAACATCCGCTTTCAAAGTGTAGATTTACTCTTCAAAGAAAACAAAACAAAATGTACAAAATGGAAAAGAAAACTAAAAAAATGCAAAAAGGAATGACATAGTATATATAAACTACAATATGAGGTGATATTATAAATGGAACAAAGAGAACAATTCTGTAATTTGGATTTTAAATGGAAATGCATTATGTGCTTAATATATTCAGTTAGCTTCCATAGGACAATCTCTTTTTTTTTTTTTACTAAAATATATTAGAATTCTAAAATCATAATAATAGGTTCACATCTAAATCAGAGAATTTGAAATACTTTAACGTATGCCTAAAACACTACTTAGACCAAAGGAAGTTCAAACTTTCATTAAATTAAATATATTATGTATGGAAGCCTATAGGATATAGCTAAAGATGTATCCAGACAAAATTTTATAACCTCTAATAATGTAATTCTTATAGAAAAAATATGTGATGTTAATAAAGATTCAACCCAATACATTAGAAAAATATCTGCAAAATACATTTAAATAAGAGAAAGACCATATAAAAGACTTAAATAGATATTAATGGATTTTAAAATAAGCAGACTGAATATTTAAAGTTGATTCTTTAAAACTGAAACAAAATAGACCTATTTCTGGCCATGCTAATGATATTTGAGGGCAGAAAGGATGACACAAAACATCATTAAAAGTAAGAAAAATGATCCAACTACAGATATGAGAAGAGTGATAAAATATTTATAGTATGAGAAGTTATTTTAACATTATATTAATATAGTTTGAAATTTTAATGAAGAAGACGATTTTAAAGTATAGTTTTGTATGAGTGCATGCATACACATAATATGCATATATAGTTATAAGTAGATATAATGCATACACACAAATATAGTCAAAATTCTTAATATGCATATATAATTATAAGTAGATATAATACATACACACATACAGTTAAAATTCTTAATATTCATATATAATTATAAGTAGATATAATGCATACACACACATATAGGTGGGGGGAGGGACAGCATTAGGAGATATACCCAATGTAAATGACGAGTTAACGGGTGCAGCACACCAACATGGCACATGTATAAATATGTAATAAACCTGCACGTTGTGCACATGTACCCTAGAACTTAAAGTATGATAAAAATAAATCAAAAAAAAGAAAATACCAAAGAAGATCTCTAAATTTGGAACAATTTAAAAGTTTTAATGGAATTCTGCTTTCCCAAAATTCCTAGTTCAGAAAACATCCCATAAAAATCTTCTAAGGACAGAAAATTTAAAAATCTTTGTACACAAAAAAATGGAATTAATTAATCATTTATTTTATAAATATATATAGCCTTCAAAAGACAGAAAACTCTCATAATTATAAACCAAGTTCACATATATAAATATTTCCCAAATGAATATTAATTATTGAACTCAGAAGTATATTAATAACAACACATCTTCAAACCTGTTCATATAAACTCCCTCTTTTCCCATTCTATCCCCCTTCAAAGATTCTTGGTTGTTTGTGAGCTAAAGATCAAGTTTTGATTGTGGTTTGTATGTCCCTAAGTGACCTGGATACTCAGCTCTCTACTCTGCAGCACTCTGTCAATTCCTGGCACCTCTCTCCCAGAAAATAGCCTGACTCAGGAGCTCTCTCTGCCTGGAGCACAATTCTCTCTTCATCTGGTTACTGTAGACCCAGGTCTCAGGTCACTTATACTTCTTGCAGGAATCCCCTATGGTTTTAATAACAATGTCAAATGCCCCAGCATATATGAACAAGTAGTTACTCATAATATCAACAACATATCAACAAAAATATTTCTTTTTCTTTTTCTTTTCCTTTTTGAGACAGGAACTTGCTCTGTTCCTCGGGCTGGAGCACAGTGGCACGATCACTGCTCATTGTAGCCTCAACCTTTTGGGCTCAAGCAATTGTCCTACCTCAGCCTCCTGCGTAGCTGGGACTATAGGCACAGACCACCATATCCAGCTTATGTTTTTGTATTTTTTGTAGAAACAGGGTCTTGCCATGTTGTCCAGGCTGGTCTTGAACTTCTGGCCTGAAGAAATCTTCCTGTCTTGGTCTCCCAAAGTATTGGGATTACAGACATGAGCTACCGCACCCAGACACAAAAAAAATTTCTATATAATAACAATAAAAATGGTAAAATAACTGGTAATATGCTAAACTTTTGGAGAACATTTATAAAACTAAATAATTCAGTATTAATTTAAAAAGCAATAGAAAATTATTCTAGAGGAATTTGTCAAAATGATTATAAATTTGATCTGAAAGGACAAACACATATGAATTGTCTGGGGAAAAACAATGCTAAAAATTGACTTTGACCTCTGTAGGACCAGTGTGAAATGTAAAGGATGAGTAACTGAATAGAAAAAACAAGGCTCAACAACTAAACGGAAGAGTATCTGGAAATAAACACTGCTGTCTCCCGCCAAAATACAAAAAAACCCACATATGCGCAAATGTTTCACACAAGTAAGATGAGAATTCGGATAACTGGGAAAGGTAGAGTTTATATATATGAAGAAAACAAAATTGCAACTTAGAGGTAAAGAGTAAGACTTTAAAACGCACACTCCAGATCAAGTGGCTCAAAAACTTAAGTACAAGAAATAAATACATTTCTTTATGAAAACTTTTTTATGATGTTTGAGTCTCTTTAATGAAAAGGTATGTTGTTTGTATTCTGAAAAAATGCTAAAGTAATGACAATAAATTAGGATTTTTATTGTGAAGAAGCGGGGAACATCACACACTGCTAGTGTAAGTACAAATTGAAACCATTTTTTTCTGTAAGCGTCTGGCATTTAGCAAACTTAAAAAATCCATCTTTTAGCCATTTTCATCAGTTTATTCTGAGGAAATAAATAGTATGAAGTGGGAATAATATATGAAGACATTAAATAAATTATTGCCATTGATTGTGAAAATAAACTAGAAACAATCTTAATGATCAACATTAATGGGTTGACTAAATCAAACATTGCTCAATTTACATTATACTCATTGATAATGGTGTAGCTTAGTTGTCTTTTCATGTAAAGATATACATAATATATTTTTAAGTAGGAAACATAGCACTGCCTGTTTACAAACATATATGTGCATAGATAAATTATAATCACGTGTAGTCAGCCTGGAAAGTTTTGGGTTGGGATAGGAAAAAAATGCGCCCAAAGGCAGAAATGAAGCTCAAGGTAGAGCAATCAGGAGATTTTGCTGAACTGAATGGAGATTGAAGAATCAGGAATACACTTTACCAGAGCATCCGTGAATCTGATTATTTATTTTACTCATCACATACTATGAACTTTGTATTTCATGCCTTTCCAAATAAGATGGACCACACTCGGATGGTTACCAGAGTTTAATGAAGACATCTTGAGTCTTTCTGTGACGCGCTCTGACAGGGGCGAGCCCCATGCTGCCCTTGCCCTCATGACACCTCTTCAACTTGTTTCTACAACTCTCTTTGTTGTTTTTATTTGCTGCATGCTTCTGCCTCCTCAAATATAATATGAGCTCTTTGAGGGTAGAGTCATCCTCTAAATAGTCCTTATATCAACAGCCATTAGCACAGCCTTGTATGTATTAGGTGGTCTATACATCAATTGATTACTCCTAGAACACTTTATCTTTTCCCATTTCAAACTCATACTAATAATTTGAGAGCACAAATGACAGAAGATTTGCTTTGATATCTTCTATGATATTGCATTGTGACAAGTGGCTAACTTTGAAGACCACTTAAATGCAAATAAAACTGATCTTTGGAAAAGAAAGCAAGCTAATGACGCAGTCCAGAAGGCAATAGGAATATGTAGGCCACTTGGTCCCTTCTAACCTCACAGGAAGTGTTATGCCCGTGCTTTCAACATAGCCAGACTGACAACATCTGACCAACCAACCATCACACGATAGCAAGAATGTTCCTGTCTTTCAGATACTGTCTCTTAGTGTGTCCAAAATGGGTCACAAAAAGCAATCAATAAAATAAGTTCACAAAAGAGTGACTGAATCTATCAAAATGCTATCAGGGTAGTTGACCATTTTTAAACATTTTTTCAAGAAAGTGATGTTTGTTTTAAATAAGTGAGTGGCACTTATGAATAAGAGCTCAACATTTATATACTCATAGACATAAAGATGGCAACAACAGAAAATAGAGACTGCTAGAAGGAAGATAGAGGGGCAAGGATCAAAAACTAACTATTGGGTATATGCTAGGTGCCTGTATGATGGGATCATTTACACCCCAAACCTCACCGTCACAAAATATTACCAGCTAACAAACCTGCACATGTACCACCTGAATCTAAAATAAAAGTTGAAAAAAATTTAAAAATTAAAAAAATTAAATACATACATGAGTGGGTATTTTATAGATGAAACAACAGAAAATGTACAGCCTTCCTCAAGTGTTTCCATGGTTATTGATGCCCAACTGGTGACTCCATTTAATTGTAAAAGTTCCACTTTTCCCTGAAAAATGTATTTTTAAGTGTGCTAAATGAAGAGTTTGACAGTATTCAGGAACAGTTCAACAGTAACCTATGTTTTTAGTTTTGACAACTAAGTTTTTGTCTAGTCTTTCCTTTGTTAGTTCAGTTAAAAGTATTTACCTCTGTACTCCTGGATTATGCTTAATTCATTTCCTTCAATCAAATCTTCTTAAAGTAAACATGCCAATTACTCATACCTCCACCAAAATTCCTACCTTCCAATCCCATTCGATTTAATTATTTTGATCATCTTACCTAATTCCCTGTAACTTAGAAGATATCACATTTGTGGGAACTGAACATGCACAAAATATCTGAATTATCTTAAATGAGTGAACTTCCCTATTTGTTTTTCTCCTACTCACACACATTATCTAAGAGAGCCAAATGGCTTTCTTACTGTGAGTATGGAGATATAAGTTGATGATAGTGGATCACTTACAGGTATAATATATCCAGAGAGAGGAATATTAGGTAAAGACAAAATTGTTTACAAACAACTTCACAAGAGGTGAGACCTTAGAAACAAGAGATAAAAGGGAACCTTCTTGATCTTCTTTTTTTCTGTCTTCATATTAGTATCTTTCCTTGAAAAGATGAGAGGAGATCCAGGTTAAAAGGCAAAAGCTTCAAAAAAAAAAAGAGAGTGCCAGTTAGAGGTATTTGAAGATGACCACTTAACTGAAGGCATGGATGTCATACTTCAGCACTGTGCACACAGCTCCAGGAACCAAAGAGGGAAGAGTTTAAGTAATCTAGTATGTGACATCATAAACATCCTGAGATTTCTCATGGAGAAAACTCCTTCTAATAATCCAGAAGGAATATCAACTAAACTGGTTCTGATGGGTACTGAAAACTGTACTCAAAACATGTAAGTGGCAAGCAGAGAATGTGTTCCACAACAAATGCCTGGGCTGCCTCCTCTGCAGTTTGTTTGTTTGTTTTGTTTTTAATTAACAGCTTGAGAACAGCTGTTTAATGCATGTTTCATCACAAAACTCTGTTGTTTGTTTCCCTAGAGGGCAAATGAGTAATATTGGAAAAATACCCAAGGAAGAGAAGAGAAGTTTTTTATGTGGTCATTTAATTTCTCACTTTAACAATAGTCATGATCTAATCTTTTCATTTTTCTCTTGCATTAAGCAGCTTCCCAATAAACATCACTCATTTACTAAATGTCACTAAGAAAAACTTTTAATTGCCAATTCAGTAAAGGTACCAAACAATCTTTTAAGAAAATATATCAGGCAGGCTCTTGATGAACAGGTTAGTGTAAAAATCCAACTTATGGAAACTATTGCTACAAAACCCTTTTGAACACATGATAAGAGATGAAGTTGATGAAAATCACTTTATACTCGATGGGTGGCTCTCATTCTCCTGAGCTCAGGCGACCTGCCTGCCTCGGCCCCCGAAACTGCTGGCATTATAGGCGTGAGCCACTGTGACCGGCCTGGTTGCATTCTCTTGATGCATAAGGTGTACGGTTATGAATCATTTTTGTTTAGTCTTCTCATAGTAATATATATGAATGTAAATTATATTGTATTACCGATGTATCAACTTTAAATGATAAATCTATGCCTGGTTTAAAAGATGAAATTAACACGTGCATATGTGCTGTTTTCCAACATTCTATTTTTTTGCCTGCTAAGTTTTGTTAGTTATATTTTGCTACTTATCTTGTGACACATCATAACATACACATTCAATTTTTAACTGTAGAGATATCAACTGGGCTTTAAATGTGTTTAATCGTAAAACCTAAAGAAAACGAAACAGCATGTAAAATAGTTTGTGTCAATGTTAGTTCCAAGAAAAGGAAACAATGTGACTTAAAGGTTTAATGGATTCTTGACTCTTTTCCATTTCAGATTGCCTCTCTCTGCGCCTTCCACCATCCACCTCAGATTTCCTTATTCATATACATGGCAACTTCTATTAGTTTTTTTTAAGGGATACTACTCATGTGAAAATGCCTACATCTTAGTTTTAGCACATACACACATATATATAAATGTAACAAATATTTATATGTACATAAATATATATTTATGTGTGTGTGTATATAGAGAAAGAGAGGATATGAGTTGTAAAGTAAAAAATGCAAACATAGACAATGACAATATTAGGTAGCCATAACTGGAAACACTTTATATGTACAAAAGAGAATCATGACAGGCATAATAAGCTCAGTTATGTTATTTTAAAGGAATCAAAATTTGGAAGGAGGAGGAACAAGACGGCAGAATAGAAGGCTCCCCCAATTGTTCCCACTGCAAGGACACCAATTTAATAACTGCCTACACACAAAAAGCACCTTTATACAAACAAAAATCAGGTGAGCACTCACTGTACCTGGCCTTAACTTTATATTGCTGAAAGAAGCACTGAAGAGATAGAAAAACAATTGTGAATTGCAAATGCACCCTTGCCTCATTCCCCAGCAGCATCAGCATGGTGCAGAGAGCAATTCTGTGCTCTGGGGAGAGGGAGAGCACAGCAATCGTGAGTCATTGAACTCAGCGCTGCTCTGCTGGAGCAGAAAACAAAGCTGGACCAAACTCAGCTGATGCCCATCCATGGAGGGAGCATTTAGACTAGCCCGAGGGCAATTACCAATCCCAGCCGTCTGAACTTGAGTTCCTGCAAGCCTTTCCACCATGGACTAAAGTGCTCTGGGGCCTTAAAAGAAACATGAGAAAAAGAAACCAGGCCACAATGACCACAACTCCTAAATGAGTCCAAGTGCTGACCTGGCCCAGAGCCTGTGGACTATGGGGGGACACAACCTACTGAGACACCAGCCAGAGCAAGTAAGGGGGTGCTGGAACCCCTCCCCTAGCCCCAGGCTGCACAGTTTGTGGCTCCTAAAAAACCCCTTCCCTCCACTTGAGAAGATAAGAAAGAGTGAGGACTTTTTCTTGCATCTTGGAATCAGCTCAGCCACAGCAGGAGAGGGCACCAATCAGAGTCATCAGAAATCGCTACAACTAATCAGTACCACTGTGCCAAAGCTTTGAGAATTTCATCATTGATCTAATCATTGCTCCACCCCCTAGCTCCAGGCCCCAGATTGTGGACATTTCTAGACACTCCTTGGGCCAAAAGGGAACCTGTTATTATGAAGGGAAGAACCCAATCCTGGAAGCATTCATCACCTGCTAACTGAAGGGCCCTTGAGCCCTGAATAACCAGCAGTGATACCCAGGTACCACGTTGAGGACCTTAGGTGAGCCTCTGAGATTACTGGCTCACAGATGAGACTCAGCACATTCCCACATGTGGTGGCTATGGGGTGAAACTCCTTCTGCTTTAAAAAAAAAAAGTGGAGGAAAGAGTAAACGGGACTTCGTCTTGGACTTTAGGTATTAGCAAGGCCTTAGGAGGGTAGAGCACCAAGTGGGCTCTTGGTTTCCTCAATTCTCGGACTTGGCTCTTGGGCAGCATTTCTGGTCCTTCCCTGGGCCAGAGGGGAGCCCACTGTCCTGAAGGATGAGTCCCAAGCCAAGGAGCCTTCCCCACAAGCTGACTGAAGAGCGCTTGGGCCTTGAGGGAACATCAGCAGTAGACTGGCAACACTTCCCATGGGCATGTGCTGGCCGTGGCCATAGGGTGAGGCTCCTCTGCTTTTGAAAGGGAAGGGGAGAGTGGGAAAGACAGTATCTTGTGGTTTGAGTGCCAGCTCAGCTGCAATACAACAGAATATCGGGTAGATTTCTAAGGTTTTTTACTTTTGTCCCTGGCTCCCAGATGTCACCTCTGGACCTTCCTGGGGCCTACGGGACCTTGATACCCCGAAGAGAAAGATACAGGCCTGGCTGGCTTTGTCACCTGCTGATTTTAGAGCTGCAGTGCCCTGAGCAAACATGAGTGGTAGTCAGGAAGTGGTTACAGCAGGCCGTGGCTGAGATTCAGTGTTGTGCTAGCTGCAGGCCTGAACCAGGGCACTTTTAGTGGTGGTTGCCACGGTGGTGCTTGTATAACTCCACTCTTATCTCCAAGTGGCTCAGAACACAGACAAAGATTTCATTTGTTTGGGAGAAAGTAAGGGAAGAGAACAAGAATCTTTGTCTGGTAATCTGTAGAATTCATCCAGATCTTGTTCAAGAATATCAAGGCGGTACCTCAATGAGTCTCAAGAACTACAGAATTACTGGGCTTAGTGTGCCCCCTAAGGTAGACACAGCTTAGATCACAACACACATGTACTTTTGAATATCTTGAATGCCTTCCCAAGTAGGATGTGTACAAAAAGCCCAGATAGTGAAGACTACAATAAATACGTAACTCTTCAATGCCCAGACACTAAACATCTACTATCATCAACACCATTCAAAAAAACATGACCTTACCAAATAAACTAAATAGCCAACAGGGAACAATCCTGGAGAAACAGAGATATGTGACCTTTCAGACAGGGAATTCAAAGTAGCTGTTTTGAGGAAACTCAGGGAAATCCAAGCTAACACAGAGAGGGCATTCAGAAGTCTATCAGATAAATTTAACAAAGAGATTGAAAACATTAAAAAGAATCAAGCAGAAATTCTAGAGCTGGAGAATACAATTGGCATGCAATACACTAGAAAGATCACTCATCATGACCAAGTGGGATTTATCCCTGAGATGCAAGGATGGTTCAACATAGGCAAATTTATCAATGTGATGAATCATATTAACAGATGAAGGATAAAAGCCATATGATCATTTAAATTGATGTTAAAAAAAAGCACTTGATAAAATGCAACATCCCTTCATGATAAAAACCATTAAAAAACTGAAGATAGAAGGAGCATAACTCAACATAATAAAAGCTATATATGACAGACACACAGCTAGTATACTGAATAGGGAAAAACTAAAACCCTTTCCTCTAAGGTCTAGATTATGACAAAGATGTCCACTTTCTCTACTATTATTCAATATAGCACTGGAAGTCTTAGCTGGAGCAATTAGACAAGAGAATGAAATAAAGGGCATCCAAATTGGAATGGAAAAAGTAAAATTATTCTTGTTTGTGGATGATATCACCTTATATTTGGAAAAACCTAAAGACGTTACCAAAACCTCTTGGAACTGATGAACAAATTCAGTAAAGTTGCAGGATACAAAATTAACATTTAAAAGTCAGAAGCATTTCTATCTGCCAACAGTGAACAATATGAAAAAATGTAATCTCATTTATCATAGCCATGAATAACATTAAATACCCAGGTATTAACTTAACCTCAGAAGTGAAAGATCTCTACAATAAAAACTATAAAACACTGATCAAACAAATTGAAGAGGAAACAAAAAAATGGAAAGATATTCCATGTTCATGAATGGGAAAAATAAATATTCTTAAAATGTCCATACTATCTAAAGCAGTATACAGATTCAATGCAGTCCCTATCAATATACCAATGACATTTTTTACAGAAATGGAAAAAACAATCCTAAAATTTATAGCAACCCATAAAAGACCCTGAATAGACAAAACTATCTTTAGCAAAAACCACAACTAGAGGAATCACATTAATTGACTTCAAATTATACTACAGAGCTATATAAACAAAATAGCAGGATACTGGCACAAAAACAGACACACAGACCAATGGAACAGCATAAAGACCCAAAAAGGAAATCCACACACCTACAGTTAACTCATTTGCAATCAAAGATGCCAAGTACATACATTGGGGAAAAGACAGTCTCTTCTATAAATGTGCTGGGAAAACTGGATATTCACATGCAGAAGAATGAAACTACACCCCTATCTCTTGCCATATACAAAAATCAAATCAAAATGGATTAAAGAGTTAAATCTAATACCTCAAATTATGAAAGTACTACAAGAAAACATTGGGAAAAGTCTCCAGGACATTGGTCTGGGCAAAGATTTCTTAAGTAATACCCTACAAGCACAGACAACAGAGCAAAAATGGACAAATGGGATCCCATCAAGTTAAAAAGCTTCTGCACAGCAAAGGAAACTTATCAATCAATGAAATGAATAGACAATCCACAGAATGGGAGAAAATATTTGCAAACTACCCATCTGACAAGGGATTAATAACCAGAGTATATAAGGAGCTCAAACAACTGTCTAGAAATCTAGTAATGTAATTATAAAATGGGCAAAAGATCTGAATGCACATTTCTCCAAAGAAGACATACGAATTGCAAACACGCATAGAAAAGGGTGCTCAACATCATTGATTATAAAAGAAATGCAAATCAAAACTATAATGAGATATAATCTCACCCCAGTTAAAATGGCTTACATCCAAAAGGCAACAACAAATGCTGGCAAGGATGTGGAGAAAAGAAAACCATTGTACACTCTTGGTGAGAATGTAAATTAGTATAACCACTATGAAGAATGGTTTGGAGGTTCCTCAAGAAACTAAAAACAGAGCCATCATATGATCCATCGATCCCCCGGGGATATACCCAAAATAAAGGAAAAGAGATCAAAGAGATATCTGCACTCGTATGTTTGTTGTGGCACTTTTCACAATAGTCGAGATTTTGAAGCAACCTAAGTATCCATCAACAGATAAATGGATAAAGAAAATGTGGTACTTATACACAATGGAGTACTATTCAGCTATAAAAAATAATGAGATCTTTTAATTTGCAACAACATGGATGGAACTGGAGGTCACTATGTTAAGTGAAGTAAGCCAGGCACAGAAAGACACACATTGCATGTTCTCACTTATTTGTGAGATCTAAAAGGAGAATTAATTTATTTCGGGAAAGGAAGAACGGTTTCTTGTTCTGTTTAATAAACCTTGACATTGAGATGCACTCAAGAGCCTGGGGTAGAAGTGGAGAAATGACCCACATTACCTCTGCCCTTCTAAAGCCTAGAGCAGGCAGATCAGGTCACTCCAGGTGAAAAGAACACTCAGGAGTGGATGGAGCAGGCAATGTGCCCTTTAAGAGGAGCAGGGCAGAAGTCTTCAAGGAATGATAAAATCATTGCCCAAAAGTTATGAATTTCCTGTACAATATAAAATGTTCTCAGCCACATAACAAAACTCAAGAGAATTCTACAAAGTTTGAAATATGCAGTCCATATCCCTAAGCCATATTGAATTAAACCAAGAAAACAACTTAACAAAAATATATGCATTAATGACCACAGTTATGATCAATAATTACAGCAATAGGCCAGATGCCGTGGCTCATGCCTGTAATCCTAACACTTTGGGAGGCCGAGATGGGTGGATCACTTCAGACCTGGAGTTCAAGACAAGCCTGGCCAACATAGGAAAACTCCATCTCTACTAAAAATACAAGAAATTAGCTGGGTGTGGTGGCCCACGCCTGTAATCCCAGCTAGTCTGAAAACTGATGGATGAGAATCCCTTGAAGCCAGGATGTGGAGGTTGTCTCCAGCCTAGGGGACAGAGCAAGACCCTGTTAAAAAAAAATTACAGCAATGTCCAGATGCACAGTTTCCTTGTACAGTCTCTCTAGTTCAAGAAAATTGTATTAGCGTTCATGTATACTGATTTGAAACTTGTATTTAAATTCATTTCACTTATGTTTTACAAATGATTTTTTTTATTTTTATTTTGAGACAGAGTCTCACTCTGTTGCCCAGGCTGAAATGTGGTGGTATGATTCATGGCTCACTACACCCTCAACCTTCTGGGCTCAACTGATCCTCCCATATCAGCCTCACAAGTAGCTTGGACTATAGATACCTGCTACCATGCCAGGATAATTGTTTTATTTTTTGTAGAGATGGGGTCTCAGTATGTTGCCCAGGCTAGTCTTGAACTCCTGGACTTAAGCAATACTTCCACCTCCGCCTCCCAGAGTGTTGGGATTACAGGTGTGATCCACCATGCCTGGCCCCAAATGATTTTGATTTCCCTTTTCCCCTATGTAAGTTTACTTCATTGTCCTGATTCTTCTATGTAATTTTTATTCCACTAGCCGTTCCCTAAATTTTTCTTTTCAATATTAAATGATGTTTTCAAAATATAAATTTCACTGTTAAGTATTTTGAACAAATCGTATTTATGACTTCATGGTAGACATTTACTTAATACAATTTTTCCTATTTCCCTCCCACCTCCATAAGGCAGGGAGTGATCTTTCACTTGGTGAGGACCCTGCAAGACCAATTCTCATTTGTTTTAAAAACACATTTGTCTCTTGGTATTCATTGTGGGGTTTGGTTCCAGGACACCTTGTAGGTACCAAAACCTGAGGATGCTTAAGTGCCTTATATAAAATGCTGCGGTATGTGCATGTAAGCTATGCACATCCTCTCACATACTTTAAATCATCTTTAGATTACTTATTATACCTCATGCAAGGTCTATATATCACTTCATTGGAATTGATTCAACATAGTGCTCAGAACATGGCAAGTTTTGCTTTTTGGAACTTCAGAACATTTTTTTCTGAATATTTTTTATCTGCAGTTGATTGAATCCACACATGCAGAACTCGGATAAAGAGGGCTGACTGTATTTACTAAAAGCTTTTGTAATTCATCTCTGCTTACTCTACCACTGAAGTAATTCATTCTCAACATATCTTTTGTGAAACTCGTTAATCAGTATCTGTGGAATGGGAATAACCATAGCTATTAGAATGTGTACCTTCTACACCCGGTAGCTCTGTCACCATCATGGAGCTGTTTGTTTACTGCAGTTACATGTCTCCTGTCACACTGGAATGCTCATTGTTCTTTTTCCTTCCTTTACCGAAATATAATTGCAAAATTAAATAAATATGTTTTGAAACAAGCCTAAATTGAACAAATTATTCTGAAAAACAAAATAAAAGATAAGTTTTATAAAAATTGAGTAAAATGTGGATGGTAACAACATTTTTTAAAATTATCAAACAGGCCAGGCATGGTGGCTCATGCCTGTCATCCCAACACTTTGGAAGGCCAAAGTGGGCGGATCACCTGAGGTCAGGAGTTTGAGACCAGCCTGGCCAAAATGGTGAAACCCAATCTCTACTAAAAATACAAAAAATTAGCCAGGCATTGTGGCAGGCACCTGTAATCCCAGCTAGTGAGGGGGTGAGGCAGGAGAATCGCTTGAACCCGGGAGGTGGAGGTTGCAGTGAGCCGAGATTGTACCATTGCATTCCAGCCTGGGCAACAAGAGTGAAACTCTCAAAAAAAAATTTTTTTTAAAATTATCATACAAATCTATTATAATAGGAACTCTGAATGATTTTTAAACATTTTTGAATTTACAGGTCACATTTTAAAACTGTAAATCATTTGACTATTTATTTTCATGCATAAGAGCTAATGAAAATTTTCTGTGAAAGGAAACCGACTCTAAATAAAATGTATGATTATTTTTCACACACACACACACACACACACACACACACACACACACACACTGCCCTGTGGAAATATTTTGAAGCACATTTAAAATGTTATTTCATAAAAATAAAATTTAGAAATAAGGAGGACTTAGAACTAATAAAATAAATTATACACTTCCCCTATCAAAAATGAGCTAAAATTATTCTCAAATGAACACACATGCTTTTCAAAGTTTTTTTAAATCAACAATGCAAATATGTTGGAAACAGACAACTAAAAATTTTTTTTAAGTCAAACAAAGACAATTTGGTAAATCTGAAAGCAAGAGGCTGAAATACAGCTTTAGACAGGGTATTTTCTCCCAGCCAAAACTGAAACTTAAAATCATGTTTTAAAATAAGAAACACTGAAAGAGTCAAAGCATCAACCAAGAACTGACCAGGCCCATTATGTTACATGTTTTTAGAGAAGTTGTCTTCTTGGAATAAGTTGAAAAATTATTGTGAATTATTTGGAAATACTATTTCTCAAGATTTTGCCTAGTTCCATGGGATAACCCTATGTGAAAATAAATTTCTCTCATAGTCTTCCAAACAAACAGCGCCACTTAAAAATAATTTATTCAAGTGAACTTCATGCAATGTAATTAACCATTTTAAAGTGAACAATTCAGTGGTATCTTATACATTCACAATATTGGGCAACAACAACCTCTAGTTCCAAAACATTTCCACGATCCCAAGCTGTAAAACCCCTTACTCATTAAGCAGTAATAAGTGTTGGTGAGAATATGGAGAAATTAAGACTCATGCATTGCTGGTGGAAATGCAAAATGTTTCAGCCATAGTTGAAAACAGTTTGACAGCTTTTCAAAACACAAAGTATAGAATTATTATATTACCCTGCTATTCCACTCCTAGTTATATATGTAAAAAGTACCACTTTTAAATTAATACTCTGATATTCAACGCAATAGATATACATTTATAGAAATTATACATTAACAACAGTTAGCAATTGTAACAGTAAGTTAAAATATGTACATGAATTATTTTCAGAGTAAATGCAAGTTAACATTTTGCAGTCACCAGATAGAAAGAACTACTTATATAAAATTGATTTTTAAAAAATCTGAGCAGCAACTGACTCGTCAGCAAATTTGTTGGAAGCTGAAAGACAGAAACTTTTCAACTATTGACAAGGAGTGTAACTCAAGAAGTTGATATACAGCAAGGTGTCAAGAGAAATATAATTACAGGTGTGCAAGAAAGAATAAATCCATCAAATAAAGAAGAAAAGAAACTATGGAGAGCACAAACCTTTGTCATCTGTGTATACCATATAGATGGTCTGTATATGTGTATGCTATTTCCAAAGAGCAAATGTCTTCAAGTTACAAGCACAAAAGAACTTTGAGGTTTCATTCAAATGCCTGTTCAAGCTATGAGGTTTTTTCAACCTTCCTAGACTTTCAAATGACCTCCCAGCACATTCAGTCCAGAATCAGTCGTTACTAACATGCCTAGATCCTACTCACAGCTAGAGCTCTCAGTCAAGGTAAAGCCTCGGGGCCTCACCTGTTCTGCCTGTATCAGGTCAAGGAGTCGGCCCCGAGAGTGGGGAGACAGGACCCAGCATCCTCTGCCTCCCCCAGCTCATGCATTCTTCAGTTTAGCCCACTGTACCCTCAAAGTTGGAGGTGGGAGGGAGGGAAGTTGTCTCCATGTCCTCACCAACACTTGTTATCTTTTGTCTTTTTGATAATAGCCATTCTAACAAGAGTGAAGTGATATCTCATTGTGGTTTTGTTTTGTGTTTCCCTGATGACTAGTGATAATAAGCATTATTTTTCATATACCTGTTGGCCATCTGTCTGTCTTCTTTCCAGAAATGTCTATTCAGGTCTTATGCCCATTTTTAAATTGTGTTATTTATTTTCTTACTATTGAGGTTTCTGAGTTCCTGATATATTTTTTCTATTAATCCCTTATCAGATAATATAGTTTACAAATACTTTATCTAATTCTGTGGGTTGTCCCTTCACTCTATTGATTGTTTCCTTTACTGTGCAGAACCTTTTTAGTTTTGCATAATCTGATTTGTTTATTTGTGCTTTTGTTCCATGGGAGTTTGAGTTTATATCCAGAAAAACATTGCCCAAACCAATGTCACAGAGCTTTTCCCTATATTTTCTTCTAGTAGCTTTACAGTTTCGGGTCTTATATCCAAGTTTAATTCATTTTGAATTGATTTTTGTATATGGTGTGAGAAAAGGGTTCAATTTTGTTCTTTTGCATGTGGATATCTAATTTTTCCAGTATCATTTGTTGAAGGAACAGTCCTTTCCTCAGGTGTGTTTTTGGCACATTTGTCAAAAATCAATTGACTATAAATGTGTGGGTTTATTTCTCGGCTCTAAATCCTGTTCCACTGGTCAATGTGCCTTTTGTAATGCGTGTACCATGCTGTTTTGAGTGTCATAGCTTTGTAATATATTTAGAAAAAAAGTAGTGTGATGCTCCCCTTTTGTTCTTACTGTTCATATAAATCATTTTTTTCTCCAGTTCTGTGAAAAATGACATTGAAATGTGACAAGAATGTCATTAAATGTATAGACCCCTTTGGGTAATATGAAAAATTTAACATATTAATTCTTCCAATCCATGAATATGGGATAGTTCTCATTTATTGGTGTCTTCTTTAATTTCCTACATCAATGTTTTATGTTTTTCAGTGTAGATATTTAACCCTTTTGGTTAAATTTATCCCAAAGTTTTTGTTTGTTTGATTTGACACTATTATAAATAAAATTGTTTTTAAATTTCTTTTTCAGGTAGTTTGATGTTAGTGCATAGAAAAATTATTGATGTATGTTGATTTTGATTTCTGCAACTTTATGTGAAGGCTTTCAATTGTTCTAACAGAGCTTTTGTGGAGATTTTAAGTTTTACATGTTTAGGATCATATTGTCAAGAGGAAAGCAGAATCTGTAAATCTGAAGCCACTTGATTTTTCACAAGTTGGACACAGGCAATTGGAAAATGATACACCTGCAACTAGGTCTGTAATTATAATCCAATTGGTTTGACAAAGTCTCACATCCCTGCATACCCCAAACATTTCCTCTCCCTAAGTCCCTCCTGGTGGTAAGGTACACATCGTTCCACTGAGTTCGTGCATTTCACCATCCTCACTCACCTGGTCTGCCTGCCACCAGGTTTGCACTTCTCCAATCTATTGTCACCAAAGTAATATTTCTGAAATGCAAGACTGATCATTTTCTACTGTTTGTAAACATCTGGGTCACAGAAAGCAAGGAATTATTCCACAAAATAAAACAGGAAAGAAGGCACGATTAGAATATTTGCCACTCCTGCTTGGTCAATTGTCTGACCTTTGCTCTTGCTGTGCCTTTTCCCAGGCATAATCACATCCCTGACAAAGTCCCTCCCCCTTCCCCAGCCATGTGTAGTTATCTGAGGGGAACAGCTAGGCACCTTTAACACTGAGCTCCTGGGGCTGCACTCAGCATCTTCTGCTTGATTGAATGTGCACAGCACAGGAAGAAGCGAGGTGCCAGAATGAGCTATACCCTTTCCACATGTGCATCAAAGCATT
Organism: Homo sapiens; assembly: GCF_000001405.40. NCBI lineage: Eukaryota > Metazoa > Chordata > Mammalia > Primates > Hominidae > Homo > Homo sapiens. The sequence goes on along the minus strand of NW_025791755.1, from coordinate 11,544 downwards.
TCATACACTTTATAGCACCTATTTGCACACAGAATTACTAGTTCAAATTTCTTGGGGAAAGCAGTATGTAGTATTCACCTTTGAATTTTCTTTAGTGAATATTTTAGATTTAATATAGCATAACAAATATTTACTGGATAAATGAACAATTGGATATTTGATACTCTACCTCTTCTTATTTGTCTAATAAATTACATACTTCAAAACTCAGCTCAGATGTCACTTTGTGCTGGAAATCTTCTCTAAAGCTTCTTTTCACCCCAGGCTAATATGTTTTCCACAGTCTCTTAACGGAATTCGGGATTCAAAACCCAGCACTTGATGAAGACTGTTAACCTCAATAACAGACCTTAATCTTTCAGGAACCAACCATGTGGGCCAAGACAGCCTCCAATAAGGGTGGACAAATGGCTGGATTGTCTCAGCAGTGAATAACTACATTGCAATCAGCAAGTTTTCTAAGATATTATATCATGTGTACTGCTCAAAAAAGGTGGGAGGGAGGGGACATATTTTAATTATTTATTTAAAATTAATTTCAATTTTACAGAAAATTAGCATAAATAAAAGTAGTACAAAGAACATCTATATGAACCCTTTTTCTTCCTCATTTCTCCCTCTCTCTCAATTTTATGCCTTATAACCTTTATCCTCTAAGTAGTATCATTATGTATTCCCAGAATATGAAAATATCCTATAGAATTAGAAAGTAGTTATGAACTTCAGTAACTGTAACATCAATATAATATGACTGAATAATGCATTTTGAAGTGAGACGGAGTGTAAATTGAAAAGTTTCTAGTACAGGAAAGCGATTTCTAAAAGAGGTGTGAAAATGAGATCAAACACCATGGCAGTCTTGGAGTCTGGGAAATAACACTGGTATAACATTCTCATATGTGAAGTGCAGAGAGAAGGAAAAGTAAATTACTCTCAAAATGGTCTACTCCATAGCTTTTTGAAAGGCAGGTTCCACTGTTAACATTTTCTTCAGAGCCCCCATGACATCCTTATTCCTAAGACTATAGATTAAAGGGTTCACCACTGGAGTGAGGATGGTATAGAAGACAGATACCATCATGTCCTTCTCAGGGGTGTGGTAGGAGCTGGGGAGCATGTAGGTGTAGATGGCAGCCCCATAGAAGAGGATGACCACAGTCAGGTGGGAGGAGCAGGTGGCAAAGGCCTTTTTCCGGCCCTCTGCTGAGTTCATCCCGTGGATGGTGAGGAGGATGAGTAAATAGGAGCTTGAAATGATCACCACAGGGATGAGGAGCATGAGGACACAGCACAAGTACATGAAAATCTCATAGAGTGAGGTGTCTGAGCAGGAGAGATTCAATACAGCAGGAACTTCACAGAAGAAATGATGAATCTCCCGGGATCCACGGAAGGGGAAGGTCATGGTGATGGGAGTGAATGTGAAGCCATCCACTGAGCCCAGGAACCAGCAGCCTGATGACAGGAAGAGACACACCCTATGGTTCATGAGGACAGGGTAACGGAGAGGATGGCAGATGGCCACGTAGCGGTCATAGGCCATGGTGGCTAGAAGGAAAAATTCTGAACCTGCTAGTGTCACGTAGAAGAACATCTGCATCCCACACTCAGGGGCTGAGATCTTATTCACACCCATGACCTGGTCCAGGAGCATCTTGGGCACAGTGACAGAAATGTACGCCATGTCCATGAGAGACAATTGACTGATGAAAAAGTACATGGGGGTGTGGAGGTGGGCGTCACAGTGTATCAGAAGGATCAGGACAGCATTTCCAGACAACGCCATCAGGAAAACCACAAAAATGACCACACAAAGTAGTGCTGGATGTTTGGATTGTCTGAAGAGTCCCAACAGGATGAAATCCGACCATCCAGTGTGGTTGGCCATCCAGGTGATATTGGCCATTGGATGTTTGGATTGTCTGAAGAGTCCCATCAGGATGAAATCCGACCATCCAGTGTGGCTGGCCATCCAGGTGATGTTGTCCATGAGGTTTCACCTAGGCCACAAAGGAAAGCTTGGGGTTAAAGTAATTTGAGCCTCTGAAACAAATTGTGTGTGTGTGTGTGTGTTCTAACCAAAGAAAGGCCCATGGGCCTGTAGATTTGGGTGTTATAAATTATCTGCAATTCAAAAAATTTACCAGGAACTAAGAATTCACAACTGTGGATCAAAAGGGTGATTTGTAGTGAAGTTGCCACAGTTCTGAGTCATGAGATTTCCCGATGAGAGTGTCTGTTATAAACAAGTCCTGGAAACTGGCAGTGTCACTGCCTTATGCAGACATGAATAGTGAATTATTGAAAACAAAGGAGAATTTTGTCCCCCTGTTTTTAGAGTTGTTTAGAGAAGTCTAAAGTGAATTACATTCTCTGGTTTAAGGATCCATCTGGAATCTTAAAAACTCCCAAAAGTGTATTCCATATAGGAATGATTTAGAACATGACTAAAATATCACTTGTGGAAAATCCATACCAAACATTTGCACCCTTCTACCCACAGTATTGGACAATGCTGTGAGGCTCTGTGGTTTCGTGGAGCAAAACCCCACACATCCCCATGAGCAAGCCAGGGTCCTCCTACACACCAGACTCCTCAGAAACCAGAGTCGCATGGGGTGAGGAGCCCAGGGACCGTGGCTGGACTGCAGGGTGGACCCAGCTTCCCCTCTACCTGCTATTCCTCTGTTTACTGCACATAAAAATAGATGGTAAGAAAAGGTTTGACCTCAGGGTTGATGAAGATTAAATGCAGAAAAGTAATGAAAGTGCTTAGAATATTACCAGTTACAAATGAACAAATACATACACTGTCAAAGAGTTAATATCTACACAAATTATTCTGCAGACTGTATTACTATAATCATCTTATGATATGAGCTTCATTACTTCAGTTTGCTGATTTTATCATTTAGTCAGACTTGTAAGAATTTGGATTTGATAATTTCTCTAGTCCCAGACAACTTGTATGTATACAGTTTACATTTATTTTATATAAATTTATAGATATGCATTTTTATATATGTGCAGATTTACAAATATAAGAATACATTGTATATGCATATTTACAAATAGAAATGCATATATTAATGTAAGGTATGTCTCTTATTTTCATGTTGAGCAGAGATTTATGCAGAATCCACCTTCTTTGTGACTAGTGCATGCTTCTCCAAGCTTAACTCCTTAAAGCTCCTGTCATTCGCATTAAATCTCAGGGGGGCATAACTGGGATTTAGAAACTCCCTGCTATTTACCAGGTAAGGCTTTTGGTGTTTTTGCAAATATCTGCTTTATTGCCTGCTACAGTGAATTTTTTCACGGAAACTGTGAGGCAGAAAAGAAAATAAAACACTAAGATGTCTCTCACTTCAATTAAATTCCTTCCTCTATCTTGCTACTCACAGCCTGACTCTGTGTTAGCTAGTGCAGGAATCAAAGACAAATTATATTTGATTAAGCTTGAGGAGGTCACAGTCAGTCTATTCAGGAAAAAACATATAAACATGATTTAAAGTACAACTTCAGATTAGAATAGCTATGAGCTACATTAACAAGGCTAATAGAAGCAAAATACATTTAACCTTTCTGAAGAGAATCACTGATAACTCCTACATTTTCTCTTAAGAAGATTAAAACTTTGCAACTTTTCGATTTCTGACATGTTGTTAAATTTTAGTATTTATCAATAGGAAGAAAATATAGGGTCCTTTTTCAGGGAAGACTTTAGCAGTGGTTATCATACAGTCATATTTCAGGAAGAATTTCCAAGTTTCAAATACATTTTGAATTCTTTTAATAATTCTAATTAGACTTATTAATATTTTCAAGTTTTGGAGAATAATAATTAGATGCGGAGACTGGGCAGCTGTTTGCTAAGTGAATGGAGGGAGACCAAGAGGGCAGTGCGGGATGGGAGGTGGATGCTGGGCAAATCTCTGCTGCACTTTTGTAAATGGAAGTCCCTGTCATTAAGCCACGCTGAACAGCTGACCTGGGACACCAGATCAGTGAGGGAAAACTGTGACTGCAGCATGCAGCACAACTGGACTTTTTCTTTCTTTTATTTTTCTTGATCACATTGCTTGAGTTTCCAAACAGCACAATGCATGTTTAACCCAGGGAATAATTAATAGTGGTGGTAGGGCAATATTGAGCATTTATGTGAAGCTTACAGTATCCTAGGAATTGTTCTTAATGCCAGTTTACCACATTTAATTTTCCTCAAGAACCTATGAGGTATATAATCTAATTTCACCATTTACAGATTTAAAAGTTCAAGTTCTGGGGTATCTATCTAACATCACACAGCTAACCCCATGGAGTAAGTACATCGGTGCAGGTGCGGGACCCAGAGCATGTCACTTACCTCAGTTCTCTTGGGGACACAGTCCTGCTTCCGTAGACTAAAATTTGGGTTTTAGATAACTCACTATTGGTTTCACCAGGGAAACATAAATATGATTGAAACATTTGTTGCTAGTGTTTTCTAACTCTAAGACCTAATTTCCATTCAAAGAAAAATTAGTTGTTTTTCCTCTGCAAAATTTTCATCCCACTAAAACAAATGTATCATTCAATAACAGAGGAAGAATATATATGATTTTGTCCATAAATACTTTGGAAATGAAAAACCCGTTTACTAATATGTTGCAGTAAATAAGTATTATATAAAATGAGACTCAAAGGAAAAATAAAACAGATTGGCTTTTCTCCATAAAAATAGATGATAGAGGGAAATGAGGAAATACAGTCAAGAACTAATAGAAATGTTTCAAAAGCAGAACAAGTCAAGAACCGTGACCATCTTTTGTTCCTGCAATACTGTCTACCTATCTGGTGTAACTCACCATCAGATGATGTCTTGACCCTCATTTGGAGGGGCTCATGGTGTGTGGCTGGCTTAAGTGTGCAAAGAAAAACAAAAGTGACATCATCCCTGGCTTCACTGTGTCCATTAGGGGTGTAGATAAAAGTTTTCTGTTAATAAGTCCTCTCTGGGGTTTTGAAGACGAATGCAAATAAAGGAGCTAAAGAAGCTAATAGATATCTCTGTTGCCCTTTTCTGATTTTCTTCTCATTTTTTTTTAAGCGACAGAATCTTACTATGTTGCCCAGGCTGGAGTGCAGTAGATTTTTACAGGTGAGATCACAGTGCACAAAGGCCTCGACCTCCTGGCCTCAAGTGAACCCCCTCCACATCACTCTCCTGAATAGCTGGTACTACAGACACACACCACTGTGCCCAGCTGTTTTGTTGTTGTTATTTAATCTTCTTTTATTGTTAAACTGAAAATCTCAACAAATATTAACAATAATCTCAAAGTTAGCCATTACTAATGAATTTTTACCTATGATATATGAGTTAGTTATATATGGCCTTTTGTGTTTTACACAATATTTTCATGTGTATGTGCCTCCTCCTTTAAACTTTAGGAAATTTTTATAAAATATTGCTATTTGTGTTCCAATCTTTCACAAATATAGGCTTTGAAACTCAGAGTTCAGTTGATGTGTCAAAGAGAGTATCGCTGATCAGTAATGAACTCCATACTAAAATTGAGGTTGTCTTTTTCACATCTTCATTGCTATCACTCTTCATTAGCTTGTTATGTTCTTTCTTCTGTTATTCACCTGCAAGCTCTGTTACTTTAGTGATGCATTTAATTTTAAAGTTTGTTTTTATTTTAAATATTGATATGACTAAAAAATCTAAAATCACAGTCTAGTACAAATAAAATTTAAAAATCAACCATAATGTAATAGTTCAGATAGAAACAAAACTTTAAAATTCATGTCTTGACTTCATACTATGAATATTTATGAAGTGTACACCATGTAGCAGACAGTTGGAATAAAATAGGTAACTAGGTGGAAGCAACTCCACCCTCTTGGATCTTGCAGACAAGTATTTCTGAACCGTTTTCTGTGCGTGTGTTCTAGAATGATGTTGATCATGTTACCATGTCACGGAAGTCTTTTCATGAAAACGTTTGTCCAGATGGTGTCTGTCTTCTGTTTGTTGGGCCCACACTTTAGGGCTGGTGTCTCCGCTGACTTCTAGGGCTTCAGCCCGCAGAGAGCTTGTCCTGACTCCTGTGCTACCTGGTTTCCTGTAAGGCTATGAGAGGGCAGGCCCTGGTGGAACACTGGAGAGCAGGAGAAAGAAGGAAACTGTGTCTTATTTCCTGCTTCTGGTGATGATCTGTGGCGGCAGCAGCAGCAACTGCAGGCAGCAGGGGTCCTGAGGGAGTTGTGGGCTTACAGTCAGTTTCAGCTGCATTTGTGGGGATGCAGGGCATCTAAGTTGCCGCATATCAGCATGGGAAAGTCACACAAGCAGCCCTGGGCGTGCGGTCTCCATCAGCTCAGCACTGAGGAGCATATGAGGCGCCACTGGTGACAACTCCTGGTCTGTGAGTGATAACACTCGGCTCCTTGCTGCATCAGCCTTCCCTCCAGCCCTTTGTGCCACCCTGTAACCACTTTTGTACATTAAATCTATTCTATTTAAAATAGGTTAAGTGTATATATGTGACTAGACATTGATATCCTATCAAATTAATTATACCACAATTAAAATCCAAATAGTGGTTATTTAGGTTGTGTTCAAATTTCTAAGTGATAAATTGTTTGACATTTTTAATAGCTTATGTACAAAGGATTCTCTTTTTATTGTATATATTTAAGGTATGCAACATATTTTTATATACATAGTGAAATTATTACTATTACTACAGTCAAGAAAATAAGCATGTCCATCTTTACTTTGTGTGTGTGTGTGTGTGTGTGTGTCTACATGTGCTAAGAGCACCTGAAACCTACTCTCTTGGCTACTTCCCAGTGTACAATACAATATTATTAGCTATAGTCATCAAGCTATACATTAGATCTCTAGACTTATTTATCCTACACAACTGCAACTTTTAACTCTTTGACCAACATTTCCGTATACTCTCCCCCGCCACCTTTCCCAGATAGCATTCTCTAAGTGTGTTTTTTCCTAAAGTGATTTGCAAGAAGATACAAAGTTTTCAAATTTCTTAATATCCATAAACTAAATTCCCTGTCCAAAAATGTTTTCAACTTGTGTTACAGCATCACAGCAATAAACTTTACATGTACCAGGACTGAATTCTATGCACTTTTCCGTCTTAGTCAATTTGATAGGTGCATCATTGTTCAATGTGCCTTTTTGATTACTAATGTTTACATGACTTTTGATGTGTTTAACTGTTGCTTTGTGAAATATCTGTCAAATCCTGTGCGCATTTTTTCTATTTCCACATGTGTATGTGCATATATATTTATATTTCATGTGTATATATTAATAATTTTTTCTACTTTATTAAATTTTATTGTATTTTAAGTCCTGGGATATATGTGCAGGATGTGTGGGTTTGTTGCATAGGCAAAAGTGTGCCATGGTGGTTTGCTGCACCCATCAACCCATCATCTAGGTTTTAACTCCCGCATGCATTAGGTATTTGTCCTAATGCTTTCCCTCCTCTTTCCCCCAACCCCCTACCTGGTTTTTATTTCTGTAGCTTATAAACAAATCTTGATGTTACTGAAGATGTGTTATCTTGTGTCATTATTTTATTTGCTTTTACAGTATTAAGCATTCCAGGCTGGGCACAGTGGCTTATATCTATAATCTTACTATTTGGGGAGGCTGAGGTGGGAGAATCACTTGAGTCCAGGAATTTGAGACCAGGCTGGGCAACATAACAAGACCCCATCTCTACAAAAAAAATTTAAAAATGTGTTGGGTGTGGTGGCGCATACTTGCAGTCCTTGCTACTCAGGAGACTGAGCTGAGGAGTTCTAGGCTGCCATGAGCTATAATCTCACCACTGCACTCCAGGCTGAGTGACAGAGCCAGACCCCATGTCAAAAAAAAATGCATTAAGCATTCTTTATGCTTTATTTTCCATCGTAAGCTACTTAAATCTTGGCTTTGTTTTTAAAAAATCACAATTTTGTGCTTTAATTCCATGTTATTATTGATAACTTATTTATAACTAAAAATAATATTTAACTTGTTTGGATTATTTTCTTTATTCTGGACCTTTCTGAGAATTTGTTTGGTATAAATGGGCTTAGGCAGAATTGCTGACTTCTAATTGATATGAAAATATAAATTTCCTAGACACCAGCAGATTGCTCTTCAAGATATCAACACCACGAAACCCTGTCTCTACTAAAAATACAAAAATTAGCTGGGCATGGTAGCATGAACCTGTAATCCTCGCTACTTGGGAAGCTGAGGCAGGAGAATCGCTTGAACCCAGAGGGCGGAGGTTGCAGTGAGCTAAGATTGTGCCACTGCACTCCAGCCTGGATGACAGAGTGAGACTTTCTCAAAATAAAAAAAAAAAAAAGAAAGATACCAACATCAGATCATGTTTTCAAATGTAGTTCCAAGCGTTCTTATTCATTCACATCTTTTGCACCATTTAGCATTATTCAGCTCCTGAAATGTTGCTAATTTATTGGATCTAAAGTAATATTTTATTTTGTTTAATTGCCCTTTCTCTGATTACAAATTAAACTGGGCATCTTAAGTAATTCTCTGATTAAGTAATTAATTCTCTGATTAAGTAATTATCTGATTACTAATTAAAATGGGCATCCTAAGATGTGTAGGAATACATTGAATATTTTAGGTTTTATTGGCTTATTTGTCTCTGAGATGCAAATTATCTTCTTTCAATTTGTATTAGTATGTTGTTTGCCCATGATGTCATTCACTAGATAAATATTATTAATTTTTATGTAATTAAATATATTTCATTAATCTTTTGCTGTTGAAGTTATGTGTCCCTTCCACTTTATGAGAAAGAGATTATTTTCTATTACGTTCAAGTAACTCTATAGCATTACGTTATGTATTTAAGTCTTAATCTGAAGTCTAGTTTCTATATATTTTTAAATAGAAATATAATTTTTTTCTTTAGTTGTTGAGCAAGTTTTTCCTACATCGAGTAATAGCATGTTTTGTTCTTTCAATATAAAATTTCTCCTTTATTAGATACTGTTTCATATATTGTAAGTTGACTTTTGAGAGCAATAGTGTCCCAACTGTTTCTCTATATTTGATTATAGAGATGTGTATATTACGATGTATCAGGATGATGTTATAAATATGACTTTATGTTATATAGCAATAGGTATTAGGAAAACTACTCATCTTTGTTCTTTACTTTTCAACATTTACTAAGTTATTTTGGACATTTATTATCTCTTAGTTAATTTATAATAAGGAATAATGTAGTAAGCTGTATTAGGTCTTTAAAATAAATATTTAGAAATTTGTATTGAGTGGAATTTACAAGGTTATATTGTGATCCCATCCTTGAATACAGAATGCCTACTTTTTCCAATATTCTAGTAAGTCTTTTATTACACTTTTAAATTGTATCTATTGAGGCAGATTTTTGCATTCTATGTTATATTAATTTTTATATATTATACACTTGTTTTTGTTATCAAGTACTCTATTATATGTTTCTCAAATCATTATCGCTGGCATAGAAAAAATGTTACATAATTTTATAGACTGGTCTTGATAAACTATCTTCTTGGTTTAATAGAGTATCTGTTAATTTAGTGTTTTTCTCTAAAAGACATTCATCAAAATTTTAAGCAATTGTGGTCATAGTGATCATTCCCATCTTAATTCTAATTGTAAAATAAATGTATCAATCTTTATGTAAACTTTGGTACCTTAAGTACATGCATGCACTGCATAAGAACATTTCTGTCCAGAATGGACCACATGTACGAAGTGGCCCCATAAGAATATAATGGAGCTGCCCTACACAGGTATACACATCATTTTATGTCATTTATACCATATTTTTCTTGTACCTTTTCTATGTTTAGGTATGTGTGTGTATATATATATATATATATATATATATATTTACAGTGGTTTTATAATTATGTACAATATTCAGTATAGGAACATTCTGCACAGGTTTGTAGCCTAGGAATACTAGGCCATACCATATAGCCTAGATGTGTAGTAGGCTATGTCATCTAGGTGTGTGTAAGTACATTCTATGATGCTCACACAATGACTTAATTATCTAACAATGCATTTCTCAAATATATCCCATTGTTAAGCATCACCGGACTTTATTTCCATTCTTTGTCTAGTGTTCTATGACTTATTATAATATATATATATATATAGAATATTACCAAGTTATTTTCATTTTATGCTAAGAAAGCCATATGAAATTCCTCTTTTTGCCTAGTACTATGATAATTTGCACTGATGGACATGGATCCTTAAAATTCAAATTTATGTTTTTGGCTCCTGATATATATCAAATAGTATGATATTATCTCTCAAAAGTGACATTTTAAATGTAGTATTTTGCTTATTGTTTTATGTCTAAATCTATTTTTACCTATTTTGGGTTTTGAGGCACTTTGATGTTTCTAAAGATTATAAAAATCTTCATCATTTTATGACCTGTCTCCTTAAAACTAGTCAGGTTTTTGTGACTGTTTGAGCCAATACAATATACTTTGTAACTTCCAAGACTAGGTTATAAAGATGAAGCAACTTCTGCTTCACTCACTAGAACAGCAATTCCTAAAACTTTTAGCGATCATGTAAAGTAGTCTTCCTAAACTTAGGCCACCACGTGGTGAAAATTTCCAAGCCACAGGAAGAAACTATAAATAGGTGCTTTGTCTTTCCCTTGTGTCTTCCCTTCTGTCTTCCCCTTGTGAGGTTGTTTCTCTCCTAACACATTTTTATGTCCTCATCTCTAAATTCTACTGATACCCTGAGTCATGACATTGAGTATCAGTGGACTTTAGAGAACATAGATAATTATATATAATCTAATATACATATACACATATATAATTCTACTACATATTAATATGTAATATTATATGTTTTATATGTATATATGTACATATCTACATTTACATACCCACATGGTAGCACATTGTTAGAACAATCGTCTTTAGCATGCATATGGGAAACAGGAGGTAATAGGAATACATTTGTTAAAGTTGAATAAAACCAAAATTTAAATTTACTCCAAATCTCCTTCTTTAGAGAATGCAATTTATTGGTTTCATTCTGTGATATAATATATATACATCCTATATATGTAATACCTAATATGTATTTGCACATATTTATATATGTAAGTACTTAAATACATAAATATTACATATATCTACATATACATATTACATATGTAAATATAGAGTATGTAAATATGTATATAAACATATGCAATATAGTTATATATGTAATGTTATGCATAATATTTTGCATATATAAGATGTGTGTGTATATATATATATTTCAGGATGTAACCAATAAATTGCATTCTCTAAAGAAGGAGATTTGGAGTAAAATTAAATTTTGGTTTTATTCAACTTCTAACAAATTTATTCCTATTGCCTCCTGTTTCTCATATACATGCTAAAGATGATTATTCTAACAAAGTGCCACTGTGTAGGTTGATGAGATAATGTGTAAGTTTGGAGAACCATGTTGGACTCACAGTG